>NC_000011.10:125051212-125354242 GCF_000001405.40 Homo sapiens
CACTCTCCCAAATATTAGGAGATTTGGATGAGAAAGTAGTTCTGGGACTTCTGACATAGTTATTATTAGGTGGTGACTAGAACCTAGAGGCTGCAGTGTTTTGTGGCCTTTCTATAAGAAAGACTGATTAAATAGAATTTAGGTTTATTCCAGAGACCAGAAGCTCCCTAGCATAGCTCACACCCTAAGTAATTAGATAGGCACCTAGCTACCTGGTTTTATAAACTATAACTAGTGAATTCCCAGGCATATAAAAGTTGAGAAATCAGGGATGAAAGACCATGGAGAACATTAATGACAGAAAGAACGAAATGGTAATTTTGTAAATAAAAGCAGTTTTGAAACCTTAGGGTGAATTGGGGGTAAGAGAGAATATGTGGTTCAATTCAGAGATAGTAAAAGTCCTTTATATTTCTCTCTTCCCTCTGAACAGAGTCTGTAGAGATTGAAAAATTGCTCTTTGTTGTCAACTTTTTCTTGCTGTCTTCAAAGGCCCTGTTTCTGTGGGATAGTTTGTAGTGGTTAGGATTGTGTGTTCACAGTTTAAATTCTGGTTTTATCACATATCAACCATGTGACCTTAAGCCAGTTATTAATATTTAGGTCTGAGCCTCAGTTTTATCATCTGCAAATTGAGAATAGTAATAGTACTTACTTCACAGAATTGTGGTGAGAATTCCATGAGATAGTAGTTAGCATAGTGCTTGGCACATGATAAGTACAGGAAGTGTTGGAAACTAATAATCAGAATTAGTATCTTTATTATCATAATTACTACCACTATTATATGTCCTCTGTCCTACATATCTGAATATTACTACTCACTTCTTATAGTTCTTGCTTAACAATTCAAGAGGGGAGGCCTTCTTTCCTTACATTGGCTGCATGTAGAATCCTTGGTGTTTCAGATATTTTAGCCAGAATAAGCTAGTTAGGCATAGGAACACAGAGACATCCAATTTGGCCTTTTGAGTTATTGCCTAAGAGAGGTTTTCTATGTCCCTAGGTTATGATGACATTAACATTTGATTTACATTTGGCTATTTGATCTTATTCAGTGCTCCATCCTACACTGAGCCTACTTATGACTAAAACCAGATTTTTGTTTTGTAGGTGGAGGAGCAAAGGAAGAGTTTGCCAGATGGATGGGTGTGCCATTTAGATTGCAAATTAGCATGCCTTCTTTATTGCTAAACCTGAGGATTAGGTGATGCCTGTGTTTAAATCCTTCCTGGTTCAAAGCTGTAGGTACCCACATCCAACAAGTTACACCCATCTTATCACATTGCCAGAATTGAGTTATGGTTCAGCTGGAGGAAGAGGACATGTCTGTCCTTTTTTGCCAGGTGGGCACAGTGTTTTCTCTAATGAGTTCAAAGCATTTGGCATACACATGATCAATACCACTTTTTCTTTCACACATTAGGACATTACATCCTACACATAAAACGTGACTGTGATACAGCTCTGTCTTTTAGGGCTTAGAGTGTTTTCTCACATGGCTGTAACTCCTTGTTCTTACCTTATAAGTAACTTGGGTCAGGGATGGTAGATAAGGGGGGATCTGAAACAGAGCTAAGACTAAGAGGAGGATGACAAAGATACAAGGCAAGGACCAGGACTGAGCTAAGATTAACAATGGAAAACAGAGCTTGAAGTGGAGCAAGATTGGAACTTGAGCCAACACAATAGGAATCAGTAGTTAACTAGACATGGGTCTCTGAAAACTGTGGAGAGGTGATTTTAACTAGTCTAATAGACTTACATACAGTGGCTCACATTGGAAAAATCCATTCATCAAGGAATGTAATCTGACACAGGTAAACCATAATAGCTGGAGACTGAGTTAATGCTCTGTGAATATGTATTTTTATATGTATTACATTTTCTGAACCCCTGACCTACCTCTTCCTTTTCACTATTAGCAAAATAGAAATGTAGAGATGAATAGCTGTTAATACAGCTTAGTTTGACTCCAGAAGTAGGATATAATTGGATCCATATCACTACTACCTGGCCCACTGAGGCAGCAGGAATAGGGAATTTATTCAGGTTGTGGTATAGCATGTGGTATATAGTTCTGCTGTATGACACACAGGAAGTGGGTTGTGATGCTCATTTCAAGACACATTGCTTTGGATCCATGAGCCACTTATCCCAGTTACCATCACACCTCATGCTTCTGTGTTTCCCAGGAGCCTTTCTTCAGTTGAATAGTTGGGACTGTAAGCCTTGCCAGGTAGGATGGTAGACAGATTCACTGGGATTGGTTCCAAGTTGGGTATTGCCCCTGCATGAATCACACGGGACTGAGTCTGGCCTCTCCTTGGGGACTCTAAAAGCTGGCTAGGTCCATTACCATGAGAGTCCCTTAGGATTAACAGGCCTTTTGTTTGCCTGAAATATTCTTCAAATTCTGAGTCTTAAAATTCTAATAACTCTTAAGGCAAAGTACTAGTAGCATCTGTCTGTGAACACTTAACCTGATTTCTCTCACTCGGAAGCAATTATTCCTGCCCAATTATATAGTATACTAGTTGTAACTATTTAGCATATAGGTTTTCTGAATTATATGATAATGTTTATATATCTTAAAAGATAATTTTCATAAAAAGGTAAGATCATGACTCATACAGATATAAAAATGAACGTGCATTAAACATTTAATTCATGAGGGAAATAAGTAGATGTTTCAACTGGTTCCAAGAAAAAAGGAAAAAAATGCACAAATTTATATAGATAAAAGAATGTTGGATTGGATGTGCAAATGGAGGCAAAACTGATGTTTTTCATATTTATCTACAGTTTGCAGAATTGTTAAACCAAGGAGAACTTTAGGCTAAAATCAGGTCACTTTGGAGGGGTGTCCTCTAGACAATACATTATTTTCCACTGAAACATAAATTTTTTTCTACATCCTCTCCCATTTCGATCAAAATAGTCTGAAAGAAAGACTATGCTTGATCACAAAATAAGGCCGGTCTCATTGGATTGGATCTAACTATAAGTACGGTAAGCATTTTAATTTACCACAAAAGTCTCCTTCAGTTTACATTGCTGGAAGTTTTCATAAGGAATTTCAGATTTAACTTTTAAAATACTTGTTAACTGGACTGTGTATTTGTTCATAGTGCATCTGTTTTCAACGTGATTGGATTGTTAAATTTTGAGGTGTGTGTGTGTGTGTGTGTGTGTGTGTGTGTGTGTGTGCGTGCCTTAAATTTCATTCTGTGCAGTAGACGAGGACTTGATAAGACAATAACATGAAAGAAACTGAAGTGTTTTCTGGCTTTTCTAGAGATATCTGGGCATGTCCATTTCTCTCTAGCTGAAACTCTGTTATCATAAACTAGGAAGTACTTGTTTCAATTCATTACTAAGAAGGGGGAGAAAAGGTTTAGTAACAGTGATCAGAAAATACTGGACAAGCTGAACATGGTGGCTCTCACCTGTCATCCCAAGGCTGAGGGGGGAGGATGACTTGAGGCCAGGGGTAGAGACCAGCCTGGGCAACATAGCGAGGCCCCTATCTCTAAAAAGGCAAAAATAAAAAAAAAAATTAATTGGGCATGATGGTACATTCCTGTAGTTCCAGCTACCCAGGAGGCTGAGATGAGAGGATCACTTGAGCCCAGGACTTCGAGGCTGCAGTGAGCTATGATAGCACCACTGCCCTCCAGCCTAGGTGGCAGAGAAAGATCCTGTCTCTAAAACAAATTATTTTAATTAAAAAAAAGGAAAGAAAATAGAAATTACTAAGGCATGCTTTGGCATACAGTGAACATTTGGATGTTAATTTTGAAGAAAGAAACATTTGGGCTTGAGAATGAGTTTCTAAGAAGGTAGAGTGGATCAGCACTCTTTTCCCAGAAATTTCCATCTTGATCTTGATTCCTGACTCTTGTAGCCTGTTCTTCGTATATTTTACAATAAGGAATGCCAACAGTGTACTAGGAGCCAGGGCTCTCAGGCTAGTGTTACAGAGTTGTAGGGAAATTCTAGGATGAAGTTTTTGCTGGGACAAAGCAGATGAAAGAGTTGAGTTTTTCCAGATCTGGAGCTTACCTGTTGGGGATGCTGTAGACATCTAGAGGCAGCAGGGATATCTTCAGTCTTTATTGTGTAGTGCTGGTTTGTTTATTCAGACCTTCTTTAATCTTACTAATAAAACTCTTCACTTGAAGACCTTTCAGTCCTTGCCTGTGAAAGGCATGATTGTTCTTCTTGAAGTCACATGCTTTTGATTTCTAAACCCATTTCCATTTTCATTTGTTCAACCTGTTCTCCCTGTTTCATTCCTCTTGCTTCACGATGTTACAATAAGAATGCATTCCTAGTTGTAGACCTAAGGAGCAGTGTAAGGCAGGGAGGCATTCCCACAACTTCCTTGAGCCTATCTTAGGCTTAATTAAGCCTATCATAGGCTTAATTGGTCACAGGGACAGAGGTTAGTCCCAAATGATAAGAAGGAATCTGTTTCTACAAATGGAGTGGCCCTTGGGGAGAGCTTCTGTCTCATCTTTCCACCAGCATCACTGTGTGAACCAGGCATGTCTGTTCTCTGCAAGTTAAATTTGTTTGTCTGAGTAGTAGGGAGGAGTATTATCTCCTAGCCGTCTAGAGGTGCCGATGAAGCTGTTCGATAAAAGCAGAGTTACACGTTTAAAAAAATAGCTCAACATCGCTGATCACTAAAAAAATGCAAATCAAAACCACAATGAGATACCATCTCATGCCAGTCAGAATGGCTATTATTAAAATGTCAAAAAACAACAGATGCTGGCAAGATTGCAGAGAAAAAAAGAACGCTTTTGCACTGCTGATGGGAGTATAAATTAGTTCAACCATTGTGGAAGACAGTATGGCAATTCCTCAAAGACCTACAGACAGAAATACCATTTGACCCAGCAATCCCATTACTAGGTATATACCCAAAGGAATATAAATCATTCTATTATAAAGATACATGCACAGGTATGTTCATTGTAGCACTATTCACAATAGCAAAGGCATGAAATCAACCCAAATGCCCATCAATGATAGACTGGATAAAGAAAATTTGGTACATACGCACTATGGAATACTATGCAGCCATAAAAAGGAACAAGATCATGTCCTTTGCAGGAACATGGATGGAGCTGGAGGCCATTATCCTCAGCAAACTAATGCAGGAACAGAAACCCAAACACTGCATGTTCTCACTTACAAGTGGGAGCTGAATGATGAGAACACAGGGACACATGGCAAGAACAACACACACTGGGGCCTGTCAGAGGCGGGGTGGGGGCTGGGGGTGGCACTGGCTGGGTGTGGAGGGAGAACACCAGGGGGAATAGCTGGGCTTAATCCTTAGGTGAGGGGATGATCTGTACAGCAAACCACCATGGCACACATTTACCTATGTAACAACCTTGCACATCCTTCACATGTACCCCTGAGCTTAAAAGTTGAAGAAAAAAAACGAGTATCGTAACTTGGAATCCAAGGCACAGTACTGAAATCTGTATTGCTAGTGAGGTACTTGAGTTAATATGGGCAGCTGACCATGCTGCTCCATAGCATATTCTCCAAAGGAAAGATTTCTACTTAAAAAGTAAATTTCTCCCATCCTGTTTCTGGAATTAGAAAACTGAGAACTACTAAAAGGAAATTAAAGTTGACAGAGCTTTTATATATATAAGACTTTTATAAACTAAGGATAGATTCACGGGGAGTTACAAAAACAGTTCAGAGGCGTCCTGGTACCTCTTACCTAGTTTTCCCCAGTGATTACATTTGACATAACCGTAGTACAGTATGTGTGTGTCTGCTATTTTATCACATGCATTGATTTGCGTAAACACCAATGCAAACAAAATACAGAACTATTCTGTCACCACAAAGACCTCCCTTGTGTTACCCCTATAAAGTTACACCCCTCTCAACCACCACCTTCCTTAACTCCAGTCCATCTCTAATCCCTTTTCCATTTTTATGATTTTGTCATGTTGAGATTGTTATATAAATGAAATCATACAGTATGTGACCTTTTGAGATTGATTTTTTTTCACTTGGCATAATGCCATTATGTCAATAGTTCATTTCTTTTTATTGTTGAGTAGTATTTCATGGTATGAATGTACCACAATTTGTTTAACTTTATTGAGGGGCATATTGGTTGTTTCCAGTTTTTTGTTATTATAGATAAAGCTGCTATGGACAATTCATGTACAGGTTTTTGTATGGATGGAAATTTTCAGTTATCTGGGATAAAAGCCCAGGAGCACAATAAGTGTATGGTAAGTGTATTTTAGTTTCTTAGGAAAGTGACAGCATGTATTTGGGTAATGTTTTTTATCTACTCTGCCAGGGGTGGCGGGGGGTGAAAGTCCAGGTTTCCTATTTGACCTCTGTTAACATCCCTGGTTCGGGGAGGCAGGGCAGGGCACCTCATTACTGCTTGAAAGGGTGGGAGTTCTGGCTCTCCACTAGGCCTCCATTGATATCGCCCTGTATGGGCTCCTTACTGCTCCCCATGTGACCTCCATGACACCTTGGTGGTTGGGGTGGGGCGCTCTTTACCATTGGAAGGTGGTGAAAGTCCTGCTTTCCCACTTGGAGTTCTCTGACACCAGCCAGGCGGTGGGCGGGGGGGCACCCCTCATTACAGCCAGGTGCAAGTGGAAGTCTAGGTTCCCCACTGGCCTTTGCTGATAAGGTGGGGTGGGGCTGCAGTGTTTTCTATGAGGTTTAGTTGGAGCAGGGTGGTTATTGCCACGCTACCCCTTCCTTGGTCCTGTGGCTAGACAGAGCCAGCATTTCTGAGAGCTTTGGTGTTCTGTCTGTGTCATTGGTGCTTCTGGATTTGCTGGCTTCTTCAGCACCCAGTCCGGGATATATGAAGCCAAGAGCAAACCCAGATAACTCACCACTGTCTTTCCTTAGATCTCAAGGTCCCTCGCTGATCTGTCTTCTCTCCACTTTTCAGAGTTTTCTTATGCTTGCTTTATATATAATGTCAATGGTTTTTAACGGTACCTAGCAAGAAGAATAGAGAGAAGTGTATCTCTTCTATCTTCATCCAGAACTGGAAGTCTGACAAAGCCCTGTTAAATGGCCATTTCTCCTCTGAAAACATAAATCTGATCCTGTCTTCACCCTTAAAGCTGTCTTATAGCACCCAACTGTCTAAAGAATACAGTTCCAACCTGTTATTGTTGACATTGAAGGTTCTTCACTATCTCACCACATGTAATAAGTCATATCTTCTGCAGCTCCCCACCTTGCACATGTACTCACCAGCTACAAAGAATGTCTTATGCACCATTTCTTCAATGTACCATGCTTTTTCATGGTTCCTTATTTTGCACATGCAATTTTCCGGTTCCACCTTTCTCCTCTTCACTTGGTATGCACTAAGCTGTTCTTCAAATCTAGTTCTTATGTTGTCTACAGTAAGCCTTCTGAGACTCTCCTGGAGTTATTTGATCAGTGCCACCATATCAGCATGAACATTTTCTTGTTTATATAACCTATTTCTTGTTTGAGTTGATCTCTTCTGCCAAGCTTTTGAAGTGGGATTATCTCTATACATCTCTGTCCCCTTTGACTGTAAATTCTTTGGGATTAGGGACTGTGTCTGTCTGTTTTTTTTTTTTTTTTTTTTTTTTGAGACGGAGTCTTGCTCTGTCGCCCAGGCTGGAGTGCAGTGGCGCGATCTTGGCTCACTGCAAGCTCCACCCTCTGGGTTCACGCCATTCTCCTGCCTCAGCCTCCCGAGTAGCTGGGACTACAGTCACCCGCCACCACACCTTGCTAATTTTTTTTTTATACTTTTTTTTTTAGTAGAGATGGGGTTTCACCGTGTTAGCCAGGATGGTCTCGATCGACCTGGTGATCTGCCCACCTTAGCCTCCCAAAGTGCTGGGATTACAGGTGTGAGCCACCGTGCCTGGCCTGTCTTTTTCATTAATGTATCCTCAGCACATAGCACTGTGCTTGGCACATAGTTGTCACTTAACAAATGTTTGTTTGTTTGTTTATTTATTTATTGAGACGGAGTCTTGCTGTGTCTCCCAGGCTGGAGTGCAGTGGCACGATCTCGGCTCACTGAAACCTCTGCCTCCTGGGTTCAAGCGATTCTGCTGCCTCAGCCTCCTGAGTAGCTGGGATTACAGGCGTGTGCCAGCATGTCTGGCTAATTTTTGTATTTTTAGAAGAGGAGGGTTTCATCTTGTTGGCCATGCTGGTTTTGAACTCCTGACCTCAGGTGATCCTCCCGCCTTGGCCTCCCAAAGTGCTGGGATTACAGGCAACAAATATTTATTAAGCAAGTAAATGAATGGTTACTTTCAGATACTAGAACAACTAAACATTGTCCCCAGCTGTGTGACCAGGCTGAGACTACCTCACTTTTGTCATTACCATATATTCCTTTTAATTTTTCCTCTAAACAAGGTGACTTTGGGAAATTTTCATAATTTAACCATTTCTTCATCCTTCTCCTCTCTTCCTAAGGACTACTGGCTGTCAGGCTGTCTTTGTATATACCTGTTGTCACTACTGGTATCCTAAGGAGGTTGACCATTTGAAAGCAGGGCTGCCCTGTTGGTTGACTGATAGGTCTCCAAAGCCCACTCTTCAGGCCATTATGAACCATCAATCTAGTCTTCAGTACATTGAAACCCTACTTTTGGCCAGTTATATAAGGGCTGGGATGTTCTTTGCTAAGCATTCCAGAAGTTTGACTTCTATTGAGAAATAAGATATTTTTGAATACCTTTGGTCACCTTGCTTATCTATCTTTTGACTGTTAGCTGGGAAGAATTTAGTAGTAATTCTTAGTGAGATTTCAGCATCCAACATATTTAAGACAATAACTTCTTTCATTTTTATGACACTCTACTCAAGCCATACATACATCCTTGTGAACCCCAAATTATTCAGCACGTATTACCACAAAGCTTACAATAACTCAGTGGGTTAAGTTGTATATATATACACACATACACAGATACACACACAAGCACATTATATTAAGGATTTTGCAGTCAAAAATATATTTTGTTATACCCATTGATCCTTTTTAAGAATTTTGATCCTTTAACCCCTATATTTTGTTCTCATTTATGACAGTCATTGGTTTCTGTCAGCTGCAGTCAATATCTGACCCTAATACCATATATATTAGCTCCTGCACACATAATTGCTCCATTTGCAAAACCTATTTAATATGGCCAGGCACTGTTGTACTTTTTGTATGCACATATGTTTTGATTCTTACAGCACTCTGTAAGGTGGGTGCTGTTACACACATTTTACAGAGGAGGGAACTGAGGCTTAGTGAAGTAGTAAGTATCTTGACCAGGCTTGGTTCTGACTCCAAGCCAATGTTCTTTTTACTGCACCACTCCGCCTCTCCATCAAAAGGCCTACTATGAAATTGAATATTTAAAAGATTGAATAATTACAATTTATCCTAATATCCCAGTTCTTACCCCCTTGATCAAGACTGGTCTTGATTGTATTACCAAAAAATATGCTTTTCTCTGTTTAGTAAGACAGGAGTGGAAGGAGGCAAATGTGTTCAAAAAATGATGCTTGTGGATGTGTTAAAATTTTGGAGTTCTGTTACCTAGTGGCTTATTCTCATGTCATTTGTCCTCAAAGACTTTCTTAAGCATTCAGATCCTTCTGTCCCTTTGAAGAAAACAGGGAAGACACTTGTTATCGTGTCTTAAAGGGCATAAAACACCAACTGGCTACCCCAACAGTCCTGTGGGTGGTCATGGAACTTACTAGCAGTAGGGACTGGTATTTGATGGGTAAAATGGCTTCTTTCTCACAAGTGTCTCATACTGAACCATAGGAAGCATTTTTGACAGAGTATAAGGCTATCCATATAAGAACTGAGGATCTTTTCCTTTAGCATTTGATTGAGTAGCTCCTTCCCTCCCTCTTTATTTCCTTCAGATCCTCTCCACATTCTGCAGGGTTTGAGGAGGTAGTGTGTGGGAGGGGGGCCAGATAATAACAAGAAGGTGAGTCGAGAGTGGTGAGGTTGTGTAGGTGAGTGAAGGGACTCCCTGAGGCACAATATCCCTCTTTGTCACTCCCCCAAGCAGCAGGAAGCACAGAGATCATCCAGCTCACCAACAGGAGCGAGCAAGAAAGAGTTCCAACATTGGTGGGAGTGTTCCCACTGCCACCCTGGCCCCTGAACAGGGATACGTGGCTGGAATTCACAGGAAGTAACTGTGACAAGGCAAAGTCTGTTTCAGTACCGGCCCTGCTCCCAGCTACTTGGTGCACTGTGAACAATAGCCGTACTACCATGAGGGCATATTCCTAATGCCTTTCTTAGAGTCCCAGCCTCAGATAGGCATGGTCCCCTGTGAGGCAGGAACACAGCTTCCTGACAAATGAGCAGGAGTGACCCTTATTCTTGGCTTCTGTCTGAAATGGAAAGACAGATGTTCCACACTGCTGAAGTCTGGACAGCACCTCTGAAGCCCTGGAGATGGTCTCTTCCATTCCTCTGGTGATGTCCACCTACTCCTCAAATGTAGCATCAAGGAACTTCAGCTGCTTCCTTGGCTCAACTGGATTCCAATTTTATCCTTCCCTTTAGTCCCTCAGAAATAAGCAGCGTAGGAATAATTCCCTTCCTGGGGATATCAGCTCATTCCTCTAGTTTATTTGCTGCCCCTTAAAGGAGTACCTTAACCTGGGGTACCTGTGATTATTGACCCTAGAATGGGTCCATCATAGATTCTGGGACAGCAGGTGTCTCCTGGGATTGTCCCAGGCAAACCAGGACATAAAGTCACCTTACCTAGGTGGGTAATAGCCACCTAACTGACTTGTAAGAGTGAAATGAATATACCCCCAAGTACAGTGAGTGGTCTAATCAGGGGTTTGATTTAGTGAATTGCCGCTAATGACACTGGTCCTTTGGTGTTTCAAGCCTCTGCACCCTATTTGGGCCTCCCTTCTACTTATGCCTTTCTTCTTTTCTCTATTCCTTTACCTTTTGTCGTTGGCGTGTTACCGTCTTCATTTCTGCCACTAGACCTATGCCCCCTGACTGCCTGGGATTAACAGAGGCTTTTACAACTCTGCTTACCCTCTTTTTCTTGATTCTAGGGCTGGTACGAGCCAAGCCCATTATTCTAGGTCCTAATCTGTTTGGTGGAGTTGTTACTCCACTTCTCTGACCTTGCGCGTAGGGCCTGGGCACTCCTAGGAATTAGGGGCAGGGTGGGGTTAGGGCTGAAACCCATTTGCTCCGACACTCCTGTTTTATGTTCTATTAACTTTATTCCTCAGGGGAATACTTCCCTTTGCAGCCTTCTGTATTTCACCCTTGGGTTCATGTACAAGGATCTCACAATTATCAGTGGAAACATACCCTGAAATCTTCAGGCTAGAGGCAGTCACTTTCAGGACCACAGAAGTCCCTGCCTGGTGGCTGCTTGCCTCCAGAAAGGAGAGCAGGAGTGACTGCCACATTGTCATGGCGGGAGCGCGTGGGGGCCGGTGTCTGTGAAGCCGGGGAAGAGTGGGGTCCTGTGGAATATGAGCAGGGCAGGAAGCCCCAGCCTGAGCCTGTGGTGTGTTTGGGGCCGAATATTGTCCCCCCCCCGCCCCCGCCCACGAAAAAAACTCCTGCGCTCCCAGAAGGTGAGAGTACCGAGATTAGTCATGCAGGGCCGCTGAGTGTGACTTCCAGCCCTCCAGCGTCTCGTGTCCCGCCCGTGTCGGAGCCCATGGCTTTTTAGGACAGGAAGCGCTGCGGGGTAGTGCGGGCAGGCAGGCACGTCACACCGGACAGCGTCGAGATTGCTGCTTTCGGTTCCCCAGCGGGTGGTGAGGCAGAAAGTGCAGGGCGGAATGAGGAGCCCCAGCACCTCAGAGCTGTCGGGCAGTGGCGGGGAAGCAAAGCACAGGAGCGCTGTGGTGCCAGCGGCCGGGCTAGGGACGACTGGCGGGTTTGCGCTGGACCCGACCCCGAGGGCGGGCGCAAGGGGGCGGGCGCTGCCGTACTCAGGCCGCGGGGCCAGGGCGGGCCGGCCGGCGGGGCATTTAAACCCCGCTGACAGCCAGTCCAGCCCGGGACACGCGCCCAGCTCTGTAGCCTCCTCCGTCGACTCAGCCTTAGGTACCGGTCAGGCAAAATGCGGTCCTCCCTGGCTCCGGGAGTCTGGTTCTTCCGGGCCTTCTCCAGGGACAGCTGGTGAGCGGGGCAGGGGAGGGAGGCGTGCCGGGACCTCCTGGGCTCGGGGCTTGCAGGGGCCGCGGGGGGCCTCGGAGATCACCCCAGATCGGCCCCGGCGTCGCCGCGTGGCCAGGGGTGCTGGGGGGACTTGGTCCCGAGCTCCTCCAGCGGCGCCCGCCTCGGAGGTTGATAACCCTCCCTGCCCAACTCCGCCCGCGCTCCCCCAGACCCCGCGACGCTGGCTCGGTGACACTGGGGAAGAACAGGCTGCCAGGGAGGGTCTCCATCGTTTCCCGTTTCCATCCTCCCCTCCTAACACACATCCGGGGCGCCTTCAGAGCGCCTTTCTGTCGTTGGGCAGCTGGGGAACCTGGGCTCGAAGGCTGGGGAACCGAGGCCAGGGGATGGTAGAGGAAAGGGGTTGCCACTGGGGTTTGTGAGTGTCCCTCTTGGTCTCCTTTAGCCCTCGAACACCAAGGCCAGAACTCAGTGGTCCTGGGAGCTCGTCTCGAGGCCTTTCAGCACCTGGAAAGGGCACAGCTCTCAGAGCAGAGCAGGGCAGCCCCTCGGCAGTGGGAGAAGGGCTTCACAGAGGTTCTCTTCCTGACCGCAGGGACCACATGTTGGGCTGCAAGGTGGGGTGGAGGGGTTTCAGCCACTCTTCCTTAGAGGCGGTCAACCATTGGAGCAGTCCGTTTGGTCTGCACAGTTTTTAAAATATTGTGTTAGTTGCCATTATTTACAAATCATAAAATTTAACAAAAATAGCTAGATTCCAGACTTCTCTTGAACAATAGACGACGTGGACCGGGCATGGTGGTTCATGCTTGTAATCCCACCACTTTGGGAGGCCAAGATGGGAGAATTACATGAGGCCAGGAGTTCGAGACCAGCCTGGCCAACATCGTGAGACCACCCCTCCATTCCCCCCTCACACCCCTCCCTGTCTCTAGAAGTAAAAAAAGGAAAGAAAAGAAAAATGGATGATGTAGCAATACTGGGCCTAAATTTCCAAATTAAATGAATAGGATTGAGGAGTCCCCTTTAGATAGGGCAGGTGCTATTAAAGTGGCCAATTTGTCCTGGTTTTGAAACAGTCTTTTGTCGGCAACCCTCTCAATCCTGGGCAAAATGAGACAATTGGCTACCCTACACACTTTTTAATTGTTGAGAGCTCTCATCAATTCTAACCTTCTTCACTCGTTTAGATTATTTACCTAGTCTTTTTTGAGTTGGAGACTGTTAAAAGATATTTTTCAGAAAAAGATTAAAATCCTGACTCTCACAAAGACATAAGAATGAACCCATGTTAAAGATTTTCTTTTACTCATAATAAAGGAGGCAGAAGATGTTATAATCGGTTCAAAAGAGAATCTAGAGAGGGGGATTGGGGAATTATTGTTTAATGGGTATGGAGTTTCAGTTTGGGAACATGAAAAAGTTCTGGAAATGGATGATGGTGATGGTTGAGAGACAATGTGAACATACTTAATGCCACCTAAATGTAGACTAAAAATGGTTAGAATGGCAAAATTTATGTTATGTATATTTTACCACAATTTTAAAAAGAGAATCTAAAGAACATATTCATTTATAGGTTAGGAATATTGAGACCAAATTGGTCTTCTACAGGTTGTGAGGGAAGACTACTGAAATTATCTTCATAGGTATATTTTGCATGGCTTCTCAGTTACCTACCACTTCAAAGAATTTTAAAATAGCTCAAGGTCAATTAAAAGCTGGAATCTGATAACCTGGCGGACTATGTGCTAGACAAGGCATAGTTTTCCACGGAAATACATTGTTTTTCTACAGTCTCTCCTGTTTTGATTTTTAAGAAAATTCTTAGAAGGATTATTCTTGATCACAAAATAAAGCTGATCTCATTGGATTTGACTTGATTGTGGCTGCAAGTGTGTTAGTTTACCATATACCCCTTGTTAAGTTAATAAACTTAGCTGGAAGTTTTCATAAGGAATCCTAGATTAGATTTTTTAAAGCCTTTAATTATTTATTGTCCTGACATTAGTAAGCCGAGTCAAGAAACTGTCTTCACCAGGTTTTACCTACTGTACTGATGTATTTGGGCAAATTCCTCTTCTCAGGGTCCCCATAATATCCTAAAGTTTCTGGGCTAGCCAGAGAGTGACCTTCCTTTTGGCTTGTAAACCTGGAAACCCAGTAAGCCCATTTTCTTGGGAGGTTTTTCTTAGTATTGGCTGCATAGAGTGAACCTCAGTTTTTAGAGGAGGCTGGTTGTATCTGATTAAATAGGCATCCTGATCAAATACAACATCCCGGCAAGGTCTTGGTTGCATAACCAATTTTTCTAATTATGTACTGGTAAAAAAAAAATTCTTACTGAACCTGTGCAAATAACCATACTTCCATGAAAAGCAAGAAGATTCCATAAGAGTTTCTGAATTCTGAGGAGTCAGGTAGGGAGAAAAAGATATTTATAAGTGTTTCATTTCAGTTTATGAAAGCAGAATCTACTAAGTTCTTATGGGTTAATATAGCCTAAGAAGAAAGAGAAAGGTCTTCCTTATATGTCCAGAAAATAGAACACTATATCAACATCAACAGTATTCTGAACATAGAAGACAGTCATCCATCCCCAGTTCATGCGGTCCTGTGTGATTAATTCTGTCCCGCTGAATCTTGGGTTAGCAATCTCAAAAACCTATCTGCTTCTTGACTAAAGAGTTCTGGAACTCCTGACTCAGTCCACTAGTACGTTCTTAATGTTGTCTAAGTAGTTCCATCAGAAACTTATATCCAAGAGCAATTACTCAGTACAGTGCTTTTCTGAGACAGTATTTGGTTGTTAAAGATAAAAACTCTGGCCTGCCAGGCCCAGTGGCATGCTTACAGTCCCAGCTACTCAAGAGGCTGAGGTGGGAGGATCCCTTAAGCCCAATAGTGTGGGACTGTAGTGCACCATGATCATGCCTGTGAAAAGCCAGTGCACTCCAGTCTGGGCAACACAGTAAGATCCCATCTCTCAAAAAACAAAAATCTCCCACTCTATTCTATAACTGATTACAGAGCCTTTAAGAAGCATCAAAGTAAAATAAAAACTATCTGTAGGTGACAGAGACTTAAAAATTGTTGATTAACTTCTTACTGATAATTTTCAAGAATGAATGATCTGATGAGAATTCATGACAAGAATAATGCAACTGACAAGGAAATTTGGTTGCTTCTGTGGTGTGCAAAACAAAAAGATGTTAATCCAAACAGAAAAAATCTAGACAACGTCTAAAAATATAAGGTTAATTTCAAAAAACACAATGAACATATTAATTTATAAAAATGAACATGATTTTTACAGAGAAAAAATTTTAAGATATAATATATAAAAATTCTGGGATATAATTTACATAAAATGCCAAGAATATCAACTAAAGATATTCAGTAAGCTTAACATAAGTTCTAAATATCTGTATTTTAATAAAACTGCAAAGGAAAGGCTGATGTACATCTCCAGTTGAAAACCAGTGGCCTGGAAGATGCTACATTTAAATTAAAGAAGGAAAGTTGCAGCCTAGTAACTATTTTATTTTATTTTATTTTATTTTATTTTTTCGAGACAAAGTCTTGCTCTATCACCCAGATTGTAGTGCAGTGGCACGATCATAGCTCACTGCAGCCTCAAACTCCTGGGCTCAAGGGATCCTCTTGCCTGAGCCTCCTAAGTAGCTGATACTACAGGCATGCACCACCACACCCAGCTAAGTTTTTTATTTTTGTAGAGACAGGGTCTTGCTATGTTGCCCAGGCTGGTCTCAAACTCCTGGCCTAAAGCCATCCTCCTACCTCATCCTCCCACCTCATCCTCCCAAAGCACCAGGATTGCAGACATGAGCCACCATGCCCAGCCTCCAGTAACATTTTAAATAATAATTGAAATCGTGACTAGTAACACGTATACTGTTGTTATCGGGGAAGGCACCATCAGGGTGCTGATAAATAGAAACATGTCATGTACAGAGAGGGCATTGAGAAGTCTGCACAACTCTTTTATAGCATATAATTTCTCAAATATTTAGATAAATAATAATATTTTACCAATATAAATTTAACCTAGAGAAGGCTGAGCATCTCTTCTGACTTGACAATTATTTCCAAGCAATTGATCAATATTAACATATTAAATAAATCTAATGATTTCTAGCACCTCTCTTTTTAAAAGATGAAAGAACAAATCTTTGTGGTTTTCCAGGAGCCCTTCCTCTTTTTAAATTAAATATTCACAAACTTATCAAGATTTTGCCAACTTTGGCAAAATTTTAACACATTTAATTGCTTATTTTTAGACTTATTGTTTGATGTACTATAATCCAAGACAAATCAAATTTCCTTTCTACAAACCTAAAATGTATCCATTCAGATTTGACCTTCCCTGTTCCCTTTCTTATTCTGGAACAACCAGTCATTTTTCTTATGTGTAATATTTTTCCTTTTAATAAACAAAAACAGGTTTCAATACCATGTATACAAAGTCATACCTCTCTGCCACGATTGTTCCTAGTAGAGTCTCATTCATGTATATTAGTTATATCTTTTAACCAAAGTAACTAACATTTCAGAGAGAATGGGGAGTGGGGAGGGTGGATCATTATAAACCATCTAGAACACATTGGCATTCTAGAAGGGCTCAGTAATACGCATAACATGACTTTCTCCAGCCTCCAACACTCTTCACTTTCACACTTCTCAAGGTGTGAATTCAGCTACGGTATTCCCCAACATCTCTGGGATTTATGACAGACCTTGGTTGAAATCCTTTCACCACTGTGAGCCTTGACTTTGCTGAGCCCCAGTTTCCTCATCAATAAAAGTCAGATGGGTTCTTGAGGATAAATGCGATAATATAAGGAAACATTCTTGACGTCTTGTGGCTGCTGGAGGGTACTCAACAGGTATCCTTTTACTTCCTTCCAGATAAGTTTAGATTTGGATTCCTATCAAACACTAAATGTCACGTAGTTCTTCTGTAAGTACATTATTATGCTGAGCTCTGAGGCCTGCAAAGACAATCAAGACAGGGTTCTACCTTCTTGGAACTAAGAATCAAGCTGGAGAGGGGCTGTGTACACACAGTCAGCAATTTTAGAAGGCCCTGCTCTACTTATTGAGTGCCAAAGGATGGCATTTCCTATGTGCCATGTCATTCAGAGGACCAGCGAGGGGAATGCAGAAGTCGGTTGGGGAGATTTTGAAGAAAACTGACTTGCTGAGCACTTAACACATAAAAGGTTAGAGATTATATGTATACATTGCCTGGTATACAGGAAGCATGGAATACATGGCGGCTTTTACTATCATTATTAATGATGGTGATGTTATTATTACAGATACATATTAACCCAATTCACCTTTCTTGTGCTAAACAAAATACAGGCCAGGGTGCAGACAAATAAAAATAAAGACTTATAGTCTGAAAATGAGAAATCAAATCTCTGTCACATTTAACTGCTTTCACATGTCCCCAAGGAGGGCATTTAAGAAGTGAAGAAGACAGAATAGGAAGCTGAAAGTGGACTGGCCCTGGGCCTTGGACTCCTCCTCTGTAAAATGAGGATAATAATAATACCTGTATCACACGAGTGTTTTGAGGTTTAAATGAGGTACTACGTGTAAGGTACTTAGGTCAGTGCCAGGCTGATATGAAACACTGAGTAAACACTAATGATTGACTATATTCTATTTGTTTTTCCTACTACTTTGTGCCAGGCATTGTTTATTTGTAATTTTTGTGGAACTGCAAGGTGAATGTTAGCTTCCCTGTGGAACATATGAGTGTAATGAGGCACAGAGCAGTTATGTAAGCCTGTCCAGCACCACACAGCTGATAAATGACTGAGCTGGAGTTGGAATCAAGATTAGTCTGACTCGTAAGCCCATGGTCTTTCCGCTGCCTTCCTAATGATAGTGTTGGGTGGGGAAAAGATTACATGGCCATTTGGCCTTGGACAAATTACTTAACATCTCCCAGGCTCAATTTCCTTATCTATGAAATGGAAAAAATGATGTACCTATATCACGGGGTTTTGGTGAAATTAAATGAGAAGCTGCTTAAAGCACTTAGCCCAGTGTCTAGCGTAGTTGGTATTGGCTAGGTGCTTATAAATTTCTGTGGAGGGAGAGAATCATCTCCATTAGGAGAAGAAGGAAGTCTTTGACTTGGATCTGGAGGTGTTCTGAGCAGAGGTCACAGAGCCAGCAAAGGCATGCAAGTGGAGACATGGCCTGTCCCCTGTCTCTGAAGTAGTAACATGTAGCTCCAGCTGGTAGGAACAAAAGGTGCCCCTGGACAGGAGGCTGGGAGTCATGTGGCGCCAGGTGTGTGGAGACAGCTGCAGACATCCAGGCAAGAGTCAGAGATGGCGGAGTTTCTGTCCAGGAAGATGTTGCTCTCCTCCTCCTGTTAGGCCTTCCTCGTCAGGATGACAATGAATGGCTTGTCCATGGCGTTTCAGAGCCACAGAGCACCTGGAGGTTCCCCAGCCTGGAGCCTGGCTGGTTCCTGCCTTTTGTACCAGTGTCTGTGTGGGTGCGTCTGGGGGCAGCTGGCAGCATGGGAGATGACTGTGGCTGGTGCTTATGGGGCTGGGCCCATTTCCTGGGGCCCTCTGAGGGGGATGGCCCAGAACGTGCAGAAGAAGAGCCTGTGGGAGGAAATACCAGGGTGACCACAGCTGGATGAGCAGGAATGGGCAGGAGGGTGAATTGGGCAGGCAGGAAGAGCAGGAGCTGTGAGCTCCTGTGGTGCCATTTTTCCCACACCTCGATCTTCCCCTGTGAGCTGCAAAAGGCCACAGCTGAGCTAGAATGGATGGTTCTGCCCTGTGGAGTTAGCTAAGGGCTTTCACTGCCGGATCCTGGTGCCCACTCTGAGGAGGACGCAGGGGAAAGACATTCAAATTCATACTGAGAGAAAATCTGCTGTGTGCCAGACACTTCCACATCCAGGATATCTCATTTAATCTTTATAACACTCTCGTGCAGCAGGGGAATATGATCTTATTTAAAGGAAGATCGAACTGAGGCTTAGAGACGTACAACAACTTGCCCAAGGTCACATTAAGTGGCAGAACCAGAAATTAGGACTCAGCCAATTTTGCTCGAAGTCTGATGTCTGTTTCCCTGTCCTATGGGCTAGCTCTCTCAAATCTTACTTTCCTGTTGACTGCAAAGAGGTGCATGGTAAGGGCAGCAGAAAGGGCTGTTTAAAATGAGCTTTGATGGGAAGAGGCTGCTTGGAAAAGGAAATGAGGGCTCCTGGGGAGAACCTGGAGTCTCAGCCCATGATCCCTACTCCGGCCCCCCAGAAGGGGCATGTGAGCCTGTGGAGGTCCCATCCCCCACCCCTCGTGACAGCAGCTTCTCCCCCAGCTGCTTTTTGGGCTTCCTCTTCCACCCTGCTGTTTCCTCTCTCCCTCCCTACAGTGGACTGGCGTGCACCTCATTGACCTCGGGTGGGGCTGTCTGACTCAGGCCCTGTGGGCTGGTCTAGAAGGTAGCAGCAAGGTTTCGAAATAGTCTGTATGGTTGGCCAAGGCCTTGTTTTTTCCATTCAAGCTTCTGTATCAACTGAGAGCTGGGGTCAGGGTTGACAGTCCCAAAGTAACAGCAGAATTGAGGACAGACACCAGAGGTAGAGTCCCTGAAGCCCAGGACCTCCTATCTGAGTCACTAACAGACACTAAGTTGGTGTGTGTGTGGGGTGGGGGGGCGGTGTCACTGCTCTCCTGTTGGCTTCTGGCTCAGGTCTTGTCCCCTGGACGCTTCTTGCTCAGGAGAAGGAAGGCCATCCTCCTCCCCCTCTAAGCAGGACTGCAGCTCTGCCATCATCAACACGCTTCCATCAGTGCTATTTACACAACCTTTCTTCAGAAGAGACACCAACTTAAAACCTGTTGGCTGCCTCTTCTGAGCCCCACCAACACTCCCACCCTCCCTGTTATTCCGGCTGCTGATCAGAGTCCCTGCTGCAGCATGAAGGCTGTCTTCATTCTGCCTGACCATTCAGGGTCCCCCACTCAGCTTTCTTCCCAAAGCAAAACAATCTATCCTGTATTTTCCTCTTTCCTAAGACAGACTGTCATCTGAGCCACCAGTCTCTTCTCAAATGTCCTGAGTTCCTCGTGGCTCCTGGCCAATGGCTTCTTTCTCTAGGAAGGCTCTCAGGGCAAGCCCCGAGTCATCTCGATCTCTCTGAGCATGTGCCCACGTCCCAGCTGGAGGAAGGACAGCAAACAGAGGATTCCCTGAGGGGCTGGCTGCTGCCCTGGGAGAGCTTTGCGCCTCCCAAAGAGGGTCTTGTCCTGTCTTGTGTGCTAAAGACCTGGCTCAGGGCTCTGCACCTGTGGTATCTGTTCCTGGCTGGCCTTTTCCTAGCAGGGTATCTCCCAGTGCTGGTGGAGGGCTTGTGGGGGAGGGGGGGTGGGCACTGTCACCATTGACCCTAGCTTGGTTCTTACTGTGCCCAGCCCTCTATCCTTTTCAGATCTGCTTAGTCTCAGAACAGTCACGTCCGAGAAGAGACTACTGAATCCATTTTCTCTGGACAAGTGCCAAAGTCACCTGCAGCCACAGCCAGCCTAGCCTGGGACTGGGGAGTGACTAGGGAGCCACTGGGGAACCGGGGCTGTTTCTGACATCTCTCGGGGGCAGCGTCCCTCTGCTGGGCTGTTTCTTGTTTTTTGCTGTTGCAGTGGTGGTGGCAGTCGGTCTTTTGGGGGTTTTGTTTGTTTGTTTCTAATCTGTCACTGCTTTGGGACATGCCATTTCTTGATTTTTACCCCAGAAGCATTCCTAGTGCAAAGTCTCAACAAGGTCAATAAAGTTATTATCAGGCTCCTTCGAAAGAGTAGGTTGGACTGTCAGCTAATAGTTAAGAGATAGCTAGTCAACCTCCCTATCTAACTTGGTTATTCAGTAACCAGTATCCGGTGGGGGGGAGGTGGGATTCTGAGAAGTGCCATCTCTTGCTAACAAGGTCTTTGAGGGTCATGGGACAGCCGCCCCATCTGGAGCAGCCGGGGGCCTTCCCCTCCATCCTTTGGTCCTTGGCCTACTTGCCCAGCCTGGCCCAGCCCCTGGGCTGCCATCCCCCCGTCACAGCCACCCTGGGGCCAGCTAGGCAAGGCCTGGCTGTGCATATTCTGTGCCCTGCTTCTCTTCTGGGACCTCTTGATTCACGAGGGAAGGACTGGTGAGAGGAGAAGTGAAACCTGCGGGTTCTAAACATGGAAGGAGTGCGTCAGCTGCCTTTCTGAAGCTAGCATGAGCTTGGCAGTCTTGGCCTCCGTCTAGCCTAGCCCTTAACCTGACCGAAGTTCCCAGTCTCCTGTGAACCACGGCACCTTGATCTTTCTCTTAGAACACCTGACAATGGGGAATGGATAGAGCACCAGACTCAGAGGAGGCCCAGCTCTGACTATGCCATGCCCAGCGAGTGGTGTGACTTTGAGCTCATCCCTCCATCCCTCTGGAGGCCAGGAAGGAAGTCCCAGAAAAGGCCAGTGCCAGGCCTAGTGTCACACAACACAGCTGAGGACCCCCCACCCGCCACCCTCAAGACTCATGACTCTCCTGCTATCTTGGGTGTCAGGGTTTCTACTGGCAGCATCATGGGGGACTCCAGGTGGTGGATTTCAGGGAGTTGGGGTCAGAGCTGGCGGGGACATCAGGCTACCACCTGGAGGAGGGCAGGGCTGGAATCTTGGAACCTACCAGGTCAGGATGCACGTGGGGACCCCTACTGACTTTCCTGTCTGCCCACGGGAGCAGGTGGGAGGGCCCCGGGGCTGGAGTCTCCCCTGTGTCCCACCGTAGGCTCCCCAAGAAGCCATAGGGCCCACCATGGAAGGCCAGAGCTCCAGGAGCTTCAGGGCATCCTTATGTTCATCTAGACCCAGCTATGCACAGCGGGAGGCGGGGTGGAGGGGGACAGGCTGGCAGCCACATCTCTACCTTCCAGGTAAATCCAGGGCCCGGAGCCTCCACTTCCCAGAAGAGTTTGGTTCAGCCCCTGACCCTACTCGGCTCCCCTAACAGAGCAGTGTGGGCCGCCTCCACCCCTCCAGTCCTTCTTCCTGGTCTGAACATTGGAAGCACACTGGCTGTCATCTAAGCGCCCTCTGGGCATCAGGAACAATTTCAGACTGGTTAGGTGCATCTCACTAACCCATCAATAGGTCTGAGAAAGGTGATAGACTCTGCTTTTCCAATGAGCAAAAAGATGTAAGGAATGAAACCAGCTTTTGCCCGATTCCCAAGTCCTTGCTGTTTTCTCTTATAGACATCAACTCCCTGACATCCACCACCTGGGTTCCCCCGTGATGCTGCTATGTCCCTGGGAGTGGCTGGCAGGATGAAAAAGGCCCAGGGAACTGGCCTTGAGCCTCAGTGAGGAAGCCTGTCTGCGCTTCCCACCAAAACCTACAGGGCACAGCCCTGGGTCTTCACCTGGCTTAGGCTGGCTGGGGTTCAGAGCTGCCGACCTGGGAACTCCCGCTCTCTTCAGTGGCTTCCCATCACCTTCAGAGATAGCCTAAATGCCACAGTTTGGCACCTGAGGCCCTGCGCCACGCCACCTGAGGCCCCTGCCCTTCCCAGCCAGCTCTGCTTCTCTGCTTGGCTCAGTTTCACCCTACAGATACCCCCACTGAGGCGGAGTTCCCCAAACAGGTAGTGTCATTTCACACCTCCGTGCCTTCGTGCACGCTGCTTCCTCTCCCTGGCAGTCCTCCCTGCCCCAGCTGTGGTTGACTTGGCCTCGTCCTGCTTGTTTTTGAAGCCTCAGCTCCAGGAATCCTTTCCCGACACTGCTCCCTCCTGCTGGCTCGGAGTCTCTCCTCTGTGTCATCTCTGTAAGAGAGAGACATCACACCAGGTCTAACTGTCTCCCTGCTGACCTGTGCGCCCAGGCAGGTGGAGATTCCGCTCACGGATTCTCTTGCTAGTGCTGGATTGTAGCATGGTGCCTGGTACAGGATGGGCACAGGGATGCATGGGAGAGCAGCCTCGCTTCAGCCGAAGGGAATCAAGATGTTAGAAATGGGCACAGCTCCTCCTACTGAGGTTGTCGGGGACAGAACTCCAGGCAAAAGGGCCATGGAGCAGATAAGGAAGAACACCTGGGGCCACAAGCAGGGGAGTCGGGGAGGGCGGGCTGGAGTTGACACAGTGCAGTTGGGGGAGTGGGGTGGGAGGGGAAAGGGTGCTGGCAGCAGGCTGTGCCTCTGGGTCCCCATTGGCTCTGACCAGCCCTGGGAGGGCTCAGCATGAGTGTGGAGGTGCAGTCTGGCTTCCTAGTCAACACCAGGCTACGGAGCCAGCAAGGGCTTCACTGCCGAGCCTGCAATGAAAGAACAGTCATAGCTGGGGCCCCAGTGGGGCCTTGGGTCCCTGAGGATCTTTCAGACACTGAAAGGATCTGATTTGTCACCATGGTCAGTGGCCAAACATCATGGCAGAGGCCCTGGCACATCCAAGTGGTCATGAAGGCTGGTCCTGCTGCCTGGGGGGCCTTACCGGCAGTATAACCAGGGACCTGGGGACTGGGGGAGAGTCATGCTGTGTTCTCTTATCTTGTGGGACAGCTGGGACTGATACTAGCGCAATGTGTAACTGATGAGGAAACCAGAGGCAAAAAAAAGGCTTAGGGATTCACGGGAGGTTACACAGGCAATTAGTGAGAGGTGCCACGCAAAGCTTCCCGCCTCTCCCTGAACCAGGTGCGTCCCAGGCGGGGCTTGGTGGCTGCTATCTGTAGGACTGCAGGGTTCTTCCATCCATTGCTCTTTGCAGAAGGCCAGCTGGGCACCCTCTTCAAAGTCTCTCAGAGGATTTCCCTCAGATTCTAGAAGTCCCCGAACTAAGAGTCATGAGCCATATGGCAACAGGTGGAACCCGGAAAACATTGTTGCCACAAGCTTGCCTATGTCAGTCACTGTGACAGGCACTTGGAGTAGCCCCAGCTTCCCTAGACAACTTGAGTCCCTAGAGGACCTCTGTGACCCACATGTGTGCCTTTGGGAACCGGTGGCCAGAGAGGCCGGGGCGTGGAGCTGCCTGCATTCCAGACTACACTGTTGCACCTTCATGCTGGATGGGATGGAAAGGCACTGAAAGCGTTTTAGCAGAGCTGTGGAGGGGCAGGAGCAACTTCAGTCTCTCAAGAAGACAGACAGGAAGCTCGATCCAGGGGCAAAGTGAGAAGGAGCCTCGTAGCCCAAGCCCAATTCAGCCTTCGCTGAAATGCCCCTTTGTTTCCCAAGTGGTAGTGGGTGTTGCTTCATGCCACATTTGGGGGAATTGGGTCTGGGGTGTGGAGGAGGATTCCTAGGCCGAGGGAGCATCCAGTGTCCTGCCCTTGGGCTCTTGGAGCCAGGACAGAAAGGGCTTCAGGAGCCCTCCCACCCTTTTTCCTGACCCTTCTCCATGAAGTCTTCAGTGAGCCCTGGGTCTCGCCTAACTCCTGGCCCCTTCTCCTGGACTGGGGCTCCACTCTGAGGCCTATTTTCCATGCATGTCCTGGCTCCTGGCTGCGGCGAGGAAGCAGATAGTGACTCAGCAGGGCTCTGGGGCCCTTCCCCAGGCCTCAGGCTTGGGGAGCGGCCGGGGCACAGTGGAAAAGCTGAGTGCCACCCGCCTGCACTGTTCTTTCCATCCCGGGCCAGGGCATGGGATGAGACGTGAGGGGTGAGAAAGAGCACGTGTGTGAGCCACAGATGGAAAGAATGGGCTCTGTCCAGTGGGATGGACGGACTGGGACTAAGAAGAGGGCTGGGGTCTGTCACCACCTGTCCCACTGCCACTTCCTTTCCAACTACCGCCTGCCTGAAGGAGGTGCTGTGTCTGCCCTGTTCGAAGCTTCAGAGGAGTGTCAACCTCACTTTAAAAACAGACCCTTCTCCCGACTGTCTCCCTCCTACCCCCATCATTTTAGACATGTGAAAACCACTCAAACTCCCTGCCCCCACCTCTGCCACACACATGCACACACACACAGGCGCCCTGACCTCAGGGAGGTCGACAAAAAGCAGAGGTGCTGCCAGCTGGTCAGAGCAGGCGGAGGTGCTTCTTGTGGGCTGGGGCCGAGCCGGCTGCAACAGAGGCCTCAGGAGTTGGGACCAGGGAGACAGGTCCCTCTGAGCACCCTGGCCTCTGGGCATTTTTTCCCAGCCTCCCCTTGGCCTCTGCACCAAGAAGGAAAGAGTTGGTGGTCCTCAGGCCCTGGGACTGCCAGAGGGGACACGGGTCAGGGATGCCGGCCCAGAACTTCCAGCTGGGGCTGACTTCCCACTAACGCAGATGCTGTCCCTTCCTGCAGGTTCCGAGGCCTCATCCTGCTGCTGACCTTCCTAATTTACGCCTGCTATCACATGTCCAGGAAGCCTATCAGTATCGTCAAGGTGAGGCTGGCTGGCAGCAAGGAAGAGTGCAGAAGCAC
Source organism: Homo sapiens (assembly GCF_000001405.40). Classification (NCBI taxonomy): domain Eukaryota; kingdom Metazoa; phylum Chordata; class Mammalia; order Primates; family Hominidae; genus Homo; species Homo sapiens. The sequence goes on from NC_000011.10 coordinate 125,076,877, forward strand.
ACTGTCGTAACCGTCCTTACCCCTTCCCATGGCCACCGAGGTTGCACCTTCACCTGGCAGGCTCCCACTCTCAGTGGCTGTCTTCCCCAGGAGCTCCTTTTGAGTTTATTCCCCAAGACAGCTGTGTCGGTGGCTGTGGATGGAATAAGCGTGCAGGGCCCCTGGGCTATGTGGATGCTGCTCATGGGTCTGATGTGGCTGCTTTCCCCTGCAGCCAGTTCCTGCAGGAGGAGGTGCCAGTAGCGGGGACATAGAATCTGGTAGGAGGCAGTGTCTCCAGTATGGTTGGGGCAGGTGGTTGCTTGCTCCCCTCTGGGTCAACCCCTGACCTGTATGTCCCATTGCCTATCCAGAGCCGTCTGCACCAGAACTGCTCGGAGCAGATCAAACCCATCAATGATACTCACAGTCTCAATGACACCATGTGGTGCAGCTGGGCCCCATTTGGTAAGAACAGGGCAAGTTGCTCTTCCCATTCCCCATTCCCTCTTCCTCGAGAAGGGGCTGTCCAGGGAGGGCTTCCTGCAGGGGCATCCACGCAGTCAGCTTTCTGTTTCTCCCATCTGCTTTCAGACAAGGACAACTATAAGGAGTTACTAGGGGGCGTGGACAACGCCTTCCTCATCGCCTATGCCATCGGCATGTTCATCAGGTAAGGACAGAGGCTGAGCCTATGACCAAGAGGAGGATGGTTTAGAGCTGCTACCTCCCCTTAAGGAACCTGGGGGCAGCTGGGAATGAGCCCAGGGATGCTGCATGTACAATCCACCCACAGCCATCCTCCTTGCCTTACCGCGGTCGCAGAGACTGCTCCTTCGCCTGGTAGACTCCCACTGGTAGCAGCTCTTTTGCCTGGAAATGTTCTCCTGGATGCTGCTTTTGAGTCTATTCACTCAGATACCACAGTTGGTGGGTATGGACTAGGACCCTTTAAGAATGGCCCTGCGTGCACATATATCTGGGAGAATCCCCATCCTCTGCTGTGTCCAAACCAGCACGGGAAGCATGCTGTTCCTTGCCAGGAATCCACGATCAATAAGGCTGCATACTGCCTCCAAAGAGCTCACAGGCCAGTGGGGGCAATGGATGCATTGGCAGCTGGTGCTAAAACTGTGGCGGCTCCATGACAGAGGTGGCCATCATGTGTTCTAGGAGCTCCGAGGTCATTACTCAGTCCAAGCTGAGCTAGAGCAGAGGGGTCGGGGATGCTTCTTGGATGAGATGGTGCCTGACCTGATGCAAGGGACTTGGGTGCGGCGGTGCAGATGGAGACCTGGGCAGAAGGAATAGCACGAGCAAGTAGGGCAAATGTGAAGAAACAGCATGATCTACGGGAGGAACCGCGGGCAGGTGTATGGAGGGAATGACAGTGTAAGGAAGGTAGCAGCAGGGCTGAGGGCTGAGGTCATTTGCACATGAGGTCCATGGGCAGAGACGCATGGAAGGGTTTTCGCCAGGGCGTCCCATCCAGATGAGCATTTCTGAGAGCTCACTCTGAGAGTGATGCTGAGGTGGATGAGACTGGTCATACAGAGTGACCAATTTGACAGTAGCCCAAGCTGTTGAGCTTATGTTACTACAGTGGTGATAGAGGTGGAAAGAGGCTATGTACTGGAGCACTAGCTAAGAGGTAGCCCGGTGAGTCTTGGAGACTGAATGTGAGGGGTGGGGAGGAAAGGTGGGAGGCTGAGGGAGCTCTGAGCCTGGCTTGAGTGCCCAAGGGGTGGCATTCACTCAGATGAGGATAGCAGGATGATGAAGGCGTCAGGGTGGTTGGTGGGAAGAGGAAGAGGAATTCAGCTTAAGAGCACTGGGTTTATTTAAATGCCCCGGGGGCATCCAAATAAAGATGTCCAGGAGGCACCTGTCTGTGACTGTGAAGCTCTGGGAGACAGATCAGGCCTGAAGATATGCATGTGATGCCTGTGGAGCTATTTAGCCTATGGGTGGTTGTGGCAATGGTGAAAGTGTTGCAAAAGACCGCACCGAGAGGAAAACGCACGACACGAGGGGCCGGCCAAGCGGAGGAAGATGGGAAAGCTAAATTCATGGAGCATGGCCAGGTGTCACAGAAGCAGTGGGGGACAGAGGTTGGCCCCGTCACATGGCAACACAGAAGTCATTGGTGGGACCTTGGCCAGAGCCACTTCCTAGCGTGGTGGGGGCAGAAACATGGTAGGGAGTTGAGGTGGACACAGAGGAGCTTAACCGCAGATCCAACTTTCTCTTCCCCAGTGGGGTTTTTGGGGAGCGGCTTCCGCTCCGTTACTACCTCTCAGCTGGAATGCTGCTCAGTGGCCTTTTCACCTCGCTCTTTGGCCTGGGATATTTCTGGAACATCCACGAGCTCTGGTACTTTGTGGTCATCCAGGTATGAATCACCGTCTTGCACTTGGGCCTGTGTTGCCGTCTCGGGAAGGACCTGGGAGACCGCAGCTCACAGCGGGTGGGAGCCTGTGTTCCTGGCTCCCTGTCCAGTGCTCTCTATTACACTGCACTGAGTTCTACCTCCTGGCCCCACTGCCCCCGCATTTGTTCACTCAGAGAGTTGGCCTTGAGCACAACGCTGTGGTCACTTCCAATGCACGAGAGGCTTGGTCTCTGCTTGAACAATCTTGAGCGAGAGAAGCCAGCTCATGCCATTGAGGAGGTGTGGCATGTGTGTAAGGGAAGGGTAAGGTTTGTAGTGTGGGGTATGGAGGGCCCCTTGGCCACGAAATTGAACCTCCTCAGCCCAGGGTGGTCAGAGCAGGGAGCCAGTCGCACAGCCCAGGCCTGTTCCCACCCTCCCTTCTCTCTCCCTGCAGGTCTGTAATGGACTCGTCCAGACCACAGGCTGGCCCTCTGTGGTGACCTGTGTTGGCAACTGGTTCGGGAAGGGGAAGTGAGTGTAACAAGGGAGGAGGAGTGGGAAGGATTGGGAGGGCTGGGGGTCCTGAGCTGGTCACCGTGGCCTCTGATGTAATTTCAGAGGGAAGGGTCAGAAAGCGGCCTCCACGTTGCTGTTCACGTGCTTAGAAGTGGCTAAAAGCAGTGCTGATTTTCTCACTGATGAGGCTTTAACCCATAGAGCAGGCAACCTTAGTTATGTTTTTTTCTAATAATAGATTAATTTCTATTTTCAACGAAGACAAAAAGAAGCCTATAAAACTTCCGCCCTGCCCCCCAACCCCGACCCCGAATTGGCTTGTGTGCAAAACAAAGTTGCTTTGGAGAAGGAGTTCTCACCCTTGGCACTACTGACTTTCTGGGCTATTGGACCCTTGTTTGGGGACTGTCCTACCACTGCAGGCTGTTTAGTAGTAGCCTTCCTGGCATCTGCTCACTGGATGCCATAGCACACCCTGAGCTGTGACCATGAAAAATCTCTAGCTGTTACCAGATATCCCTTGGGGGTAGGATCACCCCTGGTTGAGGACAGTGCTTTAGAGTGAGATCGTGGGACAGAAGAGAAGAACGAGGGCCGGGGCCCCCATGCCCTCAGTGTGGCTAGAGCTCCCATCGGCACTCACTCAGGGAGCTGGGCAGGCGGAGCGAGACCACAGGCCCTGCAGCCACCTGCTTGACACCATCCAAGGTCTCCCACTCCTTGCTGACTTGGGGCTTTGGGGCTGTCTTTGGTGCCTCGGGGAAGCTGTAGTCAGCCCAGCTTTAGAGCTTGGCTGGGGCAGTTGCTATGAACAATGTGCTTTGCTTTTTACTTTTTATACCTCTTCCCTTCTCTCCCTCCCTTCCAGGCGGGGGTTCATCATGGGCATCTGGAATTCCCACACATCTGTGGGCAACATCCTGGGCTCCCTGATCGCCGGCATCTGGGTGAACGGGCAGTGGGGCCTGTCGTTCATCGTGCCTGGCATCATTACTGCCGTCATGGGCGTCATCACCTTCCTCTTCCTCATCGAACGTGAGTGGGCCCCTCACTCCCCACAAGTGAGCCTAGAAGTTCTCGGTTTCTGGGAGAAGGCAGCTGGATCTACTGGAAAGATTGCTGGTCACAGAGTGGGAGGACCAGCCGTGTGACTTTGGACAATCTTTCAGAGCCTTTATTTTCTCATTTGTAAAATAATAATAGTAATAATAATGTCTATTTCGTAGGATTTCTGCAGGCTTAACTGAGACACCATAGTTAAAATGCCAGGCCCACAGGAGGTGCTTGGCAAGCATTGGTTGAATCTGAGAGGTGTGATCAGGGAGGGTGGAGTTGAAGGGACATTGTTACAGTGACCAGGCTCTCCACTTGCTGCAGGTGGTCTTGTGCACTAGCCAGGCCAGGTATGAGAGCCACTCTGTAGCTAAGAGTACTAAAGTCCAAGAGGCAGTAGTGACACTGCTGGTTGTTAGGAAAGCCAGGCCTAGAAAGCTGTCTCCTGAGCCCCAGGCCCCGCTCCCTCCTGCTGGGACACACACTGGCCACCTTAGGAGCTGGAGGCGGGGCTGGTTCCCGGGATGGCTTAGATCCAGTGCAAGGTGAGGGCCTGGCAATCACCTCGGGATTGGGGGGGCGGGGGTTGGGAAACTTCTTAGAAAGCGATTTTTTTTTCTAGACCCAGAAGATGTGGACTGCGCCCCTCCTCAGCACCACGTGAGTGTGAGCCCTCCCAGCCCTATCCCTGCCCTCCAACTCCATCCAGAGGGCTGGACCCGGAGAGGCCTGGGGAGCTAGAGCAGGGAGTTCTGGCCCTCACTGACCTCACCGACCCAGTGCTAGGCCCATGGGTTGGCCCTACAGCCTGATGAGTCTGGCAGGTCAGTCCAGCCCGAGACGAACGTGTGCCTCCCCATCCTGGGAGCCAGTGTCTCTTGCCTGGGCTGCACCTTCAGCTGGTGGGAGGCAGCACATGGACGCACCCACAGCAGGGCTCATCTCCTCTGCTCAGGGTGAGCCAGCTGAGAACCAGGACAACCCTGAGGACCCTGGGAACAGTCCCTGCTCTATCAGGGAGAGCGGCCTTGAGACTGTGGCCAAATGCTCCAAGGGGCCATGCGAAGAGCCTGCTGCCATCAGCTTCTTTGGGGCGCTCCGGATCCCAGTAAGAAGTTTGTGGAATGGAGGAAAGAGAGGGGCTTTCCAGATTTTTTCTGTTGGTGATGAGGAGATGGGGTGCTTGGGTGATCTATTTTTCTAGAACTTCTTTATAGGGGAGGTGTAAGTTGGGCAGCCTGCTTGGGGAGGGCAGTGTGGGAGATTTGTCTTGAAACAACCTTGCACAGTGGTCATGTTGCTTTTATTGGGACTGGATGTGTTGGAGGCTGCCTTGTGTGGCAGGTGATGGAAAGTACTGGGGTGGTGCTGAGCACCCCTTGGGGCCACCACTGAACCCAGGACCTCTGGACCCCTTCCCATGTGCCCCCTGTTGCACTCCCCAGGGCGTGGTCGAGTTCTCTCTGTGTCTGCTGTTTGCCAAGCTGGTCAGTTACACCTTCCTCTACTGGCTGCCCCTCTACATCGCCAATGTGGGTAAGTCCAAGAGAAGGGGAATGAAGGGGTCTCTGAGGAGGCCAAGGCTGCCTCTGGTGGGAGAGGAAGCCCGTCGTGGTGATGCCTGTGATTCCAGTATATAGGCAGAATTCCTGCTGAACCTCTCCTAGAGTGAAAGGAGCTTGATTTAGTTGTTTACTTAAATGAAAGCTAAACCCAGCAAACTACCCCCTAGACCCTGACTCCAGCCACCTTTTCTCCCCTTGGAACTGAGCTGGGGGTTAGGAACTCAGAGCTCTGTTCTGCAATTCTTGCTATCTTCTTCTCTAGCCCTTAGTGTAGGAGAAACCCCCTCCAGGCTGCTTGGCTCATAGGTGGTAGCATTGGAGGTGCTAGGGAAGGCCTGCCTGCTAGATCTCTCCCCCAGCCCAAGGAAGAGGGCCTGGTGAGTGACCCCACTCCTTGTAGCCTGGTGGTGACCCTGGTGGTCTTCTCCCCGTGGGACCTAATGTGATCGATGCCCCTGTGCCTGGATCTGCTGGGCTGCACTGGTGTTCTGTCCTGTCTCATGGACCTACTCCCGTCTGCTCCTGCCCAGGGATGTATAGATGAGAAGAGCTCATTTGAAAAAGGATGTTTCATGTCCACCTGGCCTGGGTCTCTGCTTTTCCATAGGTCAGGCTGCTCTACCAAACAGCAGCCCACCCCGCCCTGCCCAGCCCCCAGGAGCCTCCAAGCTCCACCAGGGCTGAGGGCCTGTCACCCAGTACTGCTGCCCTCCCTCCCAGCCCTGGGGAGGAACAACAGTGCCTTGCCACACATTGTGCTCGCTCTGAACAGGATACTGTAGGAATTAGTCATGGCCAAGTTCAAGCCATAGCTTGCCCCGCAGCTCTGTCGGGGCCTCTCTCGTGACAGTGTGGAGCACTAGGGCAGCTTTGTGGACACCGTGACTCTTTGTTTTGTGGCCTTGGTGCTGACTTCAGAGTATGAGGCACCCTCGAGGGTGGGGCTACAATCTCAGCTTCTGGACATTCCTTTTTTAAAACATGGAGCCAAGGCCTGTGACCTGAGGCCCCTGTGTCCCTGCAAGTCTCCTTCCTGGCTCTGTGTATGAGCACAGCCTAAGGTAAACGGGAAGAGTTCCTAGTGCTGCTAGGGCCGGAGTGAAGCAGAGAAAGGGCTGGGCTGAGCTTCAGGTTGCGCTCCAGGGGAAAGGTGGCCACGGGACAGCAGGCTCGGGGGCCAGATCCCAGAGCTTGCCAGGGAGGGCTTGTTCTGAGAGGTGAAGGTCATCCTGCAGGGGAAGAGGGCAACACAGGACGGGACCAAGAGGGCGTCTATCCAAACTGCTGCATTCTCACCCTGTGGCCCTGGCCAGCCTGCTCCACAGGTCCCCAGCTCTTCCTCGGAAAAGGGGGCAGTGGTCTGGATCACGCTCTGCAGGGCTTCTAGCTGTGACACTCCAGGATGTTTGCCCCAAACCCCAGGTCTGACCACATACCTGTATTTTCCACAGCTCACTTTAGTGCCAAGGAGGCTGGGGACCTGTCTACACTCTTCGATGTTGGTGGCATCATAGGTGAGGCCTTGCCCTGCTCTGCCAGCAGGCTCCCTTCCCCTCTTTTCTTGTGGGGTGCAGGAAGAAGGGACAGGTCCGATGGGCTATGACCTGGGTAGGTGGCACCAGAGGAAAAATGGCTCCTGGGTTTATTCTCAGCTCTGATCCTGCCTGGCTGGGTGGGCCTAAGAAAGATGCCCTTTTGTTTGGTCTCCAGTAGTGATGGGCACTACAGGAAGGGGAGGGCTGTGGAAAAAGCAGCTCTGCTGGTTCTTGCTGACAGGCCCAGGCCAGCACTGGGGCACAGCTGGGGTGCCAGGCGAGGGGATGGCAGGGTCCTGTCTGGGAGTCAGTGCGTGAGTGGCTGTGTGTTCCAGGCGGCATCGTGGCAGGGCTCGTCTCTGACTACACCAATGGCAGGGCCACCACTTGCTGTGTCATGCTCATCTTGGCTGCCCCCATGGTGCGTATAACCCCGAGGGTGAAGTGCGAATGCATGTGAGCAGGAGCCTGTGTGGGCCTCTGGCCTATGTGCACGTCCACGCGTTACACACATTGATGTCGCTGTGTACGCGTGCACATGCATCATTGTGCACACACGGGGGAGGAGAAGCGAGGGTCAGCAGAGGCACCTTGGAAAAAGAGCCAGACTGCAGACTTTAGAGGGGGATTCATGACTCTTTGGCCTTGGTAGAGGAGACCGCCTCCTAAACTTCTTGATCAAGGAAAGAAGAGATTGAGGTTGAATCTGAGAGAAGACTGTTTGGAGAAAGGGAGATGATAGAGTACCACGTTTTAGACCGTCCATCCCTGGGACATTTAAAGACCAGAGAAATCTGCATAGGCAGGGGAAAAGGAATAGGATGCCCTCTGGGGTTTCAGGGCAGGAGATGGTTGTTGCAGACCTCAGGGCTCCAGGCCAGCAAAGGGATTCCGGGTGACTCTGCCTCTCCCCTCTCCTCTCTCAGATGTTCCTGTACAACTACATTGGCCAGGACGGGATTGCCAGCTCCATAGGTGAGGAGGAGGTTGCAAGTCCTGCCAGGCCAGGGGAAAGGCACTGCCTTGGGGGCCCCATGAGGCTGGCCCACGGGGGGCACTGACAGGTGGAGGGGCTGGGAGGGCTGAAGGCTGGAGAGTGCTCCTGCCTTGGGGTTGGGGCTGCGGGTGGTGCTGCTTCTCTGACTGGCTGTCTCTATGCTGTCCCAGTGATGCTGATCATCTGTGGGGGCCTGGTCAATGGCCCATACGCGCTCATCACCACTGCTGTCTCTGCTGATCTGGTGAGTGGGGCCACCTCCCGAGGGCCAGGGACCGTTCTGGGGGCTTGGTCAGGGCCACCATCTCCAGGTCCATTTCTCCCTGTCTCCCATCCCGCAGAGGAGAAACCGTCAAAGTCCTTCAGAACGCACCATGGGCCCCTCTCCTCTCAAGCCCAAACCCCAGTTACCACCTTCCCTGAGTCAGCCCCTCTCCTGTCCTGGTTCTGCTCATGCTGCTGCTCAGCTGGGCTTCCCCACTCCACTGTCTCTCTCCAGGGGACTCACAAGAGCCTGAAGGGCAACGCCAAAGCCCTGTCCACGGTCACGGCCATCATTGACGGCACCGGCTCCATAGGTCTGTGACTCTAGCTCTGTTGTGGGCCGGCCCCTAGGCATAGTGCCCTCCGGTGGGCAGGGGAGGTGCAGGACCCCTGCTCACGAGGCTGTGCTCCATTCAGGTGCGGCTCTGGGGCCTCTGCTGGCTGGGCTCATCTCCCCCACGGGCTGGAACAATGTCTTCTACATGCTCATCTCTGCCGACGTCCTAGCCTGCTTGGTAAGAGTCTTGGGGTACACAGATAGGTATTGAGGGATGCTCTGTCCTGCCAGACTGGAACCCTGGAGGTCCAAAGCGTTGGCCATTTGGGGTTCTGGGGCAATGAGAGCAGCTGCCCTTTGCTCAGAAGCACTCTCCCTCCCCCGAGTGACCCCTTGCCAAGTGGCAGCGTGTCTCTCCCCCTTCTCCACTGCCAGTCCACGGGTCACCCTGGTGCTGGGCACTCAGTGCTCAGTGCTAACAGTGCCCTCCCTTCCCTCTGTGCCTTGTGCTCCACAGCTCCTTTGCCGGTTAGTATACAAAGAGATCTTGGCCTGGAAGGTGTCCCTGAGCAGAGGCAGCGGGTGAGTCCGGGGAGCTGAAGCTGCCCCTCTACCAACCTCATTTCTCGTGGGAATCAGCCCAGCGCTCAGTTTCTCCAAACGCAGGCTGAGGCTCGACCAGCCCAGACCTGAGGAGCACTGAGCCAGTCCCTGGGTGGCCCTCACCCTGCTAACCTGTCCTCTGTTGTCCCCGTGTATCTCTATAGCTCTAGTATGGTCCTAACCCACCAGTGATAGTATTTTCCTCAAGTCCCATGACTTTTGTGAGTATTTACTTCGAGTCTGTGACTCGAGTGCCATTTGAGTGGGGGCTGCATGCAAATCCTCTGTCCTGCAGTATGACTTTTTCCAACTTTCTCTTTCTTCTTGTGGGCCAGTTGTAAAGACTTTCAACCTCAGCAGAGCATGGTGCTTGGGAAGTGTTTTCCAAGGGGTCTGAGATGCCACAGAGGTTGGTGGCCTCTTCCCTGAGGGACAGTGTGAGAACTTTGGACATGCCCTCGGGGACAGAGGAGGCAGAAATAGGGAAACCAGTTTCCCTCTGAGCTGCGACTGAGCTGCAAGTGCCTCCTGAAGTTCAGAAACCAAGGTCATCTGGCCCCTCTGCCTGGGGTATGCAGAACAAAAGCAACTACCAATCAAAGTCTCTGAAACAAATGTGAATCAAGCATGGGTGGCTGGCCTGGTGTGCTCTCTGCCTACTGTCTGGTGGTGGTGGATGTGGTGGTGGCATCAGCAGGTCAGTGGCTGAGGCTACACAGTGCTGGTGGTCTGATGGTCGGGCGACCCTCTCCCGCTGGCCGTCCTGAGCAGGAGCCTCGTGCTAACAAGGAGGCCGCTAATGAGCTGGCCGGAGCTGTGGACCTGGGCTGGATGGCAAATGTGAGGAGGAACCCCCGGGACATGGTAACCAGCACGCATCTGGGGACACACTTCCACTTAAGGAAGACACCACCCAGGGGAGAGAAAGTGAGAGCAGGAAGACACACAACACAGGAAGCACGCAGAGCACCTGTCCTGCCCTGCCCTGCCCTGCCCTGGAAGAGGGGAGCAGGGGGCTGGACTGCATGACCCAAAGTTCCTGTGCCTGTGCTCCTTGGAGCCAGGCCTGAGGGTGGGAAGGGAAGAAGAGCAGCAGAAAGCGAGGAGGATTTAGTGAGCAACTGCTCTGTCCTGGAATTGTGTCTGGCTTTAGACGTGTGAGCTTGCCTCGCAGCAGCCTCTCATTGAAGGTGAGAGACAGAGGCTCAGAGCTCGGGCACAGCCTAACACTGAAACTGGGCCTGGGGTTTGTTTGCTTTTCTCTGGACTGCCACCGCTGTCCCAGGCTGGTCCTGCTCCATGGGAGGCCTGTGTGTGAGGTGTGCAGTGATTTATCAGAGCAGACAGAGCACTGTGCTTGGAATCCAAAAACCCCTGGACAGTCCTGCTTTCTCCACTCACTCCATGAGACCTTGGGCATAGCACTCCATCAGACCCAGATTCTCTGAACCACCACATCTTTATGTATGAATGGGGATGCTTATCCCTGAATACCTGGCAGAATTGACCCAAGGCTGAGATAAATGGGATATGTGATATTGCTTTGTAAAGCTGTCAAATGTGGCATGAACATTGTAAGGTTTTATTTAATTTCTTTTTTTTTTTTTTTTGAGGCGGAGTTTTGCTCTTATTGCCCAGGCTGGAGTGCAGTGGTGTGATCTCAGCTCACTGCAATCTCCGCCTCCCAGGTTCAAGTGATTCTCCTGCCTCAGCCTCCCGAGTAGCTGGGACCACAGGCATGCGCCACCACGCCCGGCTAATTTTGTATTTTTAGTAGAGACAGGGTTTCTCCATGTTGGTCAGGCTGGTCTTGAACTCCCAACCTCAGGTGACTCACCCGCCTCGGCCTCCCAAAGTGCTGGGATTACAGGTGTGAGCCACCGCGCCCGGCCAGGTTTTAAATATTAATCTAGCTTGCTATTTCCTGCCTGAGAGGTGAAAGGGAGGCCTCATTACAGAGAACTGAGATGAAAGCAATGATGAAGGGACCCTGGGACCCTGCCTTTCCTCTCCCTACTCAGCAGGAGCTTATGAAGTCATCTCACTTTCTCTTCTGTCCCCCCTCTCCTCTTCATGCAGGTATAAAGAAATATGAGGCCCCAATTGGAACAGCAGCATGGAGGGTCCCAGTTGGGTCCCCAACGTGCTCCCCATGGGCAAGACAATGGAAACTTCCACAAGCAGGGAAGGCAAACCCTCTTTATTGAACATTAGCCAGCCCAGCCCAGACCCCAGGGCTGCCTAAGGACACAGAGATTCTCCATGGGAAGGGGACTGCCAAGCATGAGGAAATAGAAGATTCAGGGGCCTGAGCTCTGGAAGCTGCAAGCAAAAGGGATGGGACTAGGGCTGAGTTGTGTCTCCATTTTGATAAGGAAAGGATATGCTCAGACTCTTGCTTGTTCAGATTCCAAGACAGAAGGCTTCACAAGGCCAACGCCTGGAAAATGGGCATCTCTCCTTCCCATGTTAAGCTTTAACCTCTGTAATCTGCCTGTATCTATAGGTGGGCATCTCACTCCACCAAAGGAGCCCAGCCTCTCTTTGTCCCTCTATCCATGCAACAGTCTTCTCTGTGCATTTCCCCAAGCTGGGCCCTCTTCTACTCTCCATTTAGGCCTGTTGATAACTCCATTACCCGCCCATCACTGCTGTTCCTCCAGGGCCAGCACTCGGGCGAGGCAGGGGAGCTGCCTTCGGTACATAATTTGAAGGGGCACTCCCTCTTGGGCACATGCCGGCCCTGAGTGCCTCCCTTGCCTCACTCTGATCCTGGCCCCATAATGTCCTCAGTGGAAGGTGATGGGGGCCGGTGCTGTGGGGAGAGTAGAAAGAGGGGTTGGCATGACTAAAAATACCAGTATGTGTATTAAGTATTTTGAGAATGAAATGCCAAGGAGTGCCTACTATATGCCAGCTCTAGGAATGGAGTAGACAGTGGACACAAGAAGGACTTACGCCCTGAGCACAGGTGCCAATGGTGACAAGACTGGCAAGACGTGAGGGCATGAATGGTTCATTCAGGCAGCTGCTGCAGATGTGGTCACCTGGTGCCATCTGCTGCTCCCTTTTCCACTTTTCTATGTCCTCCTTCCACCCCAAGTCCCGGATCACTCGCTGTTTTCTGGCTAGCTCTTGGCATCTCCATCTGAGCCTAAAGTTGCCCACTGGCACCAATAGATTCTGTTTGACCTGCTGTGCCCATGCTCATCTTTGTCGGGGCTTGGCTTGGCAGCGAGCGAGGCTGGCATGGGGTGCTGAAGTGGGGTCTCAGTGAGGGGTGACAGCGTGCTGGCAGTCCTCACAGCCCTCGCTCGCTCTCGGCGCCTCCTCTGCCTGGGCTCCCACTTTGGCGGCACTTGAGGAGCCCTTCAGCCCACCGCTGCACTGTGGGGAGCCCCTTTCTGGGCTGGCCAAGGCCAGAGCAGGCTCCCTCAGCTTGCAGGGAGGTGTGGAGCGAGAGGCGCGAGCGGGAACCGGGGCTGCATGCAGCGCTTGCGGGCCAGCTGGAGTTCCGGGTGGGCATGGGCTTGGCGGGCCTGCACTCGGAGCAGCCGGCCGGCCCTTCCGGCCCCGGGCAGTGAGGGACTTGGCACCCGGGCCAGCGGCTGCAGAGGGTGTACTGGGTCCCCCAGCAGTGCCGGCCCACCTGCGCTGTGCTTGATTTCTCGCTGGGCCTTAGCTGCCTTCCCGCGGGGCAGGGCTCGGGACCTGCAGCCCGCGGTGCCTGAGCCTCCCACCCGCTCCATGGGCTCCTGTGGGGCCCGAGCCTCCCCGACGAGTACCACCCCCTGCTCCAGGGCGCCCAGTCCCATCGACCACCCAAGGGCTGAGGAGTGCGAGCGCACGGCGCGGGACTGGCAGGCAGCTCCACCTGCAGCCCCGGTGCGGGATCCACTAGGTGAAGCCAGCTGGGCTCCTGAGTCTGATGGGGACGTGGAGAGTCCTTATGTCCTGCTCAGGGATTGTAAACACACCAATCAGCACCCTGTGTTTAGCTCAAGGTTTGTGAGTGCACCAGTCGACACTCTGTATCTAGCTGCTCTGGTGGGGCCTCGGAGAACCTTTATATCTAGCTCAGGGATTGTAAATACACCCATCGGCACTGTGTATCTAGCTCAAGGTTTATAAACACACCAATCAACACCCTGTGTCTAGCTCAGGGTTTGTGAGTGCACCAATCAACACTCTGTATCTAGCTGCTCTGGTGGGGCCTTGGAGAACCTGTGTGTCGAAACTCTGTATCTAACTAATCTGATGGGGACGTGGAGAACCTTTGTATCTAGCTCAGGGATTGTAAACGCACCAATCAACGACCTGTCAAAACAGGCCACTCGGCTCTACCAATAAGCAGGATGTGGGTGGGGCCAGATAAGAGAATAAAAGCAGGCTGCCCGAGCCAGCATTGGCAACTCGCTCGGGTCCCCTTCCACGCTGTGGGAGCTTTGTTCTTTGCAATAAATCTTGCTACTGCTCACTCTTTGAGTCCACGCTGCTTTTATGAGCTGTAACACTCACCGCGAAGATCTGCAGCTTCACTCCTGAGCCCAGCGAGACCACGAGCCCACCGGGAAGAACGAACAACTCCAGACGCGCTGCCTTAAGAGCCGTAACACTCACTGTGAAGGTCTGCAGCTTCACTCTTGAGCCAGCGAGACCACGAACCCACTAGAAGGAAGAAACTCCGAACACATCTGAACATCAGAAGGAACAAACTCCAGACGTGCCACCTTAAGAGCTGTAACACTCACTGCGAGGGTCCGCGGCCTCATTCTTGAAGTCAGTGAGACCAAGAACCCACCAATTCCGGACACACCAGGACCACCAAGTGGGTAGGTTAAAGCTCATGACAGTGGGCACTCCTGAAGGGGATGCTCATGATATTGATGATGTGTGGGCAAATGGGGAGCTTAGAGCGCCACGCAAGATAAAAGCCTTGCATTTCCTGGGACGTTGTGGGCTGGTGCATTAGCCAGATACACACCCTTCCACACTGAAGCAGGCTGCACAGCGCCAATGGCAACAAACAAGGAAGGCTCCTCCTGCCTGCAGTCACTTCAGCTCTGAGCGCAGGAGTCAGCCAGGGACCTCCAAGTCCTCAGCCCACAGGGGCAAGAGCTATACTCTGGCCTTATGTTCAGCATTCAGGAAAGCTGCTCTCTGCTGCTCTTTGACATTGAGAATGAAATGAAATTAGTTATTCATTTAACTTCACATTTGGTCTCAATTAAGCTCAAAATGTTCTTCCTTAGAGATGCTCCAATAGCACTTGTAATTAAGGAGTTTAAGGAGAAGCTGTGTTGCTTATATGAGCCACTAGATGGTGACCCAATCCCATCATACAGCCCAGGGTGGGCTGTGGTTCCATCCTGCTTCCTGGAAGAGAGACAGGAGCCGAGGCCTCTTGACTTTTCAGACTTTCAGCTTGCTTTCTGCTTCAGAGGGCAGGGGAAGAGGAATGGTTCTCTCAAGGTCTTCTCTTCCCCAACTGCACTGCTTACTAACTTTAAGCCTGTTTCATCATCAGGAAAATGGTGACATTATCTACCTCATAGGATTGGTATGAAGGGAGACACATACTCAACACACTCCTGCCCTTGAAGAACTTGTCTAGTTAGGGGATAAATAGGAAAACACACGGAGACAGTGACTCCAGGTGAGAGCTATGCTGTTCATTAGTCCAGCCATGCAGGAACACGGCTGGCAGAAGGGCAATTCCGGGGGCAACGGGAAGAGTCCTTCTTCCTTATGAAGGCAGAATTCTGAGGACTTGGATGACTCATTTGATAAGGTAGTGAGGGGTAATGGAAGAGGGAGGAAGTTAACATGAATACTTATCCAACTCCTAGGATGTTAGGCCTTAGAGACTGAAACTGAACAAATGGCATTGGCTCCTACCAGCAGGTAAGTGTGGCACTAGACACATGCAAAAGGCATTGTGCGAGCTCAGGGTCTGGCCTCAGAAATGAGGACTTAGGCTGTGGGTAGGGAGTTGGAAAAAATACTGAAGGTTGGGGGAACCCCAGCACTGAGATCTGCCTGTCTGCACCCATCTCCCAGGTCCCAGGTTACTGGCCCTGTTTGGGCAGCTCTGGGCGCAGCCTGTTCACCACAGGCCTGGTACCTGCCTTCTCCCTGGGCCTCAGCACTCACTCACACGGGGCTAATGTAGGAGCATTACGTTAATTAGTTATTCATTTAATTTAACTTCACATTTGGTCTCAATTAAGCTTAAAATGTTCTTCCTTATAGATGCTACAATAGCACTTGTAATTAAAAAGCAGTAACTCTTTGTGTTTCTCCCTTAGAAATCCACTGGGAGGCTGGGCGAGTGTGTGTGGGGTGGCTGGGGGAGGAGGAGGAGGAGGCAAGAGGCAAAGAAAAGAAAGGGAAAGAAGCTCTTGGTCGGTCCTAGCACCATGAGGCCACCACTAAGACTGAGGCTGGCAGGAGGAACT
This sequence comes from Homo sapiens, assembly GCF_000001405.40. Classification (NCBI taxonomy): domain Eukaryota; kingdom Metazoa; phylum Chordata; class Mammalia; order Primates; family Hominidae; genus Homo; species Homo sapiens. Next base: position 125,092,498 of record NC_000011.10, read on the forward strand.
CAACACATCCTGGGTGTCTGAGTGGGGGTGGGAGAGTTGCTGTTGGGAATCCTGAGAAGTGACAAAGGAGCAGACCTCCTACTGAAAGGTGTGGGGGTAGGGAGGATGGCAGATGGGGGTGGAAGGAGGCAATGCTTAGGGGAGAAGGGGCCCTATATTCTGTGATAGGTACAATGTGCCCCCATAAGATGTCCACATCCTAATTTTCAGAACCAGTGAGTGTTACCTTACATGGCAAATGAGATTTTGTATATGTGATTAAGGATCTTGAGATGGAAGGACTGATGGGGTGGACCCAGTGGAATCAAAGGGCTCCGGATGAATCACAGAGGGAGGCAGGAGTGTTGGGGATTGGCAGATGCTGCTCTGCTGACCTTGAAGACTGAGGAAGGGTCCACCAGCCAGGGGGACGGGGGCGGCCTCTAGAAGGTAGAAAAGGCAAGGAAATGGGTTCTCTCGAGGCTCCAAAGCCTTTCCTTTACCCCCTGAAACCCATTTCTGGTTTCTGACCTCCGGAGCGATAAATGTGAATTGATCAAAACCAGTAAGTCTATGGCAATCTGTTACAACAGTAATAGGAAATTGATAATATTCCCAGTGTAAAACTGGGGTATGACCAATTTAACGGCAGGAAAATAACCACAGGCAAACAAAAGAAATCTCCAAAGCTTAAAACAAGTGAAGGGGCTGGCCTCATAGCATTTAGGCACAGCATAAGGGCTACTGTGTGACCACCTCACCCAAGAGTTCTCCAAGGGCAGGACTTGGACCAAATGCACAGACTATATCATCTCTGGCATGATGTGATGTAAACCATTAAAAACACACTTTCTCATTCTGTCTGTGGCACTGAGCCTGATTTCGATCCCAGCTCTCATTTCTTTGGTGGCAGGAAACTGAGAAAAGAGGGTGGGGGGGGTAGGGACTCAGAATTTTTTTTTTTTTTTTTTTTTTTTTTGCATAAACAGTCACCACCAATAATCTGCTAGGGACAGAGATCAAGTAGAAAACAAAACAAAAATTCCTGGTGTGTGGCTTTGATTCTGCCATTGGCACCTCTGAAAACTGGCCCAAGTCTCAACATTCCAGCTGGATGGTGCTTACAAGAGAGGCGGCAGTGTTCTCAAAACTTGAAAATATAGTCTACTAGCAGCTCAGCTGTTTAGTATCTCTGAGCAAGGGGACAACCAAAGTCTAACAGCAGAGACCTGCCAGAAACCCTGGGCTAATGGGTGAAGCTATCTCTGAGGCCTGCGTGCCTGTTCACGCTTTTCCCCAGACTCCTGCTCAATTCCTAAGATTCTGGTTTTTCCACCAGACTCAGCTACTTTTCCTTGGTATTTCTGTCAAGTGGATTTGCATTGCCTGCCCTTGTCCCTCCTTTTCCTTCGAGTTTATCCTATGGAGCAACGCTCTATAACAGACAGTAGTCAGGCTCTTAGACTCTAGAGCCAAACTGCCTGACTTTGGATCCTGACTCCTGTTTACGCCTACCAGCCCGTGCCTGTTCCCCATCTGTGAAGTGGGGATATTAAGAGTACCTACTTCATAGGGCCGATATGAAGAAGACATAATACTTACAACACACTTAGAAAAATGCCTAGCACATGTTTGCTAAATGTAACAAAAATTGTTATTTTGACATGTGGAACCCTAGACTTATTTCCAAGTATTGGGATGGAACTAGAGATTAAAGGTTGAACTTTATGAACTATAAAATCTCTTCCAATCCTGAGTTCTTATGCTTCTATGAGGATAATCAACACTTTTCTAGATTCGTTTCCATACAGTTCTGATTCTCACATCTGGAAATTCATTTCTATGTAACAGCCAGATACTTAAAGGTTTAAGCAAAGGAATTATGATTGAATGTTTGTTATTCATACTAAAATGATCATTAGAATCCTTTAATGAAACTTTTACCTTTTTGGATATGTGTTAAGAAAATGTCAGGTACAAACAGCTAAGAAACAGTATTAACCAATGTAAAAATAAGGAGTTACTTGAAAGTCAAAAGTGATCTTTCAACTATTTGAGAAATGAGATGTCAGGAATCCTGATGTCAAGTTGGAGCCCCACTTCTAATTAACTGTGAAACTTTTTAAATCCCTTGTCCTCTCTGCCTGTTTCTCATCTGTAAAATAATCACAGCAGGTTTCTTTACACATTGAGCAAAAAATAAACCAGAAACACTTCAACTGCAACAACCATGAAATAGAGTTGATACTAAAGTTTCTGTTAAATAACAGAACAAAAAATGGATTGCTTTATGTTAGAATAAAAACATTTAAAAATAAATTGGATGCCCTCCTTCCAGGAAGCAGTGAGGAAGACAGTCTAGACACCTTACAGCCTAGTTCTTCCATGGGCTTACTCCACCAGGACTAGTGCTTTACACCCTACGGGCACACAATATATGCTGAATGAATGGCAGGATTCGAGAATGAATGGCTATGTACTCCCTAGTCCCTGGACATTGGTATGGTAATTCTGATGCAGTTTTACATTAAATTTACATTGTACACAAAGAATGGTAGCTTTACTTCCATTTTTATCAGTGAAAAATTTAAGGAACTTAACAAATTACCCATTGTGATCTCCATTGTGGGGATAGGGTGGTATCCTCCTAATTCAGCTTTTGTCAGGATACAATTTTAAGACGCCACGAAATAACCTATTTTCTTATATAGAAACCCAGATTTACTCTCCCTCTCCACCTTCTAAACAGTGGGGATCACCAGTCTGCCACAGGATCCCCTCTGGGTAGGGAACAGTAGAGGGAACATGTTCTAAGGCCACTGATCACAGAATGGTTCTGAACACTAAGATGACTTCTGTCTGTATTTAAGGAATGACCTCTGAGCCCTGTCTCCAAGAAGGCCATGAGCATACAGGGTACCATAACAGACATTGACTATAGGGTTATCCCATGCCAAACTCTCAGTGAAATCCATTTTGAGCCCTCTCAGCCTTCTACGTCTTATCCCAACCCTGCGGGGCTTTTTTTGCATAACTGCATTGAGTATGCAGGTAGAAAGAAATCTATCATTCATTTCACCACAGCTGGTAATTATAGACTCCAGGTCTGTAGACTGTAGGTCAAGTCAAGCTGAAATAAACTTTGCACAGGGTATTTTTTTTTTTTTCCTAAAGCCAATCTTTAACATATATGCCTTTCATTTACATCAGGCAAAAAAACAAAAATTAGAAAACAGTAGTATTAAGGATAGAATTTAGTTTCCAACCTTAATACACTTTCCTCCATCTAAATAGTCACCCAAAACCTCATAGTTATTATCCATTGATCTAATAGTTGAATAACTTTTGGGGGGAATAAAAAAGATGGATTCATGGTCAGGAACCTATAAGAGTTTTCCCAGAGTTACTTTTTTAGCAAGGCTCTCAGAAGAAGGTAACAATTGGCAGCTTGTGCTTGTTAGGAGCCAAGCTTCCACTTGGGCTGCAGGGAGACTCACAATAGCATGAGGCCCCCAGCTTGTCTCAATTCCCTCAAGACTTATGCATTCTTTTTTCTCTCCCTCAATCTGCTTAGAGGATGTTTCTTCTTTTCTTACCTGTGTGCCCTAGGCCAGATTAGGAAACTATTTCCTTTGAAGTTTTCTGTACAAAGCCTTATCTGCAAAGTTTTTCCAAACTAAGTAAGATAAAGGAAATGGTTCAATGTAGGGATAACTATACCTGGCCCTCACCAGCCCATGACTCTCAGTGGTTACCTGTTCTCTCTTCTTGGAATTTAGAGCTTAGTTGCCTGTGGGGTGGCAGGACTGGGTAACTTCTCTACCCTGAAAACAGAATTGAGGAGAGAAAGTGAAGGAACAGTGTGGCCTTAACCTACCTGAAGCTCTCAATCAGAGTTCCACAAACCCTAGTGTGTTTTCTCTCTGAGACAAGCCCTGGGGCCTACCACACCTGGGTTTGCACACTGGCTGTTAGGTGAAGGTTGGGCAAGTCAGCTGATCTCTTTAAGCTTCCATTTTTTCTACTTTAAAGTGGGGATGATAAAAATGAGACCGTTGTAAAAATTAAATAAATTAAACCTCAAAGGAATTAGTGTGCTATTGGCATAGAGCACATACTCCATCAGTGATCTCTTTCCAACTTGTTTTCTTGGTTCTTAATTTTAAGCCAGAAGATTCTTTTTCAAATGGCTCTAGGGAGTCAGGATCAGACTTCCAAAGTGGAACCTGACCAGGGCCCCTCCATTTAATGCAAATTTCATTTGGTCTGGGAGATCAGACAGGTATAGAGTTATATCTGATGTTGAGAATATACCTTCCTCACTAGCTTTGGAGAAAGGGCTACAAAGATGAAAAGTGAAGACACCCCAAAATGGACTCATGGTAATTAAATAAGGCACACACAGCCCACCACATCATGGAAGAAAAAAACCTACAGATACATGGCAAGACAAAAAACAAAAAACAATATTTCCATACCTTTCCTCTAATCCCAAGGAAACCTAAAGAACTTGATTAAAAAGCCGTGGCCAAGAGTTCGAAGTGAAAGTCAGCCCTTTAGCTATTATTTATTGCTTTATTAGAGCAGAGGGAAGTGACACTCATTGCCTTCACAGAGCTCTGCAGAAATATATGCACAGAGTGGTCAATGACCAACATCTGAGTAAGTCTTCCAAATTATCACATTAAAATAACCTTTCAAATTTGAGTGCCTCTCCTTTGCAAACAACTGCAACCTCATAATGAATAATTTTATATATTATCAAAAAGAACCAGAAGCCCAGGTGCTTTTTTCCCCAAAATCCACTTACTAAGGACTTGAGTGAAAATCCACTCTAAGCAGATCACTGTTACTATTTCCCTTTCAAAACAGTTGGAAATCCTAAGGTACGGGTACTAAGAAGATAGCAATATCCTTCTTAAGCTGGTAAGAATCTAGCCCCACAGGGACAATTTGGCAATCCTGTTTCTGGAAGCCAGGACTCCAGAGATTTGTCTTAGTGATGGACAGATACTCCTCTAACCTTAAGGCATGAGGGCTGTCAAAACAAGGCTCTGAATAGTGCCTTCCTGCTCATCAATGTCATCACAATGAAGGAGAGAACAGGTTTTCGTTTTCCTGAAGAGTGGTCAGTAGGAGTGCAGTGGTTTGGCATAGATCGGCTCCAGAACATAATGGATTAAAACCAAGAAGAGGCCTCCAAGGAAGATGGCACTAAGGAAAGCCAGCAGGACATAGCGGCCAATGAAAAAGTCATCCACAATCTGGAGAAAGAAAACATCAAAATGAAATTACTACCAGTTAGACACCCTGGCTGGGTTAACCTGAACTCCATGATGAGTGGGCCAAGAGTTAGTTCATGTGTATAACTTCCAGTAACATCCTGCCCTGAGTCTCCTCTGTACATGAGAAAAAAGAATCTTTTCCTCAACTCCCTGAGCAGGAGACACAAGAAGGGATTAATGAGGGACAGGGAACAAATGGCTCAATTTAGGATGTTGGTAAACACTTTGAAGTCCCTGGATGAATTCTTTTATATTCTGAAATCTGTTACCTGAAAGAGTTAATGAGAAGCTTTTGCATGGTCCTAGAAAGGCTCATTTTTGTTGTTGCTAAAATACATTTTATTACGGAGAATTTTAAACATACATAAAAATGCAATAGTATAATAAACTCCCATGTATCTAAGACCCAACCCCCAAAATCATCAATCCATTGCCATTTCAGGAGGGTTCATTTTCAAAATGAAAGGTGACTCTTTAAAGCTATCAGCGGAAGAGTCCCATGCCACGGGGCAGGGAAAATGACCATTTACCTGAGATACTAAAACACTAAAAGGATAGGTAACTTGCCCCAAAGCAGACAGTGGGCTGCCTGGCCTTACACTTGAGGCCCCAAAGATGTTGGTCTTTGCTGACAAAACCCTATAATTGGTGTTGGCTCTACCCACTTGTCCACTGACCCCTTCCAGAGCTCCACTCTCCCCAGATCCAAATGGTGGTGCTTAAATTTGGGCAGGAAAAAGCAATTTAATCTATAGACCTAATGGAGCAACACCACCAACCAAGTGGCTGACTGACTTCACAGAAACTTTGAAATCCCAGTACCTAGGAGAATCCAAAACAGCTGAAAGGCAATTGTGGCAGACAGAATAATGGCCCAAAGATATCCACATCCTAATCCCCAGAAATTGTGAATATGTTAGATTATATGTTAAAGGAGAATTAAGATTGCCAATCAGCTGCCCTTAAAACAAGGGGTATTAATCTGGATTATCCAATCCAGGTGGACCCAATCTAATCACAGGATCCTTCTAAGTTGAATAGGGAGGTGGGAGAGAGGGTCAGAGCAAGAGAGGTGAGGATGGAAGCATCAGTGAGGTGTGATGTCACTGGCTCTGAAGATGGAGGAAGGGGGCTGTCAGCCAAGGAATACGAGCAGCCTCTAGAAGCTGGAAAGGATAAGGAAATGGATTCTCCCCTAGAACTTCTGGAAAGGAATGCTGCCCTGCCAACCCCTTGGTTTTAGCCCAGTGAGACTGATGTTGGACTCTAACCTACAGAACTGTAAGATAATACATCTGTGTTGGGAGCCATTAGTTCACATAATTTGTTACAGCAGCAACAGAAAACTAACACAGCGGCCATACACAAAGTATCTCTCAGACCCGAGCCCTAGTAGGATCACTGAGGTCCAAAGACACCTCAGCTGCTCCAGAGATTACCCCAACAGTCAACTTACAACAAAGGTCAGTTTGATAAAACAGCTTTAACATAACTTTGACCTTGGCTCCGGTACTGAACAAGTCTCTTGCGGGCCACATGTTTGCTCGTTCGACACGTTTCACTTTTTAATTAGCCAATTAGCAGGCCTTGGGTGCAGAAGGCCCAGGCCATGTATTATTGATACAGCATTGAGCCAGGCTGCTGCAGAGGCCCGCTCTCAAAACCTGAAAATGAGAACTCCAATTCTGCCGGCCATGCTGACAAAAGTATTTTGCTCAAACCCCATTCTTGTCTCCTGGGTCTGAAACTCATATGACAGACAATCGAGGGATTGATTTCAAAAATGTGTTTGCTCTGTGCCCTTCTCCCGATGTTTACATCTGCAGCATCCAGAAATGTGGCAGCCCACATCACTCTCCCCCTTAAAAGACAAGGAAAGCAGCTGGGTGCGGTGGCTCACGTCTGTAATCCCAGCACTTTGGGAGGCTGAGGCGAGTGGATCACCTGAGGTCAGCAGTTTGAGACCAGCCTGGCCAACATGGTGAAACCCTATCTCTACCAAAAATACAAAAATTAGCTGGGTGTGGTGGCACATGCCTATAATCTCAGCTACTCGGGAGGCTGAGGCAGGAGAATTGCTTGAGTCCGGGAGACGGAGGTTGCAGTGTGCCGAGATCATGCCACTGCACTCCAGCCTGGCCGACAGAGCGAGACTGTCTCAAAAAAAAAAAAAAAAAAAAAGATAAGTGAGGTGTGAATTTGCCCCTGGCTCACACATGTGGTACCCACACCTCCAGAGTGTTTTCCAAATACTGACAACAAACTTGTGTCCATGGAAATAATTCCTTAAGTGTGTGTGGTAAAGTACTATTTCCCTTGGAGTTTAATTTCCTTCCTCTTGCCATAGTTAATCCTACAGTGTCAATTTTAGTTCAAAAGTTACACATATAATCTTGTGTACTGTTGTTGTCTAGTGTCAAAATGCTAACCCATGAGCTCTCTGGGACTGCCCTGAATATTCTGTTAAGTTCTCAACACTGAAGATTTTGAAGACGGACCTCAGCTTGAATCCCTGTTCTGCCTCTTGCTATGTGACCTTGGGCAAGTTACCTTAACCTCTGACAGACTCAGTGTTCTTACCTATAAAATGGGGATAATAATGGTACCTATGTCATACTACTTAGGGCTGTCCTGAGGTTTAAATGAGACAGTGCAAACAAAGTGTTTGGCACAGGACCTGGCACACGGAAATCCCTTAAAGAATGTTAGCTATTTTCATGACTATCACTTAAAACATCAAAATGAAGGTTGAGAGGAAAGCTGTGAGAAGGAGTAATGGGACAGAAAAGGTCAATGTCATTGTCAAGATCCCATGGGTCTGAGACCAGCCATGCATGGTAAAGCCATGGTAAAGAACTCCAGAGAAGGATTCTGAGAGAGATGATAAAAATCCATTTAAAGACATGGGTGCTGGCAGGTATGGTCCCAGGTATGAGGACCAAAGAACTCCCAGAAGACTGTTGGGAAAATTCTAGCACATGCAGTTGGAGAAGCATGTCCTCAGCACCCTCAGGGCACCACATCAATTTCAGCCCAGGATCTGCAGTTAGGAGCCCAGGCTGCCAGGAATGGGAACACTTCATCTCGGGTGCAGGCCTGTGACTATCCCTATTTCATTTTCTTTTTTTTCTGTCCCCATGGTACGAGGTGGCTTTCCAACAGGCTGTTTTCAACTTGATGCAAACTGAAGATGAGACCAAATCAGGCAAATAACTGCCTGGTGGGGTTGTAGATGGAATTCAGAGTAAGATTCTTTTCCTGAGTGAAGGGGCAGGGGAACTTAAAACTCCCTCTGAACTTTCCCCGTCATTGGTTGAACTTTACAATTCTGACATCTCAGGCAACCCGATGTCAGGGAACATCAAGGGCAGGACGGATGTGCAGACCAAGAGAAATAAGAATCACAGCTCAGGAGGCAAAACGAAAGCAACAGCTTTACCTTAACTTCCACTTCTGGGGCTGGGAATTCACCAGCTCGCGGGAAAAGCAACAGAACTGATGTGATGATCACAGCACCGAAGAATAAAAAAATGACAGAGAACCTGGGGTTAAAAAGACAAATTATTAAAAGCACTGTCTATAATTTCTTCTTTGATCAGTTAGGTCTGGACAGTCTCTTCCTTGGAGCCAATATTCTATGTTTCAGTCCCTTAACAATGTCCAGAGGCCTGCTGTCAACAACCTCTTCATCCCAAAGTCCTTCTTCCTAGACAGGTACCAGCTGGGTGCATTCCCATTTATTCTTGGTAATTCCCAATTCCTAAGAATGGAAATGTGTAGTTTTTATTTTTACTTCTGCCCAAAGTCATAATCAAGAAAAACCAAAGCATCCCCTCTCCACCTCCACTTCTGTTGTTTTTAGAACAGAATACTTTAGAAAATTCTACAACTCTCTGCTTCATACTAACACTGTCTTGCCAGAGTGCAACTCTAGTGTTTTCAGAGTCGGTTTATGGCCTAACCCTGTTCTGAAGGCAATGCCTGATATAGAAAGCAGGCCCAACTCATCAAATGTTGCTTTCGTTTTCCTGGGTCCAGGGCTAGAGCCTCGGGTACTGGACCAAGCCTCTGCCATAAATCTGAACAATTCATAAACACATACACATACAGCCTCAAGAAACTCAATAAGCAGTGAAAGCAGAGTTTCTTGCCACAGTTAGAACTCAAGAACACTACTTCCTTCTCCTCCCATCTCTGCTCCAGAGCATAAATAACACAGTTAGTGTTTATAAAAAGAGGTTAAAATGCAACTCATTCAAACTGCCAGTAATTACAAAACTGATCTCTTAAATTCTAAATGTTTAGTGAGCATCAGCGATTTTGCCTCTAATTGCTTTACCTAGGACTCCCAGTTGGACAGAATGCCTTACCTCGCCGCCCCGGAGGCTCTGGACAGCAGCACACACAGCAGCAGCACTGCCACCCAGAGCAGGGCTAAGATGAACACGCCCGCACCGACTCCGAGCACAGTGCCAGCCATCCCGCGGGGAGGCAGCGGCGGCCCCCCGCCCTGCGCGCCGCACGATCGAGTGTCCTCTGTGCTCCAGTGCAACACACTCCCGTGAAAGCATTCAGACAAATACAGAAAGCCTAAACTCATTACAGGTTATTTTTTGATGATCAGTGTGTTAGGAGGATTACTCAGTACAGGTCATTAATTTTCAGAAATGTCCAGTCCCAGAGTCCCTTAATGGAAACTGGAAATTTAGAACCCAAAGCCTTTCTCTTTGGTGGGGACTGAGAGGGTGTTTTCCGCTCTGCGCTCAGAAGTTTTTTCTGAGTGTTTCCTTTCAAATTTGGTACCTGAGTTCTACTTTGACCTCTTCCCCCAGCCCACGGGAGAAAGCTGAACCCTCTCTGAATATAAAACCCTACCTAAGAACTGGTAGAAGACACCAGGGCATGGGAACTCCAGGGCCAAAGCAGAAGTTGAAGCTCTCAGGTTAAATCCATGGTGTGAGCTGTGACTCACCAGGCAATGGATCACAAGACAGAAAGTTCCCACTCTGTTGTCGAGTTCTTATTCAAGAGGATGAAAACTCCCAGTCCTTAAAGAAGAGGAACAGCCATCACTATTTTTGAACATTCACTGTGTGCTAAGTGCCGTACAAACATATCTCATTGAATCCCGGAGCGAAGCTTCTGAGAAAGGTATTACTATAGCCATGTTACAGGATGGGTAAGTGAGATATAAGCGCGATGGGGTATCTATTAGTTTCCTAATTAGCAGCTCAAAATAGAAATTTATTTTCTCACAGGCCAGCAATCCAAAATAAAGGTGTCAGCAGGGCTGTGCTCCCTCCAAAGGCTCTAGGGCAGGGGTCCCCAACCCCTGGGCCATGGACTGGTACTGGTCCATGGCCTTTTAGGAACTGGGCCGCACAGGAGGAGGTGAGCAGCAGGCAAGCCAGCCTTACCACCTGAGCTTCGCCTCCTGTCCTATCAGTGGCAGCGGCATTAGGTTCTCACAGGAGCACGAACCCTAGTGTGGACTGCACGTGCGAAGCATCTAGGTTGCAGGCTCCTTATGAGAATCTAATGCCTGAAGATCTGAGGTGGAACAGTTTCATCCGGAAACCACCCCCCTGCATCCCCCTGTGGAAAAACTGTCTTCCATGAAACCAGTCCCTGGTACCAAAAAGATTGGGGATCAGTGCTCTAGGGGAGAATCTTTCCCTGCCTCTTCCATCTTCTGGTAGCTCCAGGCACCATTCACTGGCTTTTAACTCACAACTCCAGTCTCTGCCTCCATCTTCCCATGGCATTCTCCTGTGTCTGTCTTCACATTTTCTGTCTCTTATAACGGTACTTGTCATTGGATTTAGGGTCTGTACAAATAATCTAGTATTATCTTGAGATGCTTAACTTAATTAAATCTGCAAAGACCCTTTTGTCAAACAAGGTCATGGTCACAGATTCCAGGGGTGAGGATGCGGACATATATTTTTGGGGACCACCATTCAACTCACAGCAGAGGAACAGCACACCACACTACCTCTCCTGGTTTTCCTTTTCAGCATTGGAGACAAGTCTTAAGCAAACACATTCCTCTAGGTTGCTGGTTTTCTTTACCCTTATGGTTTAAATACCACGAAAATATTAGCTATGAGAAGTTATAAAGTTATTGGAAAGGAGGGTCTAAGCATGAACTGGTAAAAAAAATACGTTTATTGAATCAACATTTATGATGTTCCCACCATGTAAAGCACTGCGCTACAAGCTGGGGATGCCAAAGGTGAATAAGATATCTTCTGACAGAAGCTCAAGGTCTATTGGAGAACATTGTCCTGAAAACAAGTGTCCATATTACATTCTGATTAATGGTAAAAGCGAAGTGCAGTGGGAACTGCAATAGTGAGAGGGGCTTTACAAAGGAAATACTCTGCACAGGCACATTTAGGAAAGAATCAGAGTGAAAAGATGACAGAGTGAGGGGAGATGGGACCTGGGGCCCACCTGCATGCCTAACTTCTCTGGGGAGCAGTCTGCCCTCATTAGGGCCACATGGGCGCCATCTCGGTCACTCTAACACGCCCGGGGTTTCCCCATCTCTGGGTCTTTGTACTTGCTGTTTCCACTGCCTGGAACTAGCCCTCAACCCCAAGCACTCCTGCTACTATTTGTAGGACTGGCTTTCCTCAGCCTTCTGATTTCTGCTTAAATGTCACTCTTCAGTGAGGTCTTCCCCGAGTGTCTTCTCTAAAGTAACCCCTCAAACACTGACTCTCCATCACTCTATTTCCTTCAGAGCATTTTTCACAAAACTAGTTAATATTTTCATTTATTTGTTTACAAGTTTATTTTCTGTCTGTCCAACTAGAATAGTAAACTCCACGAAGGCAGAGACCTGATATCTTTCTCACTGTGGTAACCCCAGTTCTTAGCACAGAGATTATGCACAACAAGTATCTGTGGGAGGAATAAATGACACAGTGCTAACAAGTCCACAAACATCAGGTGAGGGAGTGAAAGGATCATATGGAGTTTTAGAAAGATGACTGTAACCTCTGGTCAATATGCTGGATGGAAGTTAACAAGGGAAGTGCCTCATACAACAGCAAACACATAAATGTTCAATAAAATAGAACAAGAAGAATTTAGTACACAGCAGAGCTCGAAAGCAATAAAGAAAAATCATTAAGTGCTATAAAAAAATGTAACTCAAGGCCTGAGCTGAGCCTAAAAGTCTACGAGGGTCCTGGTGCCTGATACAGACCTTCAGGGTGATTCTCTTCAGGGCAGATAAGGTCTCAAGCCCACGATGGCAAAGAACTAGCAATGAGAACAATGCAGAAAGCTGGGCCCTCACAGGATTGACCAGTTTTTGAAATAGGGTCTAAATAATTTGCTACTGACTTAGTTGGAAGGAAGCTGGCTGAGTGCTTCAGGCCACAGGTCAAAAAACAACAGCCCAAGAGAAATCTGAATCCCCACCTCACATCATATCCATGTGTGAGATTCAATACTACCGATGTGATATGGGAATCCCAAATAGAAAGATTAACATGAAAACTAGACTAAAAGTGAGAACCCATTGGATCCCAGCAGAGACAAAACTAAACCCACAGGCTGGCATGCAAGACTCCCTCAAGAGTAAGTGTAAAACAAAGATGTTTTCAGACATACAAAGGGTGAAATGTAGTACACCTCTCAAGGATCCTCAGTGAAAGGGCTACTCAGAGACATACTTCAGCAAGAAGGAAAATGAACCAAGAAAGGAGGTATGAGATACAGGAAGCATGGTGAGAAAATTATTAAGAAATATTGACAGTAAAGATTTCTGTAATAATGACAATTTTTGAGGGGTTAAAAATCAGAAAGGACTAAATATTACTCAACAGTTATATGGTAGATGGAAAAGGATAGTTCAAAGTTAAAGCATTCTACAGTGATTTTGTTTTGGAGGAGGTATATGTTTTTTAAGCTAAGTACACAAGTTAAAAAAACATACAGGTAAACAGCAAGCAACAGAAATAGAAAAAATAGCTTCTATACTAGTAAAGTGAAAAAAAAATAAAGAAAACAGAAAGTGGGGCAAGGGTCAGTGGGTGTGAGGTGGGTGGCAGAACAAAGAATACGCAAGGAAAATGGAAAATACAAAATAAGATTGTAAAAATAAACCCAAATACAACAGTAATCATAGTACATGGAAACATTATATTTGACTACTAAAAGAAATTCTCTTAGATTTTTCTTTTTAAAAATAGCTGTGTACAAAAGCTCTACAGAAAGTATAATGAGAGGCTGAAAATAAAGAGATTGAGAAAGACATGCAAAGCAAATATTAACAAGACAAAAACCAGGGAAGGAGGGAATAGGGAGATGGTGAATGAGTATAGAGTTTCAGTTTTGCAAGATGAAAGCATCTTGGAGCTCTGTTTCACAACACTGTGAATATACTTAACACTGCTGATCTGCACTCTTAAAAATGGTTAAGACAGGAAATTCTGTTTTTTTGTTTTTGTTTTTGTTTTTTTATAAGCCACAGTTGAAAAAAAACCAAGTGAAACAAAATAAAATATAAGCTATGAAGCAATATTAGTACCACGCAAAACAGATGTAAAGCTCTGAAAAATATTAAGAACAGTGACAAAAGGAACCATTCAGTAAAAAGATACAACCTGAAACAAATGTGAACCTAACAACAAAACCTCCAAATATATAAAGCCAAAACTGACAGAAGTACTACAATAAATGTATAAAACCACTAATTTAGCAGGAGATTTTAATATATGTCTCAGAAACTGATAGATCAAGCAGATAAAAAAAGAATAAACACTTGAGAAAGAGGATACCTGAATGAGAATAAATATGTAAAAAGGTGCTCAACTTCATTAGTCATCCGGAAATTGCAAATTAAAACCAAATTCAGTGCCTTCATATACCCACCAGAATGGCTAACATGAAAACAACAGACAACAGCAAGTGTTGACAAAGATGTGGAGTAACTGGAACCCTCATATACGGCTGGCAAGGGCCATAATTTGTTAACCACTGCTTTGGAGACTATTGGCAGTATCTAATAAAGCTAAATATAAATGCATCCTACATCCAGCTCTTCTATTCTTAGGTGTATTCCCAACAGAAACGCACACCTAAATTCAAAAAAAAGACATTGCAGCCCTACCTGAAATAGCTAAAACCTTAAACAATCCAAATATCTGCCAATAGAGTGGATATAGTACTCTACAATCTATTCATTCATACAGTATATAAAGCATTATGTAGTATAAAGCAATGAGAATAGTATAAAGCAATGAGAAAGAACACACTACAACTATACTCAACAATGTGGATGAATTTCACAAATATTAAATGAAAAAAGCTAGAGGCTAAAGAGTTCATAGTATATGAGTCCATTTATATAATGTTCAAAACAGGTCAAACTAATTTTAGGGGCTGGAGGTCAGGCGTATGGTTGGCTTGTGAAACATAGTGACTGTAGGAGGTTCAGGGAGATGCTGATAAAATTCTGTTTCTTGATCTGGGTTTTGTTCACCTGGGTTTGTTCATACGGTGATGTTGTATCTAACCATGCACTTAGGATTTATATACTTTTCTGTATGTGTATTACCCTTCACTAAAATGTTTACAGAAAGAATATTAAGAGATGTATCAGCCATGTGTAGTATATGGACCCTTATTTGGTCCTGATTCGAACGAAGCATTGCAAAAACCTTTTATGAAATGATTGGGGAAATCTGAAGAATATTCAGATATTTGATAATATTATGAAATTACTGTTTGTATTTTCAGTGAAAAAACACTATTAAAAAGATGATATTATTATATTGTTAAAAGATTATTTATGATAAAGATATATGCATACACACGTAGCACATTACAGATAACAGAAAAGGGTTTCTAGGAGCTTTCTATTACCTCAGTGAGAGGAGGTGAAGGGGCTGACATGAAACAAGACTGGTCATGAGCTAGTTGTTGAAGCTGGGTGATGAGTGTGTAGATGTTTGCTAGCCTATTTTCTATATTTCTGAATATATTTTAAACTTTCATAATAAAAAGATGTGGATATGTGTGTATATATATATATATATCTGCATAAATATGAATATAAAAGATGAGTAAGATTTGTATAGCTAAAATTATAAAACTTTATCAAAGACAAAAAAAAAAAAAAGAGAGAGAGAGGACCTGAATAAAGAAATAAAGCAGACCTGAACAGAGAAATAACCTGTGTTCCCGGATGGGATGGTTCAATTAAAAAAATCTCAATTTTCCTTAACCTATAAATTCAATGCAATCCTAACCAAAGTCTAAAAACAATTTTTTGTGGAACTTGAAAACGGATCCTAAATTCATATGGAAGAGCAAAAACCCAAGAATAGCCAAAACAATTTTGAGAACTAGGATGGCAACTTGCCTTTCTTGTTACCAACTGCCGCAAGACACATTGAAAAACCAAAGTAATTAAAACAGTGTGATAGTGGCACAAAGACACATGGCCCAGTGGTATAAAATCAAGAACCCAGAAACAGATCCATGCATTTGTGAGAACTTCCTACAGCACAGAGTTGGCTTTATGATTCAATGGGTAAAGAACTTCATAGATAGTGTTGGGACAAATGATTCTCCAATAGGAAAAGAATAAAACTAGATCTCTATATGATATACAGAAGTTGATTTTAAATGGAAAGTAATTCGTAATGAAATAGCATATGTTTAAATATACAAATGTTCAGGCTGACTACACTAGAATACATAATGAAGTACAGTAGTCAGATGCTTGCACCTAAACTTAGAATCACCATGAATGCAAAAGCTTCAAATGCAGACTATGCAGGTGTGTTGTTCTGGCAACTCAAATACCACGAGCTGTGCTGCCTTCAGTTATGTGATTTGCTAGAGTGATGAACAACTCTTGTTAAAGTTCCAAACCACAAATAAGTATAATTTTCCTCTGATTTACATTAGAGTTGCATTCCTGGAAATTTTACTATATTAAACTGTGCCAAAAAATACATTATGTTTATACAAAAACCGGAGTTAGGCTCTACACTCAGATAATTATAAATGAGTATCCTGTGGGATACTCAAAATTTGCACAGGATGCAGGACAATTCTTCGTTGTGAGGACTGTCCCATACATTACAGAACATCCAGTATCCGCAGTCCTGATCTGTAAACCCCAGTAGTGCCTCCAATCAAAGAATAACAAAATACATCTTCACAAATTCCAAAACACCCTAAAACGGGCAGCAACATCTTCTTGGGGAACCACTGTTCTAGACACAGTCTTGCATAAAGAGACATGTACAAGGTGTTTATTGCAGCTTTGTTTACAATAGCAAAACATCAGGAAAAAACCTAAATGTCCATCAATCAGGGAACAGATACAATATTATATATTCATAATGAATACTTAAAATGAATGAAATTGATCTATATGTATTGATGTGAATATATCTCAAAAACAATGTTGAGTGACAAAAACAAGTTGCAAAATGGAACCCACAGTATGATACTACTTGTATTTTTAAAATTAAATACAATCTAAACAGTAATATATATTGTTTCTGACGAACGTATATACAGCAAAAGTATAAAAACATGGGCATAAACAATACATGACAATTTCAAAAGACTATTTGCCTCTGCAGAGGGAGGAAGGAAAGGGAATGGGGTTAGGAGTGGAAATAAAAGGGATCTGAACTAAATCTGTGATGTTTTATTTCTTTAAAATAAAAAACTTGAGCTGGTGTGCCAAAATGTTAATATTTATTAATCTGATTGGTGGAACATAGATATTATACTACCCAATGTACTATTTTCTGTTTTTAAATTTTTCGTGATAATTTTTAATTTTTAAAAAGGTAATGGGCAGCAGGATGCATATGAATTGGGTGACCAGTTAGGAAACTATTGCAATTCTCCAGATAAGAGATGATGAGGGTCTGACCTCCAGTCTTAGCTGTGTCAAGGGAGAAGGTGTTAGAAATGACACAAGTTTCTAGCTTAGTTGACTGAGCTGATGGTACTGCTCTTAAGAAAACAACTATTTAAATTTAATTTGTGCTATTCTGGATATTACACAAATAACCCAGAAGACTTGGACCAACTCTAACAGTTAGAATAGAGGGCAAATGGTAGTTGAAGCTGGCTGGCGCCATTAGAAATGTTGCCCTTCAATCCCCCTTAGTAGCTTAAGAGTTCGTGAGACATTGGATTTATATATGGTATGGCTTTAAAGTAATAAGATAAATATTCCCAAGCTCTTTTAAGAATGGAGCTCATAATTTTATAAGCAAACTATACATTTTCTTACTAAGCATAGAAAAGAAGGGCTGGGTATAGTATAGAGTGCTGCTATAGAGGAAGAGAGAACATCTAGTCATTTTTATCTTATTTAAATGTGAGAATAATATCTGTGATAATTTCCCATATTAGAATAGCTAAATTATTGTTATTGAGTACAATACAATAAAATATAAAAACGGGTTCATGCCATCATTAAACCTTCTTTGAGAAGTGATGGCTTGGCCAACCCGATTTCAAGGGTAAGTCCATTTACTTAATATCTGTGGCATTTAAAGCAGGTAGACTGGAGTGAAAAAAAATAATTTAAATTTGAACAGTTCAGCAGCTGACAACAAAAGCAACTACAGGGCTAATGTTTTCCTTCTGTGCTCAATGCTGTGAGGTTTTTCTCTGAGAGAGTTTGTTCAAAACCTTTTAGATGTGTGTGTTCATTTAATGGTTGTTTCTACATACCCTTTCATCCAGCTGTCAGAGAAAATAGGAATAAATGGACTGATCCCTGCACAGGTAACCTAATGGATTAAAAATACGGTACTCATCACCAGGTTGATCATCATGAGCGAGAATACTAACTGCCATTATAAGATGACTTATAAGATGACTTACTATCTAAGACAAATGTGGATTCCTCAGAGGGTAATGTGGCCTAAGTGCTGCTGCTGGAGGGAGATATCTCACCCATCCCCCGATTTTCACACTGACTCAAGCCCTTGAAAGCAACAGAAAACAGTGGGTTACAAGGAGTGAAGTGCTCCTCTGGAAGAGTCCTTTTCACTTTGCTTTATAGCTGTTTTCCAAACCTTCAAAAATAACGGGGGGGGGGGGTTACTTTCACACTTTTATGTTTCTACTTTAAACACTTCACTATCTTTTGAATTTTAAAATATTAGAATAACGCCTCTACCTTTGTAATTAGATAAAATGCAAGCCTGGGGAAAAAATCAGTTGCCAAGCTCCCAAAATGCCACCGATGTAGCATCTGCTCTTAACACGTTGATAGAAAAAGGAGGATCAGTAAACCTAGGTCTCTTCCTTGCATCCCTCTCCTGGACGGTGTTGTGGGTTGGAAGCGCTGCAGAGCCTCGGTCTATCCGCTCTCTGGATCTCACAGCACTGCAGCCTGGGAACACCCCACTTGAACTCTAAGCTTCTCCCCAACCCTGTTGCAGATTCAAACTGGCGACAGGAAAACAATGCCCCCCATGTCTCGTCTTCAGAATGTGCACCTGGCCACCTCCCAGGAGCTAGAGAGGGATTAAGGTCTCGGTCATAAGAGATCTGAATCAGGCACTGACACTTCCTTTTCTTAAGAGCATGAAACAAAACAGTCCTTCCTTCTCTGCCTCCAATTAAGTATTTATTAGCCGGGCCTTGGGTCCAGATCAGCGGTAAGGGTGGTCTGCGAGGTCCGTGCACCGCCGTCCGCCCACGCCTTCTTCCAACCACCTCAGCCCGACCCTCCACTTTTCTCCCTTCCCCGCAGCCGCCCCGCTTTCCTCACCTCTGCCCCCTTCACCTGGATCCACTCTCCCCCAGGCTCTACTCACACCTCAGATTCCGGCGCGTTCCAGCCCACGGGGCTCTGGTTTACTTAGGGCGAATCACAAGTGGGCTTTCATTTAGGTGATTTAAGATTCACTAATCAGCGTTGCTCTTTCAACGGCCAACTTCTTCCTCATTAGCTTACGCCTAGCGCGGCTCCCGGCAACGCCGAGCGCGGTGGGTTGGCTCGTCACCCTTCGTTACGCCCTCCGATTGGTCGGTGCCTGTCAGCCTTTGGACCGACCTCAGTTCGGTTGGGTAGCAGCGGTCCGAGCTGCACTCCCCGCCCCCCCGCCACTCCACTGTCAATCACACCATCTCTCCGTAACTCATTGGGCCATTGGTCAGTCTAGCCTGAGGGCGGGTTGTTGGGCGGAAGAGAGAGACTTCTTCCGGCCTCACTCGCTGTCACCATAGAGATTGCCCATCCAGGCAGCGAAGCAGCAGGGCCAGGCAGCTCAGATCTCGAACTCCAGAGAACTGCACAGTCATCTAGACATCAATGCCTTTTCCGGGGCCTGATGAACATCTCAATCCCCAACCCACTAGCTCGAGTGGGGCGCAAGATGTGGTGGACAAGTCAGCTCAGGCCCGGTCATTAAGTGTCCCCAACAACCCTCCTGGAGGGAACTGAGGACGAAGCACCAGTTGTAATAACGGCACGCTTCATTTATCTTTATCTCGACTTGTTTTATTTGGTATTTAATTCTTCCATTAGCCTTGCGAAACAGACAAAGGCAAAGATCATTCTACCCACGGGACAGACTGGGGAAGAGGCCCAGGGTCCATCAAGTAAACCCTCTGCCGCCAGGCTGCTGGAACTGGAGCTGGCCCACGCTATTGGCAGACTGCTGTTACCTAACTGCCAACTAAAGCTTGCCATGACTTTGCTTTGAGGCTATGGCCTGTTAGACCAAAAGATGCATCAATCAGGACAACCAAAGGAAGTAGGACAGAGGCTGCGTGCTCCACCACTGAATCAAGAAGGGGAAACAAACAATAATCAATACCAAATTGGAGAGCTGCACCGTTTGAACCTTTGACCTTAAACAAAATTTTAAGAAATATCATGAAGCAACCTATTCAATCTTAGAGCACTGAATCTCTGATTTAAGGAATTCTCCTGAATCACAGCTTTATGAACCAAAAAGAAGAAGATGCTTGAATTTCATCAACTGCACGTCTCAAATTTATTCAACTTTCGAGGCTTCATTTACAATCACATAAAGTAACCAATGATTTGTTGTGCGTTTAGCAACTTAACATTACTTGGCCCAGTGAGAAGCTCTGTGGCTAAGAAATCCTTTATTTTGATGAATTCATTTCACTGGAACTGAGTGTTGACTGCAGCTATGTTCTGTTAGGAACTGCGAAGATATACAAGAAATGAGATGTGACTCCCATCTTAATAGCCCGTGGTTTTGTAATGTTAGGTCAACAACACATGAAACAAGTAGGAAACACTTTAAAGCAAGATATAACAATGGGCCAACCCTATTGTACAATTAATTTCTCCAAAATATAATAATACTTCATATTTGCAGAACATTTCGTAGTTTCCAGAGCACTTCTTCCCTTGTATTATTTGGGGGATATTTTGTTATGGCTGGAATTAATGTGTGTGTCTTTATCATAGAGCTAGAACTAATGCTGGGTCCTAGCATATGAGTAGGAACAGGAAAGGTGGAACAGAATCCAGGAGGAGAAAGTAGTTTGAGCAAAGAGGCCAAGGCAAGAATGAGCACTGAGTATCTGGAGAATAATATGGAGACAAATGATGGAAAGTAATGTGTAGACAAGCTGGTCAGAACTGGCTCTGAGACCTTAATATTTTGGAGGAAAGTGGTCAAAAGTTCAAAGTTTGAGATTGGAAAAGTTAACTTCCTTACACTTCTAATGATCATACTGGCTTCAGTTAAGCTATAAATTAAAAATGGGCATGGCTCAACAGAACTTGAGTCCTGTCCTCTCGCTTTTCTCCTTAGGCAGCATGAGCTTCACCATTTGCTTTACCACCTCCACCAACTACCAGTCCCTGCATTCCATCCAGCCACACAGCCACAGCGTCCAGTTCATCAGCAGCACAGCCAAAGTCTATGCAGTCCTCAGGGGCTTGGGCTCCCGGACCTCAGTGTCCTTCTCCACCAGCTTCTGGAGTGGCTGGGGGTCTGGAGGCCTGGCTGCAGGGATGCCAGGGGTCTGGAAGGAATGGGGTACATCCAGAATGAGAAGGATACCATGCAAGGCCTGAATGATTGCCTGGATTTCCTACCTGGACAGAGTGAGGACTCTGGTGACCAAGAGTCAGAGGCTGGTGAGCAAAATCTGAGAGCACTTGGAGAAGAAGAGACCCCAGGTCAGAGCCTGGGGGCATTACTTCATGACCATCAAGGACTTGAGGGCTCATATCTTTGCAAATTCTGTGGACAATGCTTGTGTTGTTCTACAGATTGACAATGCCCGTCTTGCTGCTGATGACTTTAGAGTCAAGTATAAGACGGAGCTGGTCATGTGCCTGTCTGTGGAGAGCAACGTCCGTGGGCTCCACAAGGTCACTGATGACACCAATGTCACTCGGCTACAGCTGGAGACAGAGATGGAGGCTCTCAAGGAGGAGCTGCTCTTCATGAAGAAGAACCAAGAGAAGGAAGTAAAAGGTCTACAAGCCCTGATTGCCAGCTCTGAGTTGACCATGGAGGTAAATGCCCCCAAATCTCAGGACCTCAGCAACATCATGGCAGACCTCCCGGCCCAGTATGATGAGCTGGCCCAGAAGAACTGAGAAGAGCTGGACAAGTACTGGTCCCAGAAGACTGAGGAACACACCACAGTGGTCACCACGCAGTCCACCAAAATAGGAGCTGCTGAGACAACATTCATGGAGCTGAGATGTATAGTTCAGTCCTAAGAGATCAACCTAGACTCAATGAGAAATCTGAAGGCCAGCCTGGAGAACAGCCTGAGGTGGGTGGAGGCCCGCTATGCCATGCAAATGGAGCAGCTCAGTGGGGCCGTGCTGCACCTAGATTCAGAGCTGGCACAGGCCCAGGCAGAAGGGCAGCACCAGGCCCAGAAGTATGAGGCCCTGCTGAACATCAAGGTCAAGCGGGAGGCTGAGATTGCCGCTACTACTACTACTGCCGCCTGCTGGAAGATGGGGAGGACTTCAATTGTGGCGATGCCCTGGACAACAGCAACTCTATGCAAACCATCCAAAAGACTGTCCAGGATAGCGGATGACAAAGTGGTGTCTGAGATCAACAACACCAAAGTTCTGAGGCGCTGAGCCAGCAGAAGCAGGGTACACTTTGGGGAGCAGGAAGCCAATAAAAAGTTCAGAAGTCATTGGATGTCAAAAATAAATTGGTAAGTAAAAGAACGGACATGAATGAGGAAGTACTCCAAAGTTTTTTACGTCTTCCTGAATGGATATAACATTATTAGGTTTTCTCTCTCTTAAGAGGGGATCCACCTCCCAAGTACTCCCCAAATGCACCCCTTAACTAGGAGCAGGGTGTTATTAATAGTTTTCTGATTAAATGATATCATATCCTCTCAATGAGATTGAGAGAAGTGCCGTCATCATAGTGCTTCATCTTTGCTGTCTCAGAATCAAAACTGTGTCCCTCACTCTAAAAAAGACTGATTATTTGATCATCTAATTTTTCTCTTTTAAAAAATTGCCTTCCCTGGCCGGGCATGGTGGCTCACGCCTGTAATCCCAGCACTTTGGGAGGCCGAGGCGGGATCACCTGAGGTCAGGAGTTTGAGACCAGCCTGGCCAACATGGTGAAACCCCGTCTCTACTAAAAATACAAAAATTAGCCAGATGTGGTGGTGCACACCTGTATTCCCAGCTACTGGGGAGGCCGAGGCAGGAGAATCTCTTGAACCCAGGAAGCGGAGGTTGCAGTGAGCCACGATGGCGCCACTGCACTCTAGCCTGGGCAACAGAGTGAAACTCCATCTGAAAAAAAAAAAAAAAAAAGTCTTCCCCATGCCATGTTATACAGCACCTCTACGCATTGCTCCACATCTCTACTGTGTATGTATTCCTCATACTATACTTGTATAATGCACATAGGTGCCATATATGAATGCATGCCATTTTGTTAACTTATTTTCTTCTGTCATAGACAAACAAAATTCAAAGCAATAATGACAAAAACCAGTGTTTCATTTCCTCCTCAAATGTGTAAAATCACTCGTTATGCTGCCTAGTAGAGGGGAAGAGTACGAAGAGGCCACTAGGTTAGCAAGGGCATGGAGTGATTTCAAGAGAAGATATAAAGTTTTCTTGCTCATTTTATAGTTATCAAAACTTTTTCTGCCAGTGAGCCCTGAATTTTTTGTACACAATCTCTTGTGTGATTACATTAGCATTTCTACAGGTCTGAAAATATAGCAAAAACTGAAGTAATTGTTGGTCATTGGCTGAGGCTCAAAAACTACTAATTTTGCTAATTCTCAATTTTGCTAATTCAGAAACCAAGTAAACAAAAATATCTTCAACGACTGTTGTCAGTAGTTGAAGCCAAATTACTGACCTTCCAAGGCCACCCAGAATTATCACCATGATTTTCTGGATCATAATATTCATCTGATGTTATAGACCAATGGTTGCCAAACTATATGGCCTGTGGGCTTAATCTTAGCTTGTACATTCTGCAAGCTAAGAATGATATTTACCTTTTTAAATGCCTGAAAAAAAACAAAAGAAGAAAAACACTTTGTGACATATGAAAATGATATCAAATTTAAATTTTGATTTCCATAAGTAAAATTTGACTGGAACCCAGGCATGCTCATTTGTTTATGTGTTGTTTATGTCTCCTTTTGCTTTATAACAGCAGAATTGAGTAGTTACCACAAAGACTATATGGCCCATAGCCTAAAATATTTACTATTAGGCCCTTTAAGTAAAGGTTTTAATTCTTACTACCTTAGAGATTCCTAATGAATCATGTCTGATAAACTGTTGGAATTGAAACAAACTTTGGAAATCATTTAGTGTTAATTTAAAGATCTCACACTGATAGAGCTATGTTACCTCTTGCCTAAAACCACGTAGTCAGTAGACGGAGGTGGTATTAATACTAGAACCCCAGTTACCCTGGTCCCAGTTTTTTTTCCTCCAGACTGCGTTTTTCCTCATGTAGAGTTTATCTTATGATGGGATAGGTGTTACATAGGCTGGAAGCAAGGAGAATTCATCAAAATTTTTCCAAGTTTTGATCTCATGTCTCATTCCACAACTGCAGTGCGGCATGCATCAATTTATGAATCCTTGGGCTTTCATTATTTATTTCAGCCCATTTGAACTGCCTTCTGTTTTCCATTTTTCTTACTTCTCAGAAAGTATATGGCCATCATAAAGAAACTTTCTCACTTTTATGCTCTTTCTCTCTTTCAAAAATTTTTTCTCTTTCTCCTTCTATAAAGGATTTTGGAGGTGACTGAATTTCTATTCCAGCCTAAAGTTCTTAAAGGAAGTGAGGATGGTTACAAAAACAGAGAGCACCTAGTTTTGACGCTGGAATCCACAATGGGCCATATATGTGGAGAGGAGAGGGAGTGTCCTAAATTGTGTGTGTAGTGTACATGAGCATATATGGGCTTTTCCAGGGAGAGTATTCATAGCTTACATAAGATCTGTAAAAGAGTCCATGACCCAAATAAGATTTGAAACTATAGATGTAAAGGAGATATATTTTGAGGAGAAAACCGCCCAGATGTGTGGTGGTGGAGATCGATCCAGGTTCCCAGGACTGTTGGACCTCACCCAATATGAGGGGAGAGCTCTCCACCCACTTACATCAGCCCTTCCAAGCCTTACCTTTTCTGCCACATATAGAGATGATAAAAATTCATCAGATTCACAGAATGATTGAACTCAGATGGTGATGAAATCTCAGTATAATTCTTTCCAAAGAAGGTTCTGATTAATAGAAACTGTAGAGGAACTAATTTTATGAAAATAGCAAATGGGATTGTTTCATTGAAGCAAGCGGGAGAGCAGGAGCTGATGCCAAGCAGGAAGATGCAAACAACCCCATTGTGTGGAGCTGACAGCTCCAATCTTGCCGCTTATTTATTAAATGTCTTTCCGCTGTAAATTATTAAGCCTGGATTTTGGGAGATGTGGGAGCTGACAGAATAAGACAATAGAACGGAAAGCAAACCTGGAAAGCTTCCTTCAGTTTTAATGCAGTATTGTACTTTCTGAAAAGCCTTTGCCCCCCTCTGGTGTTGGAGAAGGGGGAGGATTCTCTCTTTGGTGGGACTCAGAGATGGATAAGACAAGTAACAGACTTTTAATTTCTGAATTACTTGCCAGTTCTTGAATGGTTTTCAGAGAAATCAGAATGGTTTTCAGAGAAAATTCAACCTTTTGGCTCAACATCTGAGTGCCAGATATTTTGTCTATTCTCTGAAAGGGCTGTTTCAGACGAGGAGCTTGGTTTGCCTTAACATTATGAAGTGCCGAATTACATGTTTTAGGGTGCTCAGCGGCCAGAGGATTGGGTTCATTTGGCTTATTGTGTAGCTGAGAAGGTGTCTCACTGTGGGAAAGAGTTCTAAGGTCTATTTCTTTTTTTCTTTTATTTATTTATTTATTTATTTATTTATTTATTTATTTATTTTGAGATGGAGTCTTGCTCTGTGACCCAGGCTGGAGTGCAGTGGCATGATCTCAGCTCACTGCAACCTGTGCCTCCTGGGTTTAAGACATTCTCCTGCCTCAGCCTCCCAAGTAGCTGGGATTACAGGCACGCACCACCATGCCTGGCTAATTTTTGTATTTTTAGTAGAGACGGGGTTTTACCATGTTGGCCAGGCTGTTCTCGAACTCCTGACCTCAGGTGTTCCACCCACCTCGGCCTCCCAAAGTGCTGGGATTACAGGCGCAAGCCAATGCACCCGGCCCTAAGGTCTGTTTCTTAAGCTAAAGAGTAGGAAAAGACTGATGGACAGAGAGGGAGCTGAACTTTAAGCTTGGCATCATTTGAAAAGCTGGAGTTCTGGTAAATGGGAGAGTAGCTACTTTATGTGAATTTTAGGTTCAATTTTTAGTCCTCTGTTTTCCTGACAGCATAATGGAGGTCAGTGGGCCATATTTCTTGGCCAGGCACCAGGCAAGTAACAGTATGTGCATTAGTATGGATGCATAAGAGGAAGGCCCTTCATTCATTGTGTGTCCATTCATTTGACAAATATTTATTAAGTGTTACTGTGTGCTTTGAATTGTTCTGGAAAATGGGGATAAAGAATGAACAAAACCAAGTCCTGCTCTCATGGAACTCACATTCTAGTGGGAGAAGCCAGATAATCAACAAATAAATGTGTCAGCTATCTGCTGGTTTTCAGTGCTATGAAGAAGTAAAGTGAGGAAAAAGAACAAAGAGTGATGAAGGGGCATGTAGGGTGAGAGGGCACCATTTTACATAAGGTGGTCAAGGCAGACCTCTCTGATAAGGTGACATCTTAGCAGTGACCTGAAGGAAGTGAGTGAGCTCGTAGCTATTGGGGGAAGACCTAAGGGTTGAGCAGGCATAAGAGGCCCTGAGACAGGCAGGCACTGGGTGTACTCCAAGAACTGCAAAGTTGGGGGAGGATCTCCATAGAGGGCCCTGTGGGCCACTGAGGGAGCTTGAACTTTCTTCTGAGTAAGATGGGAAGTTGAAGGAGTTTTGAGCAATGGTGTGACAAGATCAGACTTACCAAAAACCAAAAAGAAAATGTAAAGCCCAATAACAGTTAATGCAGTCTATGGTCAGGGGGGCCTAATTCCCACAATACCAAGCCCTTGGATGATTCCTCCCCACCATGTGGAATGGGAAGGCTCATTTCAGTTCTCTGGAGGGCAGGCAGGATTTCTCTGTTATCTGTAAAATGACATCCTTTCCTGGAGAGTGCCAAGGGTGATGATAATCTGGGGTTAATGTCCCTTTGTTATATACAATAGGAGGAGGATATAAAGCCATCAAACATCAAAAGAGAGAATCTGTCCCCATTGGCCCTGCCCAGCCGCTGGGTTTACCATCTGAGCATCTTTTCTAGGGAGCAGATATCAACTGGCTGGCCAGAGGAAGATTCTGTGGGTTCTGATCCCTTTGGCTCTTGCAAAGGAGAGGACCTATGCCTCAGAGGCAAAATACCAGGCAACAGTTAGGGGGATCTATATTGCAAACTCGGCTGGAGCCTGTAGAGAAACATTTGGTGGTGGGGGTTAGGAAACTCATGATACTTTATGGGAAAGTGTAAGAGTATTAGAAGAACCACAGGGTTCCTGTATCAGCAGATGTCTTGAGGCATCGTTACAGCCCGTGACAAGGCTGAGCCCGCACTTCCTTATGAAATTTGAAGTTCACTGTGCAGCTGGAAAGTATTCCCATTCAGGTGGGTTCACACCAATGACCACTGTCTATCTGTTCTATCCCACAGAAAGGTATTTCAGAACAAGGTCAAGCTGAAGCTGTGAGTAGTGTGACCACTGTTCTTGAGTTGTGAGTAAGAGGACATGGCCAGACTCAGAACTGAGAGATTTTAAAATATGGGGACAAATCTTATTTGAGCTCTCAGCTGCTCAAATTGAAAAGCTTTTTTACAGATCAGTGCTGTATTCTAGGACTGAAAGGCCAAATAATTGGGATGGAGATCTAAGAGCTAAATCCGGATTAGGAATAGAATATTTGCAGAAGCTCACAAATACCTAGGTGTGGCCCAGCTTGGGAGTGTAGTCTCACAAATATTCCACTTTTTCTTTCTTTTCTTTTTTTTTTTGGTGAGTGGCACTGTCCATAAGGAAGAGAAGAAGCCTTGAAGATTTCAGTTCTGGGACTTTCTGCCCCAGAACCCTGTTTTGCTAACCTCTGTGGCATCATGCCAAACAATTCTCAATGGAAAATATTGACATTATGAGTTTGCTACAAAAACTCAGAGACCCTGAAGGCAGTAGATGTGATTTAAATTAATAAATGATGATACATGGACTCACTGCTTTGATTACATAGCCAGTGAGGCCCCCAGGTTGAGACAGTCAAGGGGCATTAGCCAGCATGTAAGCAGGGGACAGGGAGAAGAAAGGAGGGGAGTGACAAAGGGCAGGAGACTTGAGCAATGAAGAGAATGAAGCCAAACCCCCTAAAGAAAAAAGGAAGCCCAGTGTGCAGTACTTTAGGTGGTACATGGTTGAGAGGGATCGCCATGCCTTCAACTGGTCAAAATTTCCCACACCCTCTATTTCTGAAGGTCATTGCCCACTGGGTAGACTCCAGATTCTGCCTGATCCCTTGGTCATGTTTTGACCTAAGGAATAAAGGCCTGATGCAATTCACTTCAAAAGCTGAGCATTCTCCCATCCATCAGGCAGAATCTAGAAATGGGGGATAGGGAGATAAGACACAGCCCCTTTCTTCACATTGTTCACATTCCACTGTGTGACGCAAACAAGAAAAACCAAGAGGTAGCAAATTGAGGGTGCTTCCTAGGTACAAGGAGGAAACTAGAGGGCTTGGGGATGGCTTCCAAGGTGACATTTCCAAGGTGACACAGCCTCTCTGGATGAATGCATATTAGCCAAAGTGAGCAAGTGGGAAAAGGTTCCAGGCACAAGAAATAGCATGTGCCAACACTGAGTGGTGTGAGAGAGCATGGCAGAACAGGTGCTGGGCAAGCAGCGTGGAATGTGTTTGGTATGGGGTGTACTGGGGCTGAAAGCAGGGGAGGCAGTAGAGGCAGATGATCAGGCAGGAGGTCGTTGGGATCTGGATCACAACAGCTTAAATGACATGATAAGGAATTTAGACACTATCCTGCAGATTCTGTTGAGCCACTGAAAGATTTTACAAAGGAGGGTATTTATGCTTCATAAAACAAAACAAAACAACAAAAAACCTCTTTTTCCTTGAATCGCTTATCTAGTCTTTGACCTCTGCTTGAGCATGTTCAAGGCTGGGGAGCTCCCAACCCCCCAAAGCTGCCCACTTCACTGTTGGATGACCAGAAATTTTAGAAAGTTCTTTCTTACACTGAGCCAAACTCTGTCTCCTCACAATTCCTACTCTTCCTGTCTAGTTTTACCATTTGTAGCAACACATAAAAGGCCATTTAAAAATACATGAAGACGCCTCTCAAACCTTCCCTTAGTTTTCAGTTTTTCAAGTGTCCAGGTTTCCACAGAGCTCCCTCATTCTTTGTCTATTTCATGGTTTCTAGACTCCTTTACCATTCTAGTCACAGTTTTCTGGATGAACTGTGCTTTATTAATGTATCTTCTAGAATCTTGTGGTAGAATTGCTCATAATACTTTAAATCGGCCCTGAAAGGCAGGAAGTGCAGTGATGCTACTACGATGCTTCTTCTGAGCTGGACGCCTATGACCATTAGTGATTCCAATGTCCTTAGATTGTTACTGGTCACATCTCACTGCTTTTAAAGCTTTTGATTAACCAAAGCATCTAACTCTTCTGCACATTAGTTGCTGCCATGTCAAATCTCCACCATACTTGGTATGTGCAATTTATTTTTTAAATTTACATGTAGGCCTTTACACTTATTTAAATTTTACCTTGTCAGTTGGAGCCCAACATTTGAGGCAGTTAGACTCATCTTTAAAGTCTTATTTTTCTTTCCTATGATATCAGTATGTCTCATTTCACATCTGATAAAAATTCTTTGTATGTTTTAATCCAAGTCACTAATAAAAATGCTGCCTTGGATAGAACTTGGTAGCATTGGAGACCTCCTCCCAGTATGTGTTCAGGCAGCTTCAGTTTTCCTAATGACGCACTGTACAACATTATTCACAATGTTGAAGATTTATTAAACATTCTGTTGAAATCCTGAGAGATTTATTAAATATTCTGTTTAAATGAAGTTACATCATATTTGGTATTTCCTCTCATTCACATCAATAAACATATATTGGTTGGTCTCCTATCTTCTAGGTTCTTTGTTAGGTGTTGTGGAAACAAAAATGACCAAGATATTAGTTTTGTCTTAAAGAGATGACATCTAGCAGAGGCGACAGACATATAAACACCAGATCCAAATTAATACAGGTATAGTTAATGTATGTGTTACCTCTAATTTGCATTAAAGGGATAGATATAGATGATAGATAGAAATATACAATATAATAGATAATGTATCATCTCATATGTATTATATTATACAGTAGCAGTATAAACAAAGTATATTGAAAACCTAGAGAAAAAGGAGATTAATTCTTCATTGTGCAGAAAGAGAAAGGAGGGCTTCACACAAAAAAGTGACATTTGACTGAGCCTTGAAAATACAGAGTTTTTTTTAGGCCGGGCATGGTGGCTCATGACTGTAATCCCAGCACTTTGGGAGGCAGGTGGATCATTTGAGGTCAAGAGTTCAAGACCAGCCTGGCAAACATAGTGAAACCCTGTCTCTACTAAAAACACAAAACAATGAGCCAGGTATGGTGGCATGTGCCTATAATCCCAGCTACTCAGAGGCTGAAGTATGATAATCGCTTGAACCCAGGAGGCAGAGGTTGCAGTGAGCTGAGATCACACCACTGCACTCCAGCCTGGGTGACAGGATGAGACCCTGTCTCAAAAAAAAAAAAAAAAAGAAAGGGAAAGAAAAGAAAATACATAGGGTTTTTGTGAGATAAGTAGAGAATGGAGATAGGAAGAAATTCCAGAGTGGAGAAATAGGAGAAGCAAAGCATAGAAAAGTGAATGTCTTTGGCATGATTCAGAAATAGCAAATATTCTAGTGTGAGTTAAGGACCAGGTTCAGGGAAATGAGTGTCAAGAGCTGAAAAGTGTGTGAAGGGTCTTGAATGCTATGATAAGGAATTTTGGCTTTATTCTGTAGGTGAAGGGTTTAGCTAAGTCAGAAGTATTTAAGCAGGAGAGTAAATAACACAATCAGATTGATCAACTTCATAACTCTATTGCACAAGGAAATAAGTTCAATTTAGCAAAACTTATTCTTAATGAATCCACTTTGGTTCTAGCATGAATTGACCACTAAACATCTGATTAACGAGTACGTCAAACTTTTTGTGTGTGTTTTGCCCTGCTATTATGTTTTTCCTGACTTTCACTTTGACCTGTTGGCCTCTTGGCTTTATTTTTCCCTTAGGCATCTGGGTTCTGCATTCCCTTGATTTATTTGTCCACCCACAGCTTGCTCTGACCTTTATTATTTAACGTGTCCTCTGACTTTGGCTCACTTACTGGATTCTGAGCCACGGCAATTCCTTGACCTCAGTCCTGGATTTGCTTCTGCTTTGGAATTCCCACCTGATTTCAGTTGCCCAATTGTGCTGTGACCTCTGCATTCTGTCCTGCCTTGGATCTAACCTGGTCTCATCCTTTGTGTTGCTGTCTCTGCCTCAGTTCTTCTAGTCTAGCTCCCCAGCCCGCAAGTTATACACACTGTTTGCTCACCTGGGCTCCAGTACTGGCAATAAAATGTAACCTGTCCTTTCTAGAAGCTGTGGTGTGGTTGAAGAGATAGTGCTAACATGCAAGAAATTATAAATTCTAACTGATTGCCAAATTGGACGTGCTAACTGAAAGTGTTATACGAACTTAGAGAAAAGACTGAACTGGGAAATTCAAGACCCTTAGGAGTAATGTTCCTTTCTAGGCAACTTCCTTTCTGAAAGATTTTGCTATCTGGAGCACGGGCTTTTCTTTGGAAGGAGAAAGGGAAATGTAAGGCAGGACTTCCTCTGGACTTTCCTATCATTGGTTCCAAAGCTGCCTATCTTTGAGGAGCTACCTTGTCGGTGCCACCTAGTGGCTGCTGCCACCAGAAATCCTACCCGCCTCAAGGAGAGAGCAATTTAACGCCATTTCCAACTTAAGCACCATATCTACAGGGCGTGAAATTAGTTCCAGCAAGCAGCAAATTTGCTGCTAATAAAAATATTTAGCGATTCACTTGTCTTTAAATCAGCAGCAGAATATTCTTTTACTTGCATCAGTGCTTGTTTCTCCCAATTCTAATATTTGATAATCAAGCTAGACGTGTTTAGCTAAAGCTATGAAACAGCAAGTTCTTCAGTTCTGCAAAAATTTTTTAGTTTCCTGAGCAAGAATTTTTATTTCCTTTTTTCTCTTTGTCAGAAATAGGCCTGGGTGTTCCTTGGATCATAGAGATGGAGCACTTCCACTGATTTCAGAGTCTTAGAAATAAGCTTTCATTCTCTTCTGTCTGCCAACATTAGCTCCTGAGTCACTGCATGTGGATAATCTGGGATGTTACAGGAAGACATGATCTCTAGCTCATGTTTAGACACTTCCTTTTTTTTTTTTTTTTTTTTTGAGACAGGGTCTTGCACTGTCACCCAGGCTAGAGTGCAGTGGCGTGATCTCGGCTCACTGCAACCTCCGCCTCCCAGGTTCAAGCGATTCTCCTGCCTCAGCCTCCCAGGTAGCTGGGACTACAGGCATGTGCCACCACGCCAGGCTATAGACACTTCTTTACTCTGTCTCAGTGCCAAACTCATTTTAGTTCCTTTTCTGTGTCTTTTAGCCTCTACACCAGAGCAAGAGTTCTCTGAATCCCACAGAGATATTGTAGAATGCTAAAACTACTTTTTCATTAAAGTCGACGAGTATTTATTGGGCACTTTCCATGTGCATCCATTGTTCTAGGTCCTGTTTGGGGTCAGAAGTGTTCCAAGAAGCCCAGCATGACAGCCAGATGAGAAACTGACATGGCAGATGACACCTCTTCTCCAGGTTGCTGGAACAGTGGGTCAGATAGACTTCTATGTATTTTTCTTCTCCTTAAGGAGCTCATAGAAGGAACAAAGTGCATCGGACATTCTACCCTTCATCAGTTTATTAGTCTAAGGGTCTCTGTTTGAGCAGATCACTAGTTCCAAAGACCAAATAATCTTTCTTTCTTTTTTTTTTTTTGAGATTGATTCTCCCTCTGTCGCCCAGGCTGGAGTGCAATGGCACAATCTTGGCTCACTGCAACATTCCCCTCCCAGATTCAGGTGTTTCTCATGCCTCAGCCTCTGGAGTAGCTGGGATGACAGATGTGCACCACCACACCCAGCTAATTTTTCTATTTTTAGTAGCGAGGGGATTTTGCCATGTTGGCCAGGCTGTTATTGAACTCCTGGCCTCAAGCAATCCACTTGCCTCTGTCTCCCAAAGTGCTGGGATTACAGGCATGAGCCACCATGCCTGGCCCCCAATAATCTTAAAAAAGAGTATAGTGGCCCCATGGTAACTCTGTCTTCTGCCCCAGAACAGCCCTGGCTGGATTATCCTCCTGGTAGAAATCAATTTTGATCATCCTGGCAGGAAATCAGGATACAGGGCAGCTTCAGACAGGAGTACCACATCCTTCTCAGAAATCAACCAACATGAGATGCTGAGTGAAAGCTGGTCTCTTGGTTAAGAGACGGATGTAGGCAGGGCTGGTAACAAGTAGTTAGAATCAAAGACTCAAACTAAACCTGCTAGCTAACACCAGCTTCACTGATGGAGATACCAGAGCAGGTAGGTTGCAGAGAGGTAATGACATTTGACAATGGTCAAGAGACCAACATGGAGGTTCTCATTGGAGCCTCCAAAATGGAGGCTCTCTTGTTGGAGCTACAATGGTTTGGGGATCAGAGCATCTGGGCTCTATTCTTGGCCTTTTCTCTCAAGTTCATGACTCTAATACAGCCCCTTCTCCCCTTTGGCATTAGTTTTCTCATCTATAAGAAGGGGTAATGAATTTTACTCCCCATCCCAGGTCCCCTTACTGCAGTATGAGAAGGGTGAGATAGGGACTATTTTAAAGGGCTGTGAGAGAGTCTCCAGAGAGGGCTGTGATGAACATCTGTATTCCTCATGGAATGGACAGCCCAGGAGGATGGTACATTTAAGTAAGACAAAGCAAGACTCTTCTAATGGTAAGAGATGTAAGACCAGTAAATTGGATCACGTGCCCTGGATGATATGTAATTCCCTCATAGTGCTCTAGCCTCAAAATCCCAAATATTGGTGAGGATCTCCCAAAGCTGCTAATGTCAAAAACTTTGATTTTACTGTAGTTAAAGTGATGGAAATCATTAGCTTTAAATTACTGGGGAAATATAAAAGATGATTTGAGGGGTAAGCTCTATCAATTATGTACTTAAGCAAGAACCAGACTCAAGATCAGGAAAAAAAAAATAAATAAAACCAAATACGTTCATAATTAGAATAAAAATGTTCTCCAGTCCTGGTCCTGTCTTTCTCACATGTCCATATGTAATCAAGAAAGGCTTTCCAAGAGTGAATATCCAAGGAAACAGGTAACTTGGTGGATGCAGATTGAACCTAAGGCATCTAGGATGGAGCAGAGCAGAAGTCCACTGGGGAGCAGGGAACATAAGCAGCAGATAAAGGAGCTATGAGAAGAATTGGAGAGAAAGGAGGGAGCTGGCAGATGAAAGCCCTGGGGACTTCTGTGAGTCCCTTGACCCTAGAGGCAGAGCTGCCAGAGGCTGAAGAGAGGAACGAGGAGACCAGAGCAAGGGTGCAAGCTCTTTCTGCAGGGCAGCCTGGTCCGTTGGCAGTCTCCCAGTTGCTTCTCATCTTAACGTCCTTTAGGTCAGTGGTTTGCTTCTCCATTTCCCATTCCAGCAGCTTTACCTTAGCCAGCTACCACACAGGCAAGAGATCACAAGCCTACAGCCCTCTTGCTGTCGGGTGCCAGAGTTGGGTCAAAAGTCATGCAGATTCTGTGGATGAATTAAGGTGTCTAATTCATGTATGTTTCTCAGTCATTTCTCTTGACAGCATGAATCATGGGCCAGTCATCAGGATTCCCAGAGTTCTCCTTGACGGATGCACATGAAAGGTAGTGCCTTAGCAGCACCTCCGCAAAGTCCTGATAAACTCAATCCTAGGAGGTTGGTAATTCCAAACCTAGGCTGAGCAGAGCACATGATCAGGGATCAGTAGTCAAAAAGGCCTTTATGGATAGAATGAATAGTGCTCAGGGGCATTCACTTATTCTGCCATCTCAGAAAGGGACACGGGTAATGCGTTGGTTCATAAAACAGGCTGGGCATTTGCAGAATTTCTAAGTGGTTAGATTGATGATCTTCATTAAAACTAGTTGTCTCAGAGGTCATAGATCAAGTACTGTAGTTTTTCTTTAAGGCAAGTTTGATCACCTCCCTGCTCCTTAGCATCAAGGATATGGATTATTGAAATCAAGACTGGATATTGTGTATGAAGGGGAGGAGATATGTGCAGTACGAGACTGTCAAAAAAAAAAAAAAACAAAAAAAGCCTCTGCTGGGACACAACACTCAAGAATGGGAAGGTCATTTGAAGAGTGTCAAAATGAGAAATAGAAGCAACTTTTAGAGGTCCCTTAAAGGCAGCAAGGCATCCTAATAATAATACAGGTACTCTTGTCCAACTGCTTCGGTTGGAATCCTGGCTCTACCCCTTACTGGCTGTGTGATTTTACTTTACCTCTCTGTGTTTCTGTTTCTTCATCTGGAAAACTAGAAAAAAGTTACCTACCTCAAAGGTTAGTTTAAGAAAGTAAATGTTAGATATTAACACCTTTAGTGATTGACCCATAGCAAATGTTTGCAAAGCTCCTCAAAATGAACCATTCTATTTATATAGGCTCTCTCTGCTTAGTGTAACTAGAAAACTTAAAAAAAAAAACCCAATTAGATTGACTACACATTTACGCTATTTAAGCTTGAGGGACAGGCTATACAGCTGCTGGAAAATTGTACCTATTTCTTGTTGACTTTTAGTGAAATTCCCTTAATAATTGTTCATCTAAAGCATGGTTTCTCAACCTTGGCACTATTAACATGTTGGGCAGAATACTTCTTTGCTGTGGGGGTTTTTCTGTGTACAGGTGATCTCTCCCTTAGTTGCAGAGGATATGGTCCAAGACCCCCAATGGATTCCTGAAGCCACAGACAGTACCAACCCCTATATATACTATGTTTTTTCAATCTGTTAACTAAGACGGCTACTAAGTGAGTAATGGGGCAGCAGCAGATACAGCTAGATACACTGAAAAAAAGGATGATTCACATCCCTGGCAGGATGGAGTGAGTTGGTGCAAGATTTCATCGTGCTACTCAGAACAGCTGGCAATTTAAAACTTTTGAATTGTTTATTTTTGGAATTTTTCTCTTAATATTTCTGGACCACAGTTGACCGTGGGTAATGGAAACTGTGGAAAGTAAAACTGGGGAAGGGAAGGCTCTACTGTATTTTGAATTGTAGGGTGTTTAGTAGACTCCCCGGCCTCTGCTTACGAGATACCATGTCCCTTCCTGACAACCAGACATGTCTCCAGACATTGCCAAACATCTCTTGGGGGCAGGCGGCAAAATCACCCCTGGTTGAGATGCACTATTTTCTTTCTTCTTCAAGTTTGCAATCTCACCTTCAGAAACCCACTTTC
Source organism: Homo sapiens (assembly GCF_000001405.40). Classification (NCBI taxonomy): domain Eukaryota; kingdom Metazoa; phylum Chordata; class Mammalia; order Primates; family Hominidae; genus Homo; species Homo sapiens. Next base: position 125,129,010 of record NC_000011.10, read on the forward strand.
GGTTGATAATTATGTCTCCTGTTTTCCTTAAAAAGACGTCATCTGATCTAGGTTTTAAAAATATCCCTTTCTTACCATTCAAAATTCTTCCAGATAGTCACCCAACCCTTCCTCTTCTCCTTTAGTCTAGAATTGCCCTCTTTTTCAAGACGAATCACCGCACGTACATCTTTCCTTAAAGTCCATCCCAGCCATGCTGGCCGCCCGCTGTCAGTTACAGCGCTTCTCTGCTTCTTAGTCATCTGGCTTAGACACCATTTCCACTTTTTTTTCCCAAACACCTTTAAGACCTTTAGTTATCTTCATTAAGCTACTAGCCTTTTTTTCCCTCCGTTTAATCATCATGTTTATCTGAAAACTAGACATCAACAACAGCTAGTCTTTGTGGAGCACTTACAATGTGCAGGCGTCGTCAGGGAGGTGCAGGCGCCTCAGCCCCCGTGGTATCTTGACTTCTGCGTTAACTGGCTTTCCACCCTTGCCCAGCACGGTTACTTTCTCAATGATCACCGAACCGCGCAATCCGACGGCCGTTTCTTGGTCTTCGCTTCTTCACCGTCTCTAAAGCTCTTAACACTGTTGAGCACCCTTTGGTTGAAACTGTTTCTTCCCTAGGATTTTAATTTCTCTGGGATTCAATTTAGTTAGCTGAAAGTTGGAGGATTTAATTTAAGTAAGTGATTTCTAAGACCTCCTTTGGTGCCTGAATCCTATACATTTAAAAGCCTCTTGGTTTCTGTTTGCCAGACAGCTGCGCTCAGAATACCCTACTTCAGAACCCCAGAGGCCCAGGAGAGGGGCGGGCAGAGGGGCGCCCCCGCCACCGGGCACTGCTGAGGTGACCTTTATCTAGATCTTCCGTGCAAGCCTCTAACATTCTCAAGCTTTGCTTTTTTCCCCAACCACTGTCATTATTCAAACACAGGCTGAAAACGATAGAGTGATTTCTTTTGTTTATGTGTGTTTTATGCTTCCCTTTCCCTTGCTGTCCACGTAATCAGCCCCCAAATCCAGCTTCCTGAGCATGTCTGAACTCCATCTCCTGATTTTCATCTCCGGCAGCCATTATCCTAACCCAGGGCTCCTTATCACCCTTTTAAAATTAATTTTTACTTACAGCATTTAACTCCATATTTTCTAAAAGAAAATTCTGCTTCTAATTGTTGATTTCCACCCCCCAACTTTGACATTATTGTTACCTTCTTCCTCTGGAAGATGATAATTTAACTCTCTAACACATATGACACACACACACATATATATATACACACATAACACATATATATACACGCATAACACACACAACACACACATATATATGCACATATAAGAAACACATATATGCATATAACATGTAACACATTTATACACATACAACACATACACATATATGCATATAACACGTATATAGGCACATATACCTACACAACACATACACATATATACACATATAACACATACATACATACACATGCAATACATACACATATAATACATACTCATATAATACATAAATACACATAACATACTTATATTAACACATAATACATACATATATGCATATAACACATACATATACACACATAATAAATACATATATACTTATAAAACATACATGTATACACATGTAATACATATATACACATATAATACATGCATATATACAAATATACATAAATATATACACATAATACATACATATATACACTTATAATACATATATACACATATAACACATACATATATACACATAAAATACATACATATATAAACATATAACACACACAGACATATATATATATATATATATATATATATATATGCTTCTCCCTCAATCCTCCTAATTTAGTTACTCTATAATTTTTGGTCAAATTGGTATTCAGTATTCATAGTATTGTGACTATGGAAATACTGCCTATAACTAAGTCATGTGGTATACCGTGATTACATTTCCTTTCTTGTATGTTTTCTTTTTTTTTTTTTAGTTGGTTCTTTGTTCATTTGCTTAGTTTTTTTATTTTTATTATACTTTAAGTTCTAGGGTACATGTGCACAATGCACAGGTTTCTTACATATGTATACATGTGCCATGTTGGTGTGCTGCACCCATTAACTCGTCATTTACATTAGGTATATCTCCTAATGCTATCCCTCCCCGCTCTCCCCACCCCACGACAGGCCCCGGTGTGTGATGTTCCCCTTCCTGTGTCCAAGTGTTCTCATTGTTCAATTCCCACCTATGAGTGAGAACATGCGGTGTTTGGTTTTTTGTCCTTGCAATGGTTTGCTGAGAATGATGGTTTCCAGCTTCATCCATGTCCCTACAAAGGACATGAATGCATCCTTTTTTATGGCTGCATAGTATTTCATGGTGTATATGTGCCACATTTTCTTAATCCAGTCTATCACTGATGGACATTTGGGTTGGTTCCAAGTCTTTGCTATTGTGAATAGTGCCACAGTAAACATACATGTACATGTGTCTTTATAGCAGCATGATTTATAATCCTTTGGGTATATACCCAGTAATGGGATGGCTGGGTCAAATGGTATTTCTAGTTCTAGTTCCTTGAGGAAATTGCCACACTGTCTTCCACAATGGTTGAACTAGTTTACAGTCCCACCAACAGTGTAAAAATGTTCCTATTTCTCCACATCCTCTCCAGCACCTGTTGTTTCCTGACTTTTTAATGATCGCCATTCTAGCTGGTGTGAGATGGTATCTCATTGTGGTTTTGATTTGCATTTCTCTGATGGCCAGTGATGATGAGCATTTTTTCATGTGTCTGTTGGCTGCATAAATGTCTTCTTTTGAGAAGTGTCTGTTCATATCCTTCACCCACTTTTTGATGGGGTTGTTTTTTTCTTGTAAATCTGTTTGGACAATTCCAGTGAAGAGCTTACTTCCTCACCGGCTCACCCATTCTATTATTGCACGGGTCTGTTTGTTAGAAGGTCCTTTCCTATATGGCACTGAAATACCACTCTTGAAACTTCCAACTATTGACCCAAATTTTGACCTGTGATCTTCAAATTAAAATTTGAATCTCTCTTCCTTATGATAGCACGTTTTACAATTGAATTAATGCTACTGTGTGCTCCCTGGATATTCTCTTCTTCTAGCAAAAAATCCCAAATTCCTTCAGTCATTTTTTATCTGGCATTGCAAATTGGATAATGTCCAAAATAACCACACTCCTACATTTAGGACCTTCTGTGATATGACTCCAACCTCCTATTATGACATCATCTCTCATCTTCTACTTTTGCCATGCACTCCAGACAAAAACTTGCCTTTTCTTGTCTTTGTTTACATCCTGTTCTCCTCCTGGGATACCCCTCTCATCTCTTCCTGCTAAAATCATTTCCATCAAAAGACAAGGGCTGATGATACATACCAAACTGTTACAGTAGTTACTTTGAGGGATGGAATGGGATGGGTGAAGGGGAATACTGATATCTTACTTTATATATTTTTTAAAAGGCAGTACAATTGTTGATGCTCTTATTTTTTATGCTGGTCAATGTATTTCCCAAATATAATAAAATTAACTTAAAAATCAACAACAAATACTAGCTCTCAGTTGCAATTCATTTCAAAAGCTGTAGGGCCCTGGAAGCCTTCTTTGATTCTTCCCTCTGGAGTGAATTTCCTTACTCTGACACCCAAAGCATCTGGGGAGTGACCTTCTTATTGCTGTCATCACGCTACACTTTCATCGTAGGTATTGTGTGCAAGCCTTCCCTTTCTAGCAGGCTGCAAGCTCCTGGAGACCAGAGATCGTCTTACGTATTGCGGAAGCCCCTGCCTTATGTGCTGCATAGCAGGAGCTCCATACATTTTTGTTGAAAGAGTGAGTCAGTGAGTTCGCATTATAATTTTTTTATGCTCCTTCAAACATGCTCCTCTATATTTCTTTAAATTAAGGAGAGAGAGAATTGTGGGCACTCCAGCCTGTGATGAGCCATTCCCATAGATCACTCGGCCTCTCCGGAGGGACTAGACTTCTCTCCGCAGCCTCGTCTTCTTCAGTGCCTGGGTGTGTGAGTTCACCGAGACTCTCAGAAACCCTGAAGAGGGTGAAGGACTCTGGAAGTAGGGTTGGGGCAGTGGAGCGGAGATGGGCTGAGTCAGGGCCCAAGAAAGTGAACATGTCTCCATCACAGAAGAATATGGAACCCATGACACCTGAGAGTGAGCAGAGGGGAGAGGCGGGATGCAGGGGGTGTGGAAGGCAGGGCCTGATGTCCAGCTCTGTGAGGCAGAACAAGCTGCACCCCAGATGTGAGGAGCTGGTCCCCACAAGTGTCGGAAAGTGCCAGTCCTGCTCCTATGGCGCTGCAGCCAATAGCAAGACCAGGATCTCTGTCTGCTGAATCTTGGGCTGTTCCCTGCCTGAGGTGGAAACACGTTCTCTGTCTCTGTCTCTCTTTCTTGCACACACACATCCCAACACACACACCACTCTACCCCACCACACATACCCCACACCCTTTTGCTTCCTCCTTCCCTGGCTGGGCAGGATGGAACCATCTCTCACAGCTCCTTGCAGCAAGAATAGACTAGGGCCAAAGGAGAACCACCCCCTCGATCCCCTGATTCTTGAAGATGTCCCCAGTTACAAGGACAAAAAGCATGAGTCCTTGATCATCACTTGTTTCCAAGTTTGTTACTTCATCACCACTGGCGTGTGGGCAGAAGATTAACTAACGTTGAGCTACAAATTGAACAAGGGAGGGACACCTTGCATATGGTCACAGGCAGATGTTATGTTTCCCATCTTTTTATTTTACATTTTAGACTCTGGGGGCACGTAATGAAGTTGATCATACTCCTCATTTGATGGTGTGTTGTCATCATTGTTGATAATTTTCTGAATTCTTGTTTTCCCGAGTTCTTATTTTCCCCATCCCATTTCTGTTCTCCTTTCCCCACTAAAGGCTCTCACTCTTGATGATTTAATGTGTCTTTTAGATGGGGCTCTCTGGAATCAAGTTCTGAGATGGGAGTGACATGCAGATTTATTTGTGAGTGCCCTCAGGAGATACACTTGTACGGAAATAAGGAAGGTCAGATTGCACTGGAGGGGAAGGGGATCCCCCTGTGGTTGCAGCTGAGCTGGGCCCTTCATTGCTTTTGCACACTGAAGCAAAGGGGATCAGTGTTTTATATCTTGGAATCAGCCAGTGACCACTGGCCTTTCCCTAGGAGAAGCATAACCTTAGGCGAAGCAGTTCCTTATGGCCGAGCAATTCCCCTTAGGGACACTGCCGTGCACCTCAGTACAAATATTCTCAGCAGCCAAGGACTCAGGTGGATGGGCCTGAAGCAGGGCTGCGGGTCAGCACCACCTCATCCACTGTAATGTCCTTCTGATCCACCTTCTTTAAGTTTATTCTTGAGATACGTATACTGCTGCTTTGTGTCTTTAAAAAAATTCCGTAATTGGTATCATGCTATAAATTTATTCTCACTTCCCCTTCCTCCCAACTCTGATTTGGAGCCCTAGCCACGTTGCTGTACATGGATCTATCACATTCCTTCATACCACTGCACAGTGTTTCATCATTTCTGTTAACTGCAATTCACCCTTCCATTCCCCTGGTGAAGAGCACCCACGTTGCCACCAATACTTTGCTACCACTATTGGCAAGGGATGAACTTTTTTGTGCTTATGTGCCAGTTTCTCTAGGGCATATAAACCCACCAAGAGACAATGCTGGGTCATAGGCTATCTGCATTTCTCCTTCCACTACGTTCTACTACACGGTGCTCCTAAATAACTGCTCCGGCGTCCACCTTCATCAGCTGTTCCTGGTGAACATCTTTGCTAGCACTCGGCATTATCAGGCGTTCTAATGTTTACTAATTTGTTAGATGTAAAGTGGGATCTTATTTTTGTTTTGTGTTTTTCATATTACTCATGAAATTAAGCATCACTTCAAATACTTATTAGGCTTTAAGACTTCCCTTTCTGTGAACTACCTACTCATTTACTTTGCCCGTTTTTCTATTGTTTCCTGTCCGTTTTTTTTTTTTTTTTTTCCTAATTTGTTGGGATTCCCTGAACAATTGCTAGTTGCAAATGTCTTCTTCCAGGCATTACCCATCTGTTAACTCTGTCGATGGTGTACTTCACTGAACAGAAATCCTTAATTTGGGTGTAAAATTCATCCATTTTTCTCTTTATGGTTTTGCTTTTGGATCTTGTTTAAAATATCTTTTCCTGCTTCAAGGTCACAATATACTATCATATATTTTCTTCTGTTAGTTTATGGCTTTGCCTTTCATATTTAGGTATTGAATCCATATAAGGTTTATTTTCATATCCAGTAATAAGATAGATATTTGAACTTATTTCATCACTTATAAAATACTTCATCTTTTCACCCTTTGATTTATGATGCCAGATTCACCATATGCCAGGTTTTCATGCACACCTAAGTCTATCTGGACTTGCACATTGTACCAGCCCGTTTATCTGTTCTGTGCCTACCACACTCTTTCAATAACTCTGTTCTTGTGATATTTCTTAGTGTCTGGTATAGTCTGATCCTTTCTTTTGCTCTTCTTTTTTTTTTTTCTTAAAAAAAAACTTAGCATTAGTTGACTTGTATTCTTCATCACCAATTTTTAAATGATTGTCAAATTCATCCCCCTCTACCCAGTCTACTGGGATTCTTATTGGAATGAATTAAATTTACATGCTATTTTGGGGGAATTGGCATTGTATAAAGCCATCCCTTTCATAATTATGAAAGATTCTTTCATTTATTCAGGTTTTCTTTTATGTCTGCTAATAGGGTTTAAAATCTTTCTCCATAAAAAGTTATATATATTATTTCTTAGACTACTTCTCATATGCTTTACAATTTTGTTGCTATTGTAAATGATATGCTATTTTAGATTGAATCTTTAATTTGTCTTTACTTGTAAAAAAGGATTGTATTTCATTCTCTATTGGTAAGATAGTTTGATATTTCATGCACTAGGCTGTAGAATACCAAAATAACCCAATAGTTGAGCAGCCTCTTACCTTTTGATGTCAAAAAACCAACTACTCTGAAATTGCTGCTGCAGTCTGGGAATAACAAGTGTCTGAACTGCCTCCTAAGATGTCACTAATTTATGTTTCCATGCTATTTTTTCAAAACATGCTTACTTGGCACCAATGCACACCCCAGTCCTCTCCACTTCTGCTTCTGCTCCTTCAGAGAACTCAGCCCCTGAAACATCTGATTGAATTGTGCCTGCCTGAGTTTTACTTAAGTGGGTCCAACCTTGGATGCAAAACTGGTGATTAGAAAGTTGGGCCAGGCCAGAGCAGGAAAAACTGACAAGTGTCTTCCCCATTAAGTGATATCATTTCTGTTTCATTTCTCAAACTAACTCAGAAGGGGGTCCTGGGAGGCAAGAGAACAGAGGAAGCAGAGAGGGGGACTGGACAGAACAGAAAGGCCTATGACTAACACCTTCATGGAGCACGGATGGACAGACTGCCCAGCAGGGTCTCTGAGCTAAGCCAGGTACCAATGGGCTAAATACAGGTTCCTTCCTCTATCCTCTTCCTCCTTCTCCTCCCTGACGTCTTCTTAGGTTAACCATGATGGAGCTGACAGCTCTTTCATCTCAGTGAGTTCAAGCATGCAAATCCAAGAACAATCTGCCTCAAAGTAGACTGCTTACCCTTTATTATGATGTGATGGAAAAACACTTTTCTTAATGGTTTCTAAATGGTTAAACTTTTTGAAATAGTTATTCCACACCATTATCTTGTTTGATCTGGAGATAATGGGTGTGGAATAACTAGTTCAAAACTAATTTTTTTTTTTTTTTAAGACAGGGTCTTGCTCTGTCGCCCAGGCTGGAGTGCAATGGCGTGACCTCGGCTCACTGTAACCTCCACCTTCGGGGTTCAAGTGATTCTCCTGCCTCAGCCTCTTGAATAGCTGGGACTATAGGCACTGGCCACCATGCTTGGCTAATTTTTGTATTTTTAGTAGAGATGGGGTTTTGTCGTGTTGGCCAAGCTTGTCCCAAACACCTGGCCTCAAATGATCCACCTGCCTCAGCCTCCCAAAGTGCTGGGATGACAAATGTGAGCCACTATGACAGGGCTATAATCCCTGTTTTCAAATTGACACTGAATAAGTCACAGCCTTGCCCATGTTACCTAGTGAATTATGTGAGGATTAGTCCCCTGGGCATTCGGACCTTCTGGCTGAGTTCTTCCAGCCTCCGATTGTTTCTCATATTTGATTAACGTTCACATCGTTTTTAAAAAAGGAAGAATATTTCCCCAGACATCTAATATTGACCTACATTATTTATATCATAGTGTAACCCAAAAAGTACAAACCAAAAATAGGTATAACTTCCCAATGTTTGTAGCTCCATTATAACTAAGAATTAATTGAATACTAACAAAATTCTAAAGCAAAAAATTTTTAAGGTAACCATATTAGTCCAATTTGAACCATTACGTTGTTTTCCTGAAATGAAAGCATTGCTGTGGATGGGCCTGTGGCCATGGCTGCTCTGTGGCAGGCTGTGCCTCCGTGGGCTCGCCATTCCTCCCTAGTCCAACTCCTGCAGAACCTTCGTTTCTCTAAAACACCGTGACACCGGTGGGCCTGCCCTTGCCACAGATACATCATTGAAGGGGTGAAGCTGCCTCTGTCTTTTGCCCTTTCAAAGTTCATTCCTTCCTAAGGAAAAGGCAATTAGCAATTCTTATTAAACCTGGCTTTCCTTCATGAACCATGGTGGAATTAACCCTTTGCATCATGGGACAGAATTAATCATTTCTAGATTTGGGATCTTTTTTTAAAAAGTGATCAGATATTCCTCTTTGGGCAGGGGGTGTAAAGGGGGAAGATAAATACTGAAGAATTCAATTTTGCTGTGTGAAGGCCTCGTCTCTGACAAGTAGTTAATCTATTTGTTGATACTGTGAGAGGAGAGGCTCCAGCAGGGAGAAAATTAAAAAACGCTCAGCGCCAGTTGCTACTCTGATGAATCTCATCCAATTATTTAACAGGACACTGCTTGCTGGGTGTACCTTTTTTTTATTGTTTTAATTTTATTTTGTTCTCTATTATGTGTCATATCATTATAAAAGTTTTCTGGATTAAGAAACCCTTTCAGTCTGCCCTTTTTCATTCGGCCACCATTGATTTTTTTTGCTTCTGTGTTCATAACTGAGTTTGAAATTAATGTAGGATTATTATTGATTTATGTATGTATTTATTTTCTTTCCTCTTGGAATGTAGCATCTTAGAGGCTGGATTCTGAATAGAATTTGAAAGAGCATCCGCTGCAGGAGGAGAGTTTTAGGTTAGGGAAGTATTGTTCAGAGTTGTCTGAATGGGGAAGGACTGGAGAACAGTGTTAGTTACACTCCTCAGAAGGACTGAGGCAAGCTGCTCTCCCCAGGGAGAACATTCTTATTGGTTTAGTTTAGGCCTCGCTAGCCTCCAAGACTCGCGTGGATGTAGAAAAAAGGCAGTTTTTCCTCTGGGGGAGTCGCTCTGATCTTGCCGGATTCTGGTTCACTCCTAAAGGCACTGGCAGAGATGAAGTTTTGGCCAAGCTCCCCCATGGCCCAGCGTGCCTGCAAACGACACTGCTCTCCTAACCCCAGCTACAGTTGGGACACACTGATCGGACCTGGGCATGGGTAAAGCTCCATGGTATGTTGTAAGTCACCAACCTCTGAGGTCTATAAGGGTTCCCTGGCCTCACCCAATTTGTGACATAAGCCTTGTGGTTATCACCCCAATCCCTTGGACCCAGGGATAGGGATGCCAGACAAAATACATGCTAGCCAGTCAAACTTGAATTTCAGATAAATGATGAATGATTTTCAAAATGTTAGCGTAGTGTATCCCGAAGATCGCAAGAGACAGATGTATGGCTCTGTTCCTCTCCACCCTGCTCTTCACACACACTCAGAGTCAGAGGCTTGCCCCCTGCTCCATTTTCCCTTGAAGCCTCTAACCTTCAGCAACCTTGATTCCTTCTTCCTTCAGTCTCCTTGCCTCCAGCCGGGAAGCCAGACTCCCCCCTGCTCAGCACTGCTGCTGATGCTTACAGGTTAGGGGAAGGGTCCACGTGGAGGCCCTGGCCTCAGGCCCCCCGCTGCACCCCGCTGCTGATACTTACAGGTTAGGGGAAGGGTCCACGTGGAGGCCCTGGCCTCAGGCCCCCCGCCCCACTCCAGTTCTTGGCCCCAGCGCTGTTCTGTGTTTGAGGAGCCTGTGGGCCTTGGTCTCAGATCTTTCCACACTCCACCCCACCTTTACCCAGACAGCTGTCCCTTGGCCCGCCTGCTCACCTGCCATGTGGTCTGGAACAGGGAGGGTGTTCCTGGAGAAAAGCCTTTGTGGGCTCTCTGAAAAGCCCAGGGTCAGGCAGAGACCCAGCATGGGTCCCAGTGCAGCCCCGCTGTGGTTCTGGAGAGGCTGTGTGGCCATTCTTTTGGCCGGTGGCCACTGCTTCTGGATTTCTTCATTCTCCTTCAGAGGGTCCCGTGAAGACCAAGGCATCGGCTGGTTTACCCTCACTGCTGCGTCCCTCCTTTCGCCCTCCTTCCCCACCACAGCTACCATCTCCCTTCCTCTGTCCGGGACAGGATGTAGGGTTTCCATTCCCTTGAACACACAGGTCACTGGGGCGGAGGGGAAGTCACCAAATTTAATTTAACAAAATCTTCACAACCCAACAGTTTCAGTGTAGTGTGTTCCTAAGGCGACAGAGGAACAGATAGAAGGGAGAAACGAGCGTGGGGAGAACCATTGTTATTTGGGAAAGAATTCAACCAGTTTTCACTCCCTTCCCCCTCCCCCCCTGCTTTGGGCAGAATTCAGCTAGTTATTTTCCAATCCGGTTGTGTGTATAGACACACCACAGCTTCTTTGATCCCTGCCTTTCCTCCTAATAGACAAACTGCTGCCAAAGCTTCCAGCTTCTTTCTCCATGGTGACCAAGCCCCTCATTTCCATTTAATCTCAGCCTCCACCTCCCCTGTACCCCACCCCCTCCTTCATGTGGAGCTGGTTATTTCCTTTCTCTTCTCTCATTTCTCTCCCCTTCCCCCAGCAGTTCACAATCCTCTTCAAAGTTTCAGGAGTAAATATCAATGTGTGATGGTTCCTTCCTTTCTCCCCGACCTGCCTCTTTCTACTCTCTACCCCTTTTCTCTGGTGGCTCCCAAATCTTTGCTCTTCTTGGCTCTTCAAACACATTCCTCTTAGTTCCCCCTCAAACTCCCTTTCCTGCTCCAGTCTCTGGCCTAAGAGATGTGAAGATGCAGAGGAGGGAGGCAGGAGGGACGGGCCTCCCACTTCCCTACTTCCTTTCAGCAGACCCCTGAAGAAAAGAGGCGGAAGGAACTAGGAATGGGATGAGTTGGGTTCTTGCCAAGGGGCCCTCCCTCCCCTCCCTCCTCTGTCTCCGAGCTCTGCCTGCACTCGGGTTCACGCGGGAGAAGATGAATCTGCAGCACCAGCCCCTGCCAGTCTCCCACAGCCAGGGTGGCCAAGCCCTCAGGGCTCTGCAGGACAATCCTCGGCGTCTGCTGCTGCTGCTGCTGCTGCTGGAACCTTCTCAGGGTGTCCTCTGCTGGCAGGCAGGCTTCGCACACAGGTGAACAGAACTCACCACCAGTGAGAAAGCTGGCCGTCTCACACCTTGGCTAGTTTGTGAAACCCAACTCATTCCACCAATGTTGCCTCATGGACTGGCTTTGGAAATTCCATTAATAGCTCCTCTCTGGCCTTGAAGCCTTGCTACCCTAATCCATCAATGACCATTTCACAACCGGGGAATGACATCTGTCCATGTACTCACTTTTTATGGTCCGGTCCTTTACAGCCTACACACATTCTTCCTGAAGATCTCTTACTGGGTCCTCATGATAATGAAATTCCAGCTGTGCAGAGGGAAACTGAAGCTTGCAGAAATTAAATATATTCACCAAATATCTGAACAAAGAAGTAATCGGTGGAGCCAGGGCAAGAACCCAACTCATCCCATTCCTAGTTCCTTCTGCCTCCTTTCTTCAGGGATCTGCTGGAAGGAAGTAGGGAAGTGGGAGGCCGCACACTCTGGCACAAGGCAAAGGGGTTAACAGGAGTGTGTTGACTTTTGTCCTTCTGCCAAGTCCCCTCACATCCAATTTACATTGTTATACAATGCTGATCTGTACCATTCTTGTTAATGTTTCTTTATAGATGTTTTAGTTATGTCTGTCCCATATGTGCGTCTGACTTTTTTCGTAGAATCTGAGCTAGCTCCTTGCTGCACTACTACCCCGGGAATCAGAACAGGTTTCCGCATGCAGCTCTTTGGTGAGAGTGACTTAGGGCCCCTCGAGGGACATGAGAAAACGATTTCGATACCGTGAACACTGGGGCAGGTAGAAACCCAACTTATCCCAGCTTTTCCATCTTCCTGCCAGGCCCCGGCCGGGCTTCCCAGCCTCCTCGTTAGCCTCTGTGAAAAATTAAAGCCCCAATAATCAAATCAACCCTTGTAAATGCTCTAAAAGCCGCTCCAGAGCACCAAGGAGCCAGCAAACCCCAGACCCAAATCCATGTCAAATTTCATAGATATAATTTAAGCAGGGATCAAAACCCACACTAACCTAGTAACTAAGGCTGCTCAAAATGCACTTTATAGTCCATCTGCCTCTCTGCTTCAGGGAGTCTGTATTAAATTTATTGCAAAGTAAAACAAATAAACCCAGGCAAAGGCAAGATGGAAATCTGCATACTGTCAGAGAATTAGCAGCCCTCTCGGGTTAGGAAGGCTGCCTCTCAATTTGCATCTCTAAGGAGTTGTGACTGGGCTGGGGGGCTGGGATGGTCGGGGCAGGACGGAGACTCGGAGCAGGCCTGCCCCCTGCTGGCTGACTGTAGAACTACAACCCTCTGGCCGCGGTGGTGGGCTCTGCAGGGCTCGCCCCGCCAGCTTTTGAAAGACAATCTGCAGCTGAAATAAATGTTGAAAAGGTGTGGAATTGGAAGAGCACGTAGTAGAAAGAGGGGAGGGAAGGGCTCTGTGGGGAAGAGATCCTCATTTCTGAACATAAAGCTTGAGGAAGGCGGGAACTTGAAGTGGGTGGATATAGAGTTTCAGAGCTGTCTTTTCTGTTGTAGGAACAGGAGACTGCGGTGCATTTCTTGACTCCTCTTCCCCTTCTTTTCCTTCTCCCTTTCCCTTGCTCTCCATAATCACAAAACGCAGAAGACTGGAGTGCAGGCGGCAGGGGTCCTTGCATGGCACTGTTGGCTTTGCTGTGTGACCCTTGGAGAGAGCTGTGCCTGAGACCAGGGTGAGGCCTTGCTTGCAGGGTGGTGCTGGCGGGTTGGCGCCTGTGTGGCTGGAGACGGGGTGCTTCCTGAAATTCCGCTTCACCCCAGGCCTGGCACTGCTCAGTCGGCTCACCTGTGGATAGAGAGGGCCTCTGAGGCTCCTTTCAGAGTGAATATCTGAATTTGATGACTCTGGTTGAAGAGCTCAGGCATCAGTCACAGACTTTCCAGGGAAGCTCCCAGGATCCCCGATACTCTCCTAGGATATTCCCATCATAACCTTCAGCACTGGCTCCAGTGGTACCCTCTCTAGATTGAGGCTCCCCCTGACTTCTTTAGTCAGAGATGGGCTGTCTTCCTTGTACTCCTTTTATAGGTAGGTAGATGGTAGGTAGATAGGTAGACAGATAGATGTAGATATATTGATATACTTATAATCACGTTGTAATAATTTATTTATCAACCCCATCCCCTAGAATGCAAAGTCCTTGAGCTCCATGGACAAGGGGAAGGAGTAAGGCCTGGTGAGTGTCATGGCCAGTCTCAGTGTCTACCCGCTCCCCAATTCCTGCTTTTCCCAGCCAGCACCTGAAACACAGTATGTGTCAAATGAACGAAAGAATGAATGAATAAAGAATAAAGTGGCAGGCCGGGCGCGGTGGCTCACGCCTGTAATCCCAGCACGTTGGGAGGCCGAGGCGGGTGGATCACGAGGTCAGGAGCTCGAGAACATCCTGGCTAACATGGTGAAACCTCGTCTCTACTAAAAACATAAAAATTAGCTGGGCGTGGTGGCACGCACCTGTAGTCCCAGCTACTCAGGAGGCTGAGGCAGGAGAATTGCTTGAACCTGGGAGGCTGAGGTTGCAGTAAGCCGAGATTGCACCACTGCACTCCAGCCTGGGTGACAGAGCGAGACTCCATCTCAAAATAAATAAATAAATAAATAAAATAAAGTGGCAGAAGATGATGAAGGTTTGGCTGCACAGTTGACCTAGAAACCTGGCTTTGCCCTTGGCTTCCTATTGTATCCCTTATTCTTTGATTACCCTCATGATAGTCCTAGCTTGTCTACCTCCTGAGTGGTCCTCAAACTCATCTGCTTCTCCTCCTTTCCCTCAAGAGGCAGCCCCGCTAAGTGTGAACAGCAGAGAACATGGGATCAGGAAGACCTCAGTTCTAGTCCTGGCACCCATGCTTCACCTAGCCAGGAGAACCTAGCCAAGCCTCAGTTTCCATCTTTTTTTTTTTTTTTTTGGACAGCACAGCGTAGTGGTTAAGAGCATAGACACCCAAGCTAGACTGCCCGGGTTTTTTTTTTTTTTTTTTTTTTTGAGACAGGGCCTCCCTCTGTCACCTAGGCTGGAGTGCTGTGGTGAAATCTTGGCTCACTGTAACCTCCACCTTCTAGGTTCAAGCGATTCTCCTGCCTCAGCCTCCCAAGTAGCTGAGACTACAGGCACCCACCACCACGCCTGGCTAATTTTTTGTATTTTGGTAGAGATGAGGTTTCACCACGTTGCCCAGGATGGTCTCGAACTTCTGAGATCAGGCAGTCTCGGCCTCCCAAAGTGCTGGGATCACAGGCGTGCACCACTGCCCCCAGCCAACTGCCTGGGTTTTAATCCTGCCTCCTCCATTTGTTAGCCAAGCGGCCCTGGACAAGTGACTATTTAATCTCTCTGTGCTTCAGTTTCCTCATCCATAAACTAGAATTAATAGAATCTACTTCATAGTGTTGTCGTGAGGATTAAAAGAGCTAATACACATAAAGCCCCTAAAACAACACCTGGGACATGGTTAGTATTAACTAACGCAATAAACACTAGCAATTATTAATGAAAAGCAAAGGAATTTTATAGAACTGAAGGCAAGCACCAGAAGAGGCAGTCCCAGAAGAGGCTTTGAAAGGTAAGGAGGGAGCTTATGGATGAACAAGCGAAGCATTTCCACAAGGAACACACGCAGTGATGCTGAGGAATGATGCAGCCAATCAGGTGGCAGGGAAAAGCTCACGACTTCTTGGAACCTGCAGAGCCCAAGTTGGCATTTTTTCCAGCAGAATCAGAAGCATCAATGGGGTGAGTCCGAAGTGTCGAAAAGTGGAGCAGCTTGTTCTCTGGGATCTTCAGCGTGTTTGCTTATGAAATGTCAGCCACGCTGGCTCCCCCGACCTCCTCAGCCTCATTCCACCCCCTCTTCATCTCACCCTCCAGGCTCCATCCATAAAGAAACGTGTTCAGGTCCTCTGACAGAACTTGCTCCTCTTCCCTCAGGGTCTTCACACATGTGGGCGTCCTGCCCTGAGTACTCTCTCCTGTTTGCACCTGTTAATCCTCCCTTCAGGTCTATATTTGGATGGCAGGTTCTCTGGAAAACCTTCCATCCCCCTGTAGCCTGGGTGGGGCGGCCCTAATCTGCGCTCCCATAACACTGTGCCCTTCCCTGCTTACCCTTGTATCTGTCAGCTCCAGCTATGTAGCAAAATGCCACAGACTGCGGGGCTTAAACAACAGACATTTATTTTCTTACAGTTCTGGAGGCTGGATGTTCAAGATCAACGTGTTAGCAAGGTTGGTTTCCGGGGAAGCCTCTCTGTTTGGCTTGTAGGTGGCTGCCTTCTCCCTATGCCCTCCCATGACCTCTTTGTGCACAGGTTGGCAGAATGAGGAGGAGGGAATCTCTGTTTTTTTCTCTTTTTATAAGGACACCAGTCCTATTGGATTAGACCCCCACCCTTGTAACTTTAACCTTAATTACTTCCTTAAAGACCCTATCTCTGCAGGACACGGTGGCTCACACCTGTAATCCTAGCACTTTGGGAGGCTGAGGCAGGCAGATCACTTGAGGTCAGGAGTTTGAGACCAGGCTGGCCAACCTGGTGAAACCCCGTCTCTACTAAAAACACAAAATTAGCCGGGTGTGGTGGCGGGTGCCTGTAATCCCAACTACTCGGGAGGCTGAGACAGGAGAGTCACTTGAACCAGGGAGGTGGAGGTTGCAGTGGGCCGAGATCACGCCATTGCACTCCAGCCTGGGCAACAAGAGTGAAACTCCATCTTAAAAAAAAAAAAAAAAAAAAAGAAGACTTATCTCTAAATACAGTCACATTAGTGGTTAAGGTTTCAACATATGAATTTGGTGGGGGGTGCAATTCAATCCATAACACCCCATTAGAAGATAAATTCCACGAGGGTAGGGCCTTGTCTATGGCTATGTGTTCCCCAGCACTGAGGCCTCACCCTGTCTCCTCATGATTCTCTAATTTCTACAGAACCTGCTCATAGCAAGGGTGCAATAAATATCTGTTGGGTGAATGAATGAATGAGTCAATTACTTGTGATGACAGCAGGAGTTTGGGAAACATAAGAACTCATAATCTAGTTTTAGGTTGTCTTTTTACAGAAGAGGAAACTGAGGCATGAGGATCCTTGCTAGTTCGTGGCAGAATGAGAGTTGGCAGTCAGATTCTCTGTCTCCCCCGCTACTCTGAGTCCATGCTTTTTTCATCTGGACCAAGAGTTGTCAGATAGCTGTATAAAACTGCCGGTTAAAAAAAAATCCTTGTCCAGACTTTCCTTAGACAAAAAAGTCTTTGGGCTGGGGGTAGTGGCTCATGCCTGTAATCCCAGCACTTTGGGAGGCCGAGGTGGGAGGATCACTGAGGTCAGGAGTTCGAGACCAGCCTGGCCAACATGGTGAAACCCCGTCTCTACTAAAAACACAAAAATTTGCTGGGCGTGGTGGCGGGCACCTGTAATTCCAGCTACTGGGGAGGCTGAGGCAGAAGAATCACTTGAACCCGGGAGGCAGAGGTTGCAGTGAGCCAAGATCGCGCCATTGCACTCCAGCCTGGGTGACAGAGTGAGACTCCATCTCAAAAAAAAAAAAAAAAAAAAAAAAAAAAAAAAGAAAAGAAAAAGAAAAAGAAAAAAGAAAGAAAAGTCTTTGGTTTTTCATTGACAAGCAAATGAAACTGTCTCTCTGAGGGTCTCCTCTCATCCTAGCAACTTAGTCTGCTAGGACTAAGCAATCTGTTAAGGCACTTGAAATGTGTGTCCTCCTTCCCCTCTCATTAGAGGCCTGGAATTTGGTCTGGGTGAGGTCAGGGATTTCCTTGCCACAGGCTTTGATTCTGAGCTGACTACCCAGGTGTGTGGCTCTTTAGAGTCCTGCCTCTCTGCTAATGGGTTTTGTTAACTGTTTGTCATTTGCTTATGCAAATCTACCTCTTTCTGCATTAAAATGAACCCAATTATAAAGTGAAATTTCACAACTAAACCACTTAGTGAAGGACATTAAGCGACCAGAAGGAATTGATTTGTAAAAACTTCAGCGATAATTACCAAATGTTTCTGAAATGTGACTAAGTTCTAGGTTTTTCTTTAAACAAACACACATACTTGCACATTTTCATATATGTACTGCACAGACACTTGCACGTATTTTCACACACCTGGTTTCCATCTTCTCACTATGGGACTTGTTCTTGCTCCTTCTCTGGGTCTAAATTTTCCCCAAATAGAGGAAATTCCACCAGCCATCAGATCATGTCTGCAAAGTTCTTGGAAACCTTCCAAAAGAAATGGCCACTGGGCCGAGGAAGCTGGGGCGGGGGGCAGGAAAATAGAAGAAGGCATAGTGGTTTTAATAAAGTCTCTTGACCACTTTGGTGATTGATTGATATATTTTGGCATTTGCTTCCCTGCTCTGCTGTAATCGATAGCAGTTGTAGGCCGAGGAGCAGGAAAGGGTGGGAACGTGGGATGGGGGCAGCATTGATTGATCTTTACGGGAAACAGCCTTGCCTGGTGATTGCAGTGCTATGGCACAAGAAACAGGACCTTGTGGTCCCAGGGAAAGGTGACTTTCCTTATACCCCCTCCCTCCCCTGCCAGGCAGGATGGCATGGCGTGCAGAAACTTGGAGATGGATAAGGATACACTGGCATCCACCTAAAAAAATGAGCCATGCTGGTGTTTGGGAGAGCCAAAGTCACACTCACCTCTCCCCTTGCACCCTCAGTTCGAGCGCAGAAATCATAGTCTCCTGGGCTGCTGCAGGACAGGGTGGGAAGAGTCTTTAAGGGTGAAGAGGTGATGAAATGCTTACGGGTTCCAGGTTACATCTATATCCAGGAATGACTCCAACTCCCTTGGCAGCATGCTGCTGCTCAGACCGTATAATGTAGAGGTGACTTCAGCACAGACTCTGGAGCCAGCTTGCCTGCATTCAAAGCCGGCCCTCCACTTACTGTGCGACCTTAGATGGGTTAACTCACCTTCCTTGTACCTTGATTCTCCCATCAGTAAAATGGAGATGACAACAGTACCTATTTCCTAGGGTTGCTGTGATAGTGATGAGAGTTAATGCATGCAAAGGACTTGGAAGGGCTCTGGCATAAAGGAAATGCTATGTATTAATATATGTTGCTATTATTATCTGATGGTGGTGAACACCCAGGCTGGCATCCATGATTTATGGGTGGAAACTTAAAGGCACAAGTTTCTCTAATCAAACAGGGTCATCACAGCTTTTGTCTTCTGGTGCTGAGAACACAAGGCTCAGGACTTGGCATCTGCTAAATAATTCTCTTAGTGCATCAGCCTATTAGCTACAGGATTTCTCAACCCTTTTAGATTAATACTTTTTCCTCAAAGCTTTTAAAAATAGCAGAAAAATAGGAATAATTTGGATTGGGAATGATAGTTTCAGTGTCCAAGAGGTACAATTAAGACAGATATTCATTCATTTAACAAACACCAAACTCCTACTAAGTGCAAGACAGTTTCAACTGATGTGATGGTTTCCATCCATGAACCTGAACTTAGTGCAGATACACTCAGATGTGTAATCACAACCCTCTGCAATGTCATAAGTAGTTTTCATGTAACTGGAGATCCCTCTGTCAGAGCAACATGCTCAAAATAGAAAATGGTTTAAGGAGCATTTGCCACATAACATTTTTGTTGAAAACATATTCATTTTTGAAGTATAGTTGTATTTTCTTCTATTGACATGGGTGAATGTTTGGTTTTTAGAAATTCATTTTAGCACATGAAGTGACTTTGGGGCTTATTTTCTTTCTAATCATAGAGCTGGATGCCGTGACTAACGGCAGCTGGCAGATTGGCAAGTGAGTACCAAGGGACCCAGGTTGAGGGGTTCCATGACAGGCTCCTAAGAAGTGAGAACTGGAAGGAGCCCCAGGGATTATTGAGGTCATCCCTTTCATTTGAAGGCTGAGCCCTTGGTGGTGGGTATGGCTTTTCACAGCTGAATTGGAACCCGGGCCTCTTGATTCCGAGCATGGTGCTATTTCCCGTGCTGTGAGCCTGTTGTTGATGCCCTCCCAGCTCTGCAGCAGGCCCTTTGCCTTCTTCAAATCGCCTGCTGATCTTAGGTTCCTGTATCAGGCTAAGTTATTATCTGATAATCAGTTCAAGTCCATGAAGATGCTCTGAGTACTTGACTTGGTGCCAAGCATTGTGTTAGGGCCAGGATATCAAAATAAGATATGAAACCTACCAAGGAGACTGTGACAGACGGTATTAGTGTGCCCAATTGTTTGCTGCCTTGCCCTGTGAAAGGCTTATACTGATGTCAGACCTGGTCATGTGGCTTGCTTTGGCCAGTGAAATTTGAGCAGAAGCTTTCTCCTCAAAGCCTGAGCAGGAGGTTTCAGGGACATTTTGCGGTTCCACTGCGTTTTCTCTTTTTTATCTTCTAGAAGAGTGGCATGTCCAGAATAGGGCCAGGCCTCTCTAGCTGGGTCCCACAATGAAGAGAAGACGTGGAATGCCAGTGCCACAGCCGATGTGTAACATAATGAGAGATAAACCTTTGCATGGTGAGCTGCTGTGATTTTATGGTTGTTTATCCCGCAGCATAACCAGCATAAGCTGATGGCCACAGAGAGAATCACAAATCAGTTGGAGAGATGGTTTATTTACAACCGAAACACAGGGTGATGGATGCTTTGCTAGATGCATCCACAGAAGATTCAAAAATAGGTGAAAAGAGGGAATAACTCTCTCTTTGGGAAGGAGGGTTCAGGAAAGGCTTTCTAGGAGAGGAGATAGATTGGAGGTGTTTAAAGGTTGAGGAGATGTCCACCACATTAGGTGATTAGAGCTTTATTTATTGAAGCACTCTAATCAGAGAGACCAGCATGCACAGACATGAAATATCACAGCATATTTGAGAATTGCCTGTACCCTCCACAGCTGTAGGCCAGGGTCAGCATTCTTTATCTTTGTAGCCTACTGGTCTCCAACCACTGTGTCAGGTCCCCAAGGGGTATCTGCAGAAACGCGGATAAAGACGCATCGTTTATTTCGATCAGAGCTTTGACCACAAATCCTCATCTGATCCCACAGCCTGAAAAGCTGAGCTGGGATGTGTGCATGTCATGTGGACTCTCTTATAAAAGTTTAATTTTTATTTATCAAAGAATATATATAGATAGTTTGGAAATCAACAGTGGCCTCGCCTCACCTCTCCACGCTCCCAAGTCCTGCCCCAAGGCAGTTACCATCAACTCCTACATCTCATTTCTTTTTTGTGTATATCGCTGTGTTTCTAAATAATATGCTTATATTGTTACTACTTAATTGACCAATTTTAGGAATTATGTATTGATTTACTGCCATGTAGAGAGCTTAATTCTCTCATGGTGTTGTCTCCCAACTCCATCCTTGTTCTTCCCCTCCTCCTATCTCTTCAACATAAACTTACTCTTTAGTTCAATCACTATTTGATGTTTCTATGCTAATGACTATGCAAATATAATTTGCTACCAAGTCAAGTAGTACAATGTGACCTTGTGTCCTTTTTCATACAATCCATTGTTTTTCCTGGAATTTACTTTCTATGCATTCAGGCTCATCTGTTTTACTTTTTCCCCATATAGTAATCCCTCCAAGAATCTTGTGTTTTTCTGTTTCAACCTGGATTAGCTGCTTTATAGGAATGCTGTTTAACTGTCATCCAGAGGCTTCAATTTACCATAATTTTGAATTTTTCCTTTATTGTCTTCCTGTGGTAAATACCCTATTTCCTGAATTCCATGTATTCTATGTTGCCCTATAGTCTAACTTTATTAAACCCCATCCTCCAATAACTTCCTAAGATAGGGTGCCTAGGAGGTCATTTTCTTGAGTCATTAAATATCTGAAAATATCTCTAGACTACTGTGATATGTGACTGATAATTTATTTGGGTATCGAATTTTAGATTAAAGAACAGTTTCTTTCAGAATGTAAAAGGCATTTCTGTGATATCTTTTAACATCTGAGGTTGCTCTTTTTAAAAGTTTAATTTTTTTTTTTTTTTGAGACGGAGTCTCGCTCTGTTGCCCAGGCTGGAGTGCAGTGGCGCGATCTCGGCTCACTGCAAGCTTTGCCTCCGGGTTCACACCATTCTTTTGCCTCAGCCTCCCGAATAGCTGGGACTACAGGCGCCCGCCACCACGCCCGGCTAATTTTTTGTATTTTTTAGTAGAGACGGAGTTTCACCATGTTAGCCAGGATGGTCTCGATCTCCTGACCTCATAATCCGCCTGCCTCGGCCTCCCAAAGTGCTGGGATTACAGGCGTAAGCCACAGCGCCCGGCCAAAAGTTTGATGTTTTTATGCTCGTTTCTTTTACCTGTGTTTTAGGACTTTTAAAATGTTTTATGTTCTAAAATGTCATGATAATGAAGGTGGTGGGCATTGGTATATGTCTTTTCTATTCTTTGTGCTGGGCTCATTAGGAGACTAATGTCTTTTTTTCTCTCCTATTATCCATCTCTACCATTTTGCTTCACTCTTTGAAAGATTTCTTCAACTTTATCTTCTAAACTTTATATTCAATTTTTGAAAAACTTTTAGTTATATTTTTAATTTCAAAGAGGCTTTTAAAATTAAAAATTTATCTTTTCATTGTAATCTCTTATTGTTTTATGAGTACATTTTTTCCTCTTTTTGAGAGTGTTTTTGAAGCATTACTGCTCTTTTGAAATTTTCTTTTATTCCTTGCAAGAGCTCTATTGCTCCATTCCTCCTCCTTTTTTTTTTTTTTCTGTTTTAGTTTCCCTTTTCCATGTTTGCAAATTTCTTTAAATATCTGGTGATCCTCTGTTTGTTCATATTTGAGAAAGAGGCACTAAAAGTTGATTTGGGGAGCTTGGGATGTAACTGGGCAGTTTGTTGACCAGTGGGCTTCCTACAGGTTATTGGGTCACAAGCCAACCTTTTTATTGAGGTGCCTTCGATACCAGTAACTGCAGTTCCCTCTGGGGCTCTTCAACCCTTGCAATCTACTGGCTAAGGTTGGTGGTATTGGGGAGTTGCTAGCAAGGCCGGGAAAAGGACAGAAGGGCACACAGTTGAGCATGCAGACCGCTCCCTAATTCTTTTCACTTTCCACCATACTTGGTGTTCCCAAATCCAGTATTGTTCTTATTCAGTTTTTTCAAAGAAAAAAGTTCATTTTCTGGAGACAGAGGAGACTGGCTGAGTGTCTGTGTGGGGTGCGTGGAGCCCTTTTTTAAAAACCGGCTTCCCACCATCGTCTGCTGTCCAGCCAGGAGCCTGACCCCAGGCCACTGAGCTTGGTGCCTCAGAGGGCTCCACTACTCAGGGTTCTGCAGAGTCGCTCAGCCCCATCACAGGCTCTGGGCTTGTGACTTCTCTCTGTGGAGCCAGTTACCATTCTTCCTTCTTTGTTTTTTTCAGAAAAACAATGGTGGAACTCTCTCGTCCACTGTTTTTATGTTTATTCTTTCCTCTCCCATTCCTGTTGCCCTTGGTTATTACCTTTGCTGTTTCCAGAGGCTGAGCTGGTAATTCACAGGCTTCTCTGGGATGATAGCCACAATGCCGGAGAAGAAGGTGGGGGGTGACCAGCGCCATTCTGCGTGTCACAGCACTCTGGGCACTCCTCAGTCCCCCTGGCAGGCTCCTCTTCTTTGAGTTGTCCCTTCGGTATTGGTGTTCCTCAGGCTCCTGCCCCATATGGACCCTTGCACCTTTTGTATGAGCTGAAGCCTGGGGCAGGCCCAAGGTCTGCTCCCTGGCCCCTTTCTCTGAGCACATGTCCTGTTGTTGGCTCCTGAATTAGACAGGAGGAGGCAGAGAAGACAGAGAAGGCAAAGCTGGATGGCACCAACTGCTCAAGGACTCGGGGCCTCACCTCCTTCGGGCCCCACCTGGTGCTTGTCTGGCTTTTGGTTTCCATGACCCCAAACAGGAGGCGCTTCCAGTTTGCCCCAGTTACACCAGCCTCCTGAGAGGGCAGAGAGGTAGAGAATGCCCCTTTTCCTGGTCCAGTTCTGTTCACTGATTCCAAAATTAATCAGACACTGCTCTTGGTGTTGAAATCATACTTGTGAGCAAAGCAGACTGGATCTTACCTTCATGGAAGTTATAATCTAGTTTCAGAAAAGATAACAATAACAATAAAACAAAAACACTCTACTCCATTGTACAGTGGCCCCATTGGGGTCACTCTGCCATCTGTGTGTCCAGGTGTTTTTTATTTTTATTTATTTATTTATTTTTGAGACAGGGTGTTGTCTTATCTCCCAGGCTGGAGTACAGTAGTGTGATCATAGTTCACTGCAGCCTCAGCCTCACAAGCTCAAGTGTTCCTCCTGTCTCAGCCTCTCAAGTAGCTGGGACTACAGGTGCACACCAACATGTTTCGTTAATTAAAAAAAAATTTTTTTTGGTAGAGATGGGGCCTTGCTAAGTTGCCCAGGCTGCTCTTGAACTCCTGGCCTCAAGCAATCCTAAAGTCCTGGGATTATAGGCATAAACCACTGCTCCTGGCCCCATGTGGTTCTTATCCGATTCTTGAGCTCCTATTTCCTAAGACAGGAATGGGAGGATTAGGGGAAGTCATGGAGGAAGCAGGGAGCTTTTGAGTAGGTGATCAGAACACACAACACTGTTTCATGCCTCCATGCCATTTCCACCTAGACGGACATTCCAGACGAGATCGGGTGCGTTCAGAGTGGGATGGCTGTAGACTGGACGTTTTGTTCCTTGTCATTTTGGCAAATTCCATTTATTCCTCGAAACTTCCATAATCCCTTCCTGTGCAGTCTTCCCTAACCCCCTTCCCTCTCAGCATTAACCCCACGCTCTTCTGTACTCCTTCCTTACTTTGTATAATCAACTGCTCCCTGAGGTAGGCCCTGCTTCAGGTGCTGAAGGTACCCCTTGAGCAGTATGTGGAGAACAAGCCAGAACTTTGGGGCCACACCCGTTCAGGTTGAGTCCCAGCTCCACTACATGCTAGCTTTGGCCACAAGCAAATGAATTAATCTCTCTGAGCCTCAATCTTCTCATCTGTGGAATAAGAATAGTGGAACCTATGAACTGCTTTGGCGGTGAAGTGACTGCAAAGCGCCCAGTGACAGCACATAATTGGCACTCGAATGTTGGTTCCCTTTCTTTTCTCCCTTTAAGGAGTTCCCAGTCTGATGAGGGGAGAAAAGTAAACAAGCCAATAAATACAAGCATTTGTCATAGATGCTAAAGGTGATAAAGAAACGTGAAATAAGCAATCCTGAATTACAAGCATGGATTTATGAGTCTGCTGCACTAGACCATGAGAGCCTCAAGAGCAGGGCCACATGATTCTGTTCTTTTCAGCCCTGTGCCCCTAGCACCTGGCGCAGCCTCTGGCACATAGTAGCTGCTCACTAAATGTCTGAGAAAATGAAATGGGAATGGCTCCTGTTTTACCTGATCACAGTCTGATGGCCAGAGCCTGCCCAGCTGTTCCTACTTCAGAGAAGGGAAAAGTATAATTTATCAGCCAGCTGAGATGAGAATCTTCACTCCTCACTAGAGGCAAATTTTTCCAAACATTCTCACAGTCTGGGACATGAGCACTGCCCCACACCTCTTGTATTGTGGGAATGAGGTACCAGAGATGAGGGGTGACTCGATTCATCCACTGTCCTCTTGTGAGACCAGCCTTTCTCGGTCTCTCTGAGCACCCAGACATGCAGACCTCCACCAGCTTATCTATCCTATTCAAATGAGTCTGTCTCCCAAGAACCAAACATTTTTTCTCCCTGGCCCTGGCTTGAAATGAAACAACTTAGCCCATAGACAGTTTTATGGTCCCTTGCCCTCCATTCCTCTTGTCGAGCTGCGCTGGTGAAAGCCCAGCCCAGGCTATGATTTATACAGCTCTCCCAGGCCCCTGTTGGATTCGGAGTCTGGAACAATAAGACAGGGCTATCCATCACCCCTCTGCTCATGTCTCTCTGGACTCATTGGGAAGCAAGGAGGGGTTGGTGGCAGAGAAGACAGCCTCAGGGGTCCTGCCCAGAGAGCATTTGTCACATTGATGGAATGCACGGGGCGGGGGTGTGGTGGGGACAGTGGAGGCTTTTTATTTCACCCTAAGCCTGCCCTGTGACAGCCAGGATGGAGTGAGCCTGGGACAGGGGTGAGAATACACCTGGGGGTGGGGGTTGGTGCAGGAAGAGAATTAGAGCTCAAAGGCTGATCCTGACTAAGGATGCTGCCCTCACGCCTGCTCCAGCTCAGAATGCAGCAACTGCATGGGTCAAGACCAGCTTCCCCACCCTCCCTGTGCAGCACAGTCCCCAGTGTCAGCAGGCATGCCACACAGATAGGTGTTCACTCACTGACTACATCCCCTTTCCCCCTTAATCTCTCACCTGGCCTCGGGATCAAAGCCATTCAGAGAAGTCCTTACACACTGTGTGACTGTGTGCTTGTGTGTCCCTGTGACTGTGTACCTGTGTGACTCTGTGACTGTGTGGTTGTATGATAATGTGTCAGTGTTTCCATGTGACTTTGTGACTGTGTGTCTGTGTGACTTTGTTACTATGTGACTGTATGTTAGTGTTTCTGTGTGACCTTATGACTGTGTGTGTGATGACGTGTCAGTGTTTTCGTGTAACCTTGTGACTGTGTGACTGTGTCTGTGTTCTGTGTGAATGTGTGTCAGTGTGACTGTGTGTCTGTGTGACCGTGTGACCATGTATCAGCGTCTCCACGTGACCTCGTGATTGTGTAGTGCTTCTGTATGGCTGTGTGTTTGTGTGACTATGTGTCTGTTTCTATGTGACCATGTGTCAGTGTGACTGTGTGTCTATGTGATTGTGTGACCATGTGATCATGTATCAGTGTTTCCATATGAACTTGTGACTGTTTCTGTGTGACTGTGTCAGTGTGACTGTGTCTGTGTTTCTGTGTGACTGTGTTAGTATGATTGTGTGACTGCATGCCAATGTGGCTGTGTATCTATGTGACCATGTATCAACGTCTCCATGTCACCTTGTCACTGTGTAATGTTTCTGTGTGACAGGGTGTTTGTGAGACTATGTATCTGTGTTTCTATGTGACCATGTGTCCGTGTGACTGTAGGTCTATGTGATTTTGTGACTGTGTGATCATGTCAGTGTTTCCATGTGAACTTGTGGCTATGTTTCTGTGTGATTGTGTGTGTGACTGTGTCTGTGTGTCAGTGTGAACAGTCAGTGTGACTGTATTTCTATGTGATTGTATGACTGTGTGACCATGTGTCAGTGTCTCCAAGTGACCTCGTGACTGTGACTGTTTCTGTGTGACTGTTTGTGTGACTATGTGTCTGTTTCTGCATGACCATGTGTCATTGTGACTGTGTGTCTGTGTGATTGTGTGACTGTGTGACCATGTGTCAGTGTTTCCATGTGAACTTGTGACTGTTTCTGTGTGAACACGTGTCAGTGTGACTGTGTGTCTCTGTCCTACCTGTCCGTATGTGATGAGTGCATGCCATGCGTGTGTTTGCAGCTGCACACAGGTCCACAGGAGTCCAAGCAATAAGTAAGACCTTTCTGAGAGTCAGGGGGTTTACATTCTTGAGTGGGTGACCCAAGGGAAGCCATGACTTTGGCTTCTGTGAATAATTCAATGCTCTAAGCCTGGGGCTGAAGAGATGCCACGCAGCCAGGAGGAAAGGAACTGGGACCCTGTACATGGTCTTCTGTGCTTTCTGACCTTGCTCACACAAGGCAGAGAGGAGGTTGATATGTGGAGATTGTAAACAACTTGAAATTGCCATTCTTTCTAGGAGTCCCCACCCTTTGGGTTGGGGAGCCCCTCCCAGGAAAAAAAATTGTGGTGGGGATGGGGCCCAGAGCTGTGAGAACAGCGAGTCCCTGTACCCCCACCTGTGCAGAGGGAAGGCTGCGATGCATTGTCTGCCACTCTGGCAGGGTGCACATACCCTGGAGACAGCATTTTGGTTGTCGGGAAATTAGAGGCTTTGTTCAAAGCCAAGAAAAAAAAAATTGATGCCCAAATCCAGGAGCTGAAGAAAAGAGAATTCCAGGGC
This sequence comes from Homo sapiens, assembly GCF_000001405.40. Lineage (NCBI taxonomy): Eukaryota > Metazoa > Chordata > Mammalia > Primates > Hominidae > Homo > Homo sapiens. Next base: position 125,156,676 of record NC_000011.10, read on the forward strand.
TGTGGTGCGGTTGTGTCTTTGTTGTGTCTTTTTCTTTTAGTGCTGCTGAAGCAATAACATGTAATGACCTGAGCGTCACTGCCTTTCTGCTGCCAGCTGCCTCCAGCGCCTGGGAAGTTGGCTGACCTGAGGAGAAGCCAAGGGTGGCTAATGAGTCATTAAGAGTCTTTATCAAATTAGGATTATAATCCATCTCAACATGCAGAGGAAAATGTTTCAAATTATCTACTTTCTTAATTGCAACTCAAAGATTTGGCAGGAAATTATCATGAGAGATAATGTCTGGAAATTGATGGATTGTGCTGATGTGTGTCTAAGCTTCCCTAACTCTAATAGCTGGAGAATTTATCCACACACACACACACACACACACACACACGTACATATGCTTACACTGACACTTTGTATACACAAACACCCCTGCTATCCGTACTGGTTCAAGTTACTACCCAGGCAGACACACACACACTCATGCACACACAGATTATGTCTGCATAGAAGGTCAAGAAATTTGCATTTATTAGTAATTTGAATAGGCTGAGATTGTTACCAGATGCTGAGAGACTGAGAGATTGGGAAGGAGAAGGTAGGATATAAAAGAAACACTAAATCCTTGCCTTCATGAAGTTCAAAAGCTGCTTGAACTAATGTATACGTACTCGAAATTTAAGAACACATACAAAGGATCATACAAATGTATACTACTATGATGGGAATGTGAACACATAAGCTCTGGGGATACAAGACATAGGTGTCCTGAATGAAGTAGTTTCTGGAGTGGATGAGTTTTGATTTGGGTGTGGACATTACTACTGGGTATTGTGAAAGTAGCCAATGGGAATAAAGGCAGAAAGAGACTTACTGAGTCTGTCAAAAGGACCACGCAGCCAAGCAGTGACACAACATATATGCAAAATCTCCGGAGACGGGTGAGGCTGGAAGACAAACCCTGATTTGTGTTGAGAATCCAAGTGGACTCTTACTTGACTGTTAAATCGGGAGAGATTTGAACACCCTTTCCATGTCCCTCCTACTAGGCCTCAGTTTCTCTGCTGTAAAATATGGGTGTGATCTGAAGGCAGAATTAGGCTTTTCCACATCTCTCATGGCCCCTGAAAACCTTAAAGATTTCTGGGAGTTCAGGGATTCTGATTTATTCGTCTTCATAGCCGAGTGCCTTCTATGTGCCTGGACAGCCTAGATGCTGAATGGGAACCAATGAGCTGGTAAGTTTCTTAGAGGCTATCAGTGTATGCATGCTGAATGAGTGAATCAGTGAATAAATGAATGGATGAGGGGGGCAAGGGAGTGAACGTTTATGCTTTATGAAGGAGCAATTCAGAATGGTGGTTTGGAGTGTGGGTTCTGATGGCAGCCTGTCTGAGTTCACACCTGGCGACAAGTTCCTTCACTTACCTAAGCCACATAGGGGTGCTGTGGAGATCTGATGAACAATGCATGTTCGGCACTCAGCATGGAGTCTGGCACCCAGCCAATAAGCAATACATATTAGCTATTATTATTGCTGTTGTTCCGTTTTGTTCTTCCTTGCTAAGTAAACCGTGGTCCCTATGCGAGGTAAGCTGGGGGTTTCTTGCTCCCTCATTTGGTCACTCTTCTTCACTGTCCCTTTCTAATGCAATAAGACGGGACCATCTTCTGCAGGGCATGTGGCCTTCACCCCTTCCCAGGGTTGTTGGTTGTTTCTCTGAGCCCTGCAGTCTGGCTGCCATGGGGCCCAGCTGCCAGAATACAGTTGGGAGCCCAGCCATGCAAAATCCTTAGCTCAGGAGGGCTTAGAGTTTGGATGCAGCATCAAAGGCAGCAAATGCTGATAGGGTTCCTCCCTGGGTACAGGGAGAAGAGGGTCCACTGGGTGAGCAGAAGGATGCAGATGGTTCTGTGTGAGGTGGTGGTGATGCGAGTGATGAGAATGGAGATGGTGCTGAAGGAGAGGATGATGGCAGCGGGAGTGACAGTTCTGATGGCGAGGAGGCTACTGAAAAGGAGATAGGAGACAAGGGGCTCAGGGATGGATCCTTCAGTCCAAATGGGAGAGGTGGTTTTTGTTTGGGGAGAATAATGCTTTCAAAACCCCATGTAACCCTGGGCAGGGGTTGTGGGCAGGGAGTTCTTAGCCACCTCTGCAGTCTGAGGGAGGCCCTGAATAGCCTAATGATCTCCTTTCATGCTGGTCCTCTGTGGGGTCGGCAGAAGCAGAAGAGATGGAAGAGCTGGAGAGCTGGAGTGATACATAATAAATAATAAAGGTTTCAGCATCCAAACATAGCTTCTACCAGAACAAAAATGAAGCCTGGAAGGGAGGCTTCAATAAATGGAATGCAAGTCGCATAGTAATTTTAAATTTGCTAGTGGCCACACTGAAAAAGTAAAAAGAAACAGGTGAAGATATTTTTAATGACCTATTATATTTTTATTTAACTCCATGTATCCACAATATTACTATTTTAATATGTAATACATATAAAATAATTATTAATGAAATGTTTCACATTCTTTTTTATAGATGAAATCTTCTAAATTTATTACACACACAGCCCATCACAGTTAGGACTAGCCACCTTTCAAGCGCTCAGGGCCTGCATGTGGCTAGTGGCTGCTGTAGTGGACAGCACAGGTTTAAATCCTTCTTTCTCAAATTTTTTTGGCCAAACTTTTGGGATGGCATTTCCCAGAAATGGCTCTTTTTGGAAATCGTCATAACATTCTCTCTTCTCTTCCTAAATATAGTCTAAATATTCTCTCTTCCAATCTCTCTCTTTCTCAGTTCTTTCAAGCTGGCTGTGATCCTTCCCACCCCTTGCTAGAACCTAGAAAGAACTTTGAAATTACTCAGAAATCTTCTTTTTCCTTTCCTGCCACCCACAGATCCTCTTATCTGGAGCTAAGGCCAGGACAGCTCCCACCTGAGAGCTGGTATCTGTGTGTCTTCTGTGTGTGTGTGTGTGTGTGTGTGTGTGTGTGTGTGTGTGTGTGGACTTGGGGTGGGGTGGGGAGATGCTTGGGATAAGTAAGGGATGGGGAGGAGACAGTGCTTGAAGAAACTTCCCTAAAGTGCATCAGTACCATAAAGAAGATGGGTTTTTAAAAAGCTTTGGGGATTATATTGCTCCTATATTAGAGGAGCTGGTTAAAGGCATGACCCAATTAATTGCCTATCGTGTGCCCAGAGGACAGGCTTCATCCCCCTGCTTCAGAGGGTGGGAGTGGGATGAGGGAGCTGAGAGGCTTTCCCAGGGTCAAAAAAAAAAAAAATCAGACATGGGCAAGGGGCCTGGACATCCCAGCTTTCAGCTCAGAGCAAAATCCTGGACCCGCACTCCCTTTTGGAGGATTTCTAGCATCTGAGTTTTTATACCTCTCAGGTCTCCCCTTGTCTGCCCACCCCTTTCTCCAAAGGATGTGCCCTTCCTGCGTTATTTCATCAGGAACGGAGTCTTCCTCACTTGGCCCTGGCTCCCCCCACCACAGCCCCACCTGGATCCAGGGTCAGGAAGGAGGCCTTAGGTAGAGAGAAGCGTCCCCCTGCCCTCATTTCCTTGCTCCCATTATCCGTGTTGCAGCCCTCAGGGCCTGTGGCAGCTTTCTCTGTAAACAATATCTCCCTTCCTCAGGCCAATTAAATAAGCACTATAATAAAGGCAAAGGCAAATGCAAAGCACTGGGCAGCCCTGTGTAAAGGGCTATTAAACCTAATGCTGCCATTCATTTATTGAAGAGCCTCCCATGTGCCAGGGACTGTGCTAAGCTCGTTAGATTTGTGATTTTATTTAATCCCCATGGTGTCATGAGTTGGATTCTATTATCATCCTCATTTCACAAACACAGAAACTGAGACTTGGCACTCACCAGTAATGTCCCAGATAGCTGGCCATTTCATTACAGGGTGGAGAGCTGAGCCAGGGCCTGGCGATCCCAGAGCTGGTGTTCTCTTTTGGGGGATCCAAGGATCCTTTGAAGAGAGGTGATGTTTCCATGAAAGCTTATAAGCAGATAGGATTCAGAAGGTAGGAAAAGGGGGAATGAAAACCCGGGGCTGAAGGAAGAGTGTGAGCAAGTACAGGAAGGGCCCAGAATCCAGAATGTACTCTGGGGCCCATGAGCTGGAGCAGGAGTGCTGGGTAGAATGGAAGTGCCCAAACCTCACAACTGCAGTGACTTTTAAAATACGGGCTCCAAGGCCTTTCTCCAGACTGATTTCTCTAGGGGTGGAACCTGGAACCCTGAATTATAAAGAAGTTCCCCGGGGGTTGGGGTGGGGGTTCTGATGCAGCAGGAAGCACTGGAAATCACTAGAAGGTGGAGTTGGGGAGGCGTTGGCAGGAATGGAGCAGATTAGCCTGAAAGGGGATCAGGGCCAGATGAGGACTAACATGAAGACCTTGCTAAGTAAGGAGTGTGGCATTCAAGGTCCTTCTTTTTATTATAAGGCCCAGTAACTTTTTAGGCTAAATCTTATAAGCAATGGAAAGCTACTGATGATTTTCAGGAGAAACCAAGGTGTGATCCAACCTTTGTTATAGGAAGAACATCCTTGTGCAAGTGTATAGGAGGGATTGGAGATACTGGAGGCATTGAGACCAGTTAAAAAATTATCAAAATATTCCAGGTGACTAGTGATAAGTCTGTCAACTAGGACTGGAACAATGATGTTTCATTCAGTTCAATCCAACAAGCATTTCTTTAATATGTTTTCTGGATTGGGCACTGGACCAGGTTTTAGGGATCCTAAGATGAAATAAGATATTGTCCCCATCCTCAGGGAACTCGCAATCTATCAATATTCATTAAAAATAATTAAGTTGAGAGTGAAGGGAACTGTAGTTGGGTGGTATTATGGACTAAATTGTGTCCGCCACCCCAATTAATATGTTGACACCCTAACCCCCAATGTGACCGTATATGAAGACAGGGCCTTTAGGGGGGTTAAGCGAGGTCATAAGGTTAGGCCGCAATCCAACAGGACTGTCCTTATAAGACGAGGGAGAGACCACCAGAGCTGTCTCTCTGCCTGTGTACACAGAGGAGAGGCCACGCGAGGGCACAGTGAGAAGGTGCCATCTACAAGCCAGGAGGAGAAGCCTCTCCAGAAACCAACTCTGCTGGCACGTTGATCTTGAACTTCCAGCCTCCACAACTGTAAGAAAATCAATGTCTCATGTTGAATCCATCCAGTGTGTGGCATTTTGTTGTGGCAGCTTGAGCAAACTAATACAGACAGGTCTTAAATTTTTATTCATATTGTGACATTGGCAGAATTCAGTTGGGCCATTGATCACCCACATTGGAAGATTGGAGGAGGCAGCCTGGGCTGGTGTGGGCTGCTTATACCACAGACAAAGTGCAGGTAGAGTGAGAAGAGGGCCCAGAACCAAACAGAAACTCCAAAATTTAGGAGTGATAACTAGGATTTGTAGAAACTTCTATTTGGTTATAATGTCAGTGTGTTGATGGCTTATGCAATACAACATGTACATTCCTCTCCATTCTCTTCTTCATCCTCAGAGGGATGATGGGGAAGAAATTGTAGAGTATCTGTAGTGAATTCTTAATTTCTACTCTATCCTTTCTCTACTCATTGACAGAGCCAAAACTGAGATGTGGAACTCATGGAATTTGACATATTGACAACTCATTTCTTCATTAAGTATTTACTAGCTTGTGTCTTCTGTTGATTCCTGTATTATTGCTACTTAATGTTTTACATATTGGCGCTTTGTCTTCTTCAACAAATGAATGCTTCTTGAGGACAGGAGCCATAACCTGAGCCTCTTTGCTTCTGCTCTTTATTCTTAGTGCTAGCACACAGCAGAGCTTCTGGTGGGTGCAGGGAAAATATTTGCCTTCAGTGATTATAAAAACGATGGTTATATTTTGGATAATCATTTTTTAAGCTCTTGCAAATGACAAAAATAGTCAAAGCAAGATATATTTACTTAAAACTACGATGTGCAGTTTAAAGCACCAAAAAGGTATTAGTGAAAATCATAGTATTTGAAGACTCCAAAAATTAATAGCTCATGGCAATGGATCTCCCATATCAGGAAAGTGTTGGGCATTGATCTAGATTTCAGAAAACGAGGGGTGTGACAGGTGTAAATCAGTGATCCAAGGCTGTTGCCTGCGGTCCTATTTATGGCTCACTGACACCTCTCTGATGGGGTGAATTCAGCCTGATTTTCCCCTCTGACTCTGCAGGCTGCAGCAACTCACTGGGAGCCATGGGAAAGAGAGAAACTCCTCCCTCCAGGGGTCCTGGGCAGAGACAAATGGATCTCCCCTCCCCCTCCCTTATCTGAAGAGGGCTTCCCTCTGAGAGTTTATGGCAGCCTGACCTCCAGCCTCTGGGTTGGAGAATCTGGCCGCTTCTGTACCACATAAAAAGGGCAAGTGCATTCATTATTATTATATTATTATACAATGTATAATATATAATAGCGATTATGCTGTCAGCAGCCAGAGACTCTGACTGCAGATCAGAGGCTAGGGTGACATAAATCCACCTAGTGAAGTTTTTGAAGGTTCTATGTGAAGGTGAGAGGATTCTAATCTGTCTATAATGGGGGCTACCACTGAAGAGTTTCTCCCACAAGCAACGTTGGTGGGTGGATTTGAGGGTATTGGGAGGATCTGGACAAACAGTAGTGTGTGTATCTGGGATGTGATATAAGAAGGGTCTCAATTGCCTCCCCTGAGCCAGGCAATGCTAACAGCTCTCATCCTTGCCCATGACGGAGGCGGGTGAGTGGCGACCCAGAGGCCTGAGAAGAGCTCAGGGGCAGCCTTCAACTTCTTGGGTCAGATTCTTTACTGAAAACCCAGAGGCTGGGTTTCACTTTCTGCTTTCCCGCTTTTGTCGGTGTCTTTGTCTGGGCTTCTTCCAGGCCCCCTGCCTGGCCTGGGGTCAGAGGATCAATGGCTGCCTGACTGGCTGAAAGGGCTCCTCTATGGGGAGCAAGAAGCAAACTTCCAGAGGCAGAAGGGGTTCTCTTGTCCCTTTATGCGGAGGGCCATGTGCTAAGTTGAGGAAGCAAGCAAGTGTGCTCCTGTGTGTGGCTCTTAGTAGGACTGTGATCTCTGCTGAGTGAATGGAGGCGCTTGTGGGTCTACACATGCCTGCTTTTGTCTTCCACTGTAGAGGGCATGTAAGGAGCCCATTTCCTCCCTGATGTAGATGAAGCCACCCCAGCAGGCCCAGGCTGAAACAGCCCAGCTGGTCTTTCCCTTTATATGACTGCACCCCAGCCCCCAGAACTCTGGGAACTCACTGAGTTTCTTGAGGACTTTTTATTAGAATGAAAATAGCAGTGGCTTAGAACAGGCTTGCCTGACATTTGCAAAGAAGTGCTTTACTGACAAAGCCTATCCACTCTTTCCTCTCTCCCTCTGCCCCACCTTGAACCAGACACCCCGGGAAGCCCACAGCAGAAAAAGCTCTTGAGACCAGGAATAACTAACCAGAGTGTCATCTGAACACCTTTTCTGGGGCCAGGGTAATGAGAATTATTCAAATGCAATCATAAAAATGAGGCCAGCCAGGCAGGAAAAGGGGGAGGGGGAGTGCTGGTGGAAGGAAGGATTTCTTGCCCGTTTTAAGTTTCATCATTTCTGGGGAGTTCTCTTGGGGTCCACAGAAAATCTCACCTCATCTCGGTCCCCTCAGCACCGGTGATATCTTGGAACTCGGCCCCGGTTGTTCGCTAAGGAGGACTTGGCTTGGGGGCGGGAGGGTGCTCCAGAGTTCCTGGGGGTCCACCGCACTCCCCATCCGAGGCTCCTCGCGAGCGGAGCCGCTTCTCCAGGCCGCCCGCCTCCCTGCCGCAGGAGCAGGCCCGCGCCCGCCGCCCGAGAGCCTCCGGTAGAGGGAGACACTCCAGCGGCTCCTCCGACTTGGCAGCGGCCGGGCCGGGAGTGGGTGGGGGTGATGGGGGGTGGGGAGAAAAGGGGGAGTGGGGAGAGGGGAGGTGTGTGAAGGGGGGGTCCGGGGGGCGGGTCCCTGTGCCGCTGACGTCCCGAGCAGTGCTGGGAAGTATAGGCTGTGTTGTCACGCCGGTGTCAGTCTGATGAAGATTGGCATCAGGTAAGCTGTCATTCATTTCCATGTCAGAGACGCTTTTGCAGGCGGCGGCGGCGGCGCGGCGGCGGCTGCTGCTGCGGGCGGCTGCCTCAGAGCGCGTGTGTTTTATTCCAGTCCCCAAGCCAGAGTATTATTCATTGCGACAGGGCAAGGAGGAGAGAGGGAGAGAGGGAGGCAGCAGGGAGGAGAGAGAGGGAGGCAGCAGGGAGGAGGGAGGCAGGGAGCAGCGAGGGACGGCGGGAGCGTGCAGAGAGAAGCTGGGGAAGCGCCGGGAGAGCGCGGAGCGGAGCAGCGCGAGGGGCGGCGAGGCCGGGCACGGAGGCTGCGAGAGCCCCGCGGGCCGCCCGCTCCCCTGCCCGGCCAGCGCTCAGCCCCGCCGCCGCCGCCGCCGCCGCCTCGCCGCGCTTGGGCCCGTGGCCGGCCGCGCATTGTCCTCGGGTGCAAGGAGCCGGGCTGCGGACTCGAATCGCCGCGGGCCCAACCCCGTAGCGGGCGGGCGGGGAGCTGTGCGCCAGGAGCGCCAGGGGACCCGAGAATAGGAACAGGCACGCCGGCCCGAGCCCGGGTGCAGAAGGCTCCCGGCCGGGCGCTCCGCGGGGAGAGGCTGGGAACCGCGGGCAGGCTCCAGGTTCTCTTTCTCCCGGCTTCGGGCGTCCTTGGGGCCGGCGCTTACTCCGCGCCACCAGCCTGGAGATGCTTTCCAGCGGCTGGAGGCGGGAGCGGTCCCAGGCTGGGGCCAGGTGACCGGAGGAGTCGAGGAGCCGCGGCCGCGGCCTGGGGAGGCAGGGCGAATGAGGGTTTGCAGACGGATCAGTGGAGACAGGGGAACACCGGCGGGGCCCGGGAAGCCAGGATCCGAGGGGCTACACGCACGGACCCTCACCCAGGGAGGAGCGAGAATGTGTAGGGTCACCGGCTTTCCATGATTGCTGGGGATCTTTGGTGAGGCGGGCGTAGGGGCCCGCGCGAGGCTTGGGAATCGGGAGCCCTTCTGGCTCGAGAACTAGGGGATGAGTTCGTAAAAGAGGGAACTGAAAGCGATCGAGAGCGGAGAGCTGAGGGGGATGGCGCAGGATCCCGAATCTGCCGCTCAAAGTTTGCATTTCTTTCGGGTTAGGAGACGGGCTTTCCTGGCTCCCGATCCCCAGGAAGAAACGAGCGAAATGGGCCGTCCTTTCCCGGGGCTCTTCACGGGGGAGCCGGGGGTTTCCGCGCGGTGGGGAGACTCGGGTTGGGAATTGAGGGGTAGGGGCTTGTGGATCGGCCTGAATTAGGGCTGGGTTTTAGGACCAGTCTAGAGTTCGGTTTATAGGATCCAGACTGTTTACGGAATCGGGATCGAGGGGCCGATAAGTAGTTTACACGCCGGCCAGAGCAGAGGGCTGGAGGTCGGAGTTGGGGGCTGGAGGAACGGGTGGCGTTTTTAGGATTCAGTAACAGGATCACAGCTTTTTCTTGTGGTGGAAGCTATTGGAATTTGGGGAGGGTAGCACGAGGGGTCCTGCAGCTCCGCGTGTGAAAAAGCGTTTAGGTAGGCGATGAAAGTAGTTGATCTGAGCCATGGCAGGCGAGCCCCGAATTTTTGCTGCTTCCCCCTGAAAGTGTTTCTTTAGGAGGAGAGGACTTGGGCCACACAGGACCCGGTCCTAAGAGAGCGATTCCGGGAAGCGGACAGATCGAAGAGACCTTCTGGGCGAAGCGGCAGGGCAGCCTCGCGGGGCTGGGAGTGGATCTGAGGTCCCGACCCAGGCGGCTCGGAGTGCTCCAGGAGCCACCTGGGTCTGCGGGCGCAGCGCGGCGGGGCGGGAGCGGTGGCCCGCAGGGGCCGCGGCCTGCGATGAAGGCCGGGGGGCAGCGCTAGCAGCGAGGTGCCACAGTGGGCCGAGGAGTCTGGGCTGTGGCCCAGGGTAGGACCGGCTCAAACTCCAGTGCCCTGATTGGAGCCGCTTCCTGTGCTTACCCGCGCCGGACTGAGAAGCCCACAAACCCGGCCTTTGGTGCGCCCGGGGGAGGAGGAAGCTTGGAGTGCCCTACTGTCATCTCTCCTGTCCGGAGACTTCAGGATATTAGCTTTTCGGGTTTCAAATGCTCTATAACCGGTGGCAGCCAAAAGCTTCGCATTTTAGGCAGTTTAGACGATCCTCCCCGCCCCAAATCTGAGAATGATGGTGTTCAAACATAACACGGTGTATTACCCAAAGCCCCTGCCCTTGCCCTCCTGCTCTCTCTGCCGTTCTGGCCTTCGGAGGCCCCAGGACCTTGGTGGAAGCGGGGAGGGAGGGTCCCGTTTCTGGTCTCATAATCTCCCACTCGGGCTGCATCCCCATAGCTTGGGCCTAGCTGTGGGGTGTGGGGTGGGAAGGGGTCCCGACCAGGGAGGTAGGTTATTCTCTGGGCATCTAGAGAAAGAGTGTGTGTGGGGGGTGGGAGCGGGGGGGAGGAGGGCATTGAGGGGAGGAAGATTTGAGATTTCCTCCTCTTAATATTAAACCCACCATCCCAGCCCCCTGCACCCCTGGCAGGGAGAGCCAGACAGCCCTTACAGGACACGGAAGACGCACGACCCACGACCCACGAGTGGCCTCGGCGGCCCGGGGCGCGGCGACTGCCGCCGCGGAGCTCCAAGGCTGTTGTTTTGTAGGCTTGGAATTCGTGAGAGCTCTCTCCCGCTGAGAGCCCGAGGGGGGAGGGAGCCGTGACCCCACGGAGACTCCCTGGTCACCGCCTCCCCTTTGTGAGCGGGAAAGGCTTGAAAGCCAAGAGAAAGAGAGGCTGCTCAGAATAAGGGGCAGGGGGTTACCGGAGGGAGATGGGCCCGACCACCGCTCACAGTAAAATGCCTCGTGCGAATTGCACTGAAGTATACCCAACTTGAGACTGGCTGTTTTATGATCCTCTCTGGGAGTTTACTGCTCTCTGCTTTTAAGTCTATAGATTGCTTTAAGTTAATGAAAGTGCTGCTTTCAAAAGGGGCTTTTATTGTGTGGCAGTGGCAAATCCAGTACCTCCCCTTTACTCTTCCAAAATGGGCCTGTTTAAAAAGAGGGAGCTTGCTGGATCCCACATGGCAGAGCTTGGGGGAGGGTGCCATGTGACAATGAGAATTAATAAAAGTTAATGTCCAAGTGATTCTGAAAGACGAGTTTGCTTCTTTTCCAGTCCGGTTTCATCTGTTCATTCTCGTGTTGCCTTTGGGCTTTCACTGAGTCTGCCTTTAAATGTTGCTTGGTGCCTCCCCAGCAGCCTCTCCCAGCATTGCTTTAGGTAGGCCTGACCCCTGTTCAGTTAAACCCAAACTGGATTTCAGGATTTCAGCCCAGCTGCCAATTCAAACTGCAACTAAAATATTTACTTGGGACTGGGGGAGGGGCTTTGCCTCGCGTTTAGTAAGATAAATGTGTTTAAATGCCTGGGAACCTTGAGAAGGAACAAGGCAGGCTGTTTTTCAGTGCTTTTTGCTTTTTCAATCTGTTTGGCACAAAAGGTGAGATGACAAGGTTTTTGACTAGGTCCTAACACAGAAACTGCAGTGGGCTCAGGCTGTGGCTTTGACCGCATGTCATAACCATTTAAACTGTGGTTAGTTGTTCAAAGCTCAAAGCTTCTCCAAGCTGGGTTTCATTAACTCTACACCAGTTGCCTGGAAGTTCAGTAGCAATAAATTGTATAAACACATTTGAAGTAAGTTAGTGATGAAATAAGTAGAATTACTGTCTTGTGAGTGGAGAATCCTGAATTCATGGAGTTCTAGCTTAACTGGAAACATACCTCCTCTCCCTTGGCCTTGAAGTTTATGGGTGCACCAGAGTGTGTGTTAAATTTCTTTCTGCCATGTCCATCTTCAACCTGGGCTGTAACTCATTAGAGACCAAGGCATGCCTAGAAAGCAAAACGGCTGGATTTTAAAGGGGTCTCTATTAGCTTGGTTTAGGAATCAAACCAAACCAATTGACCTGACTTCTTTACCTTCCGTGAATCCAACGTGCAACGTAAACAGCAGCAGAGCAGGGGAAAATTAGATGTTTAAATGTTAGAGGCTTAATAATACTGCGTTGTTAGCAATTGAATTTGTTTTTATTAAAGAAACAACCAATAAAATTTATAGGCTTCCAACATGTTGCAAGATTTCCTTGCTATTTATTTAGCTTCCCCCTCCCTACTTTCTGAAATTCTATCTCTAATCTCAGGCTTTTGTTCCCGATTTATTTAATCTGGAGCACATTTTCTAAATTAGTTCGAGGAGGGTGAGAAAGGCTGTTATGAGTTTTCCTTTTTCCTACGCTGTGTGGCACAAGGACTGCGATGCTGTAAGATATATATAAACGTGTGATGCAATTGCTGGAGGTGACGGCATGTGAAGCCAAGTGTCTGGATCAAACAAAACGCAGATCCGAGCATGGAGAGGGTGAAAACGATGCTGCAGAGGAAAAACTGAGGAAGTTCTAATGGAAAATGAAATCATCATGAACCACCGTTAGCCTGAGTCTAGCCAACACACCATGCTTTGTATAAAACACTTCACGTGAGATCCGTGACTTATTGAAGACTGAATTATACTGAGAAGCAGAATTTAGAGGGAGGAGCTCCACGGGCTGGGTTCTATCCAGGCAGCATGGCCAGGATTGTTGCGATGGGGATCTGCTAATTTAATTAAATCTAATACCTGGTGGGAAAGGGAGGAAGGAGGGAGGGAAGTGGTGGGCAGATAATCAAGGTTGGCAGGTCAGCATGCTGAGCTAGTGTTTAGGCTGAAATTTAGTGGCCTGGTCTCTTTTGACTCTGTTATTGCCAGGGCTGCATGACTCCAGTGGGTCATCTAGCTTCTGGGCCTTGGTTTCTTCATCTGTAAAGTGGAATGTATCACACACAGTTCTCACTAGGGTGAGATGATGGGCTTGGATCAAGCACAGGCTGCGCTCTGAGTAAAAAAAATGGGAGATAGAGGCTTCTCAGCAGCAAAGTCACATTCTTCGGTGTGTTTTCTTTCCTCGCCTGGCTCCAGGGCCTTCCCCACAACTCTCAGGAGTTCTTAGGCTATAGTAAAGGGGCTGAATTCCTGCCTTGCATTACATCCTAGAATTTGAAAGGCCTGCTGTGACTCCAAAAACCATCTACACTTTACCAAGAGGGGCAATTTTGGCTGAGTTGGGGGATCCAGCCCGCTTCTTCCAAATGGTGTTACCTGGAATAGCTGTCCTGTATCAGACGAATGCAGAATCTGACTTATCAGAAATGCAGCCCCTTCTCTTTATTCCACTGGGAAGGCAAGGCCTGAGCCCTGACTGGTGTGTGTGTGACATCTGGTCGGCTGAGGGGGTTGGGTGCTGGTCTGCAGCTAGCCACGGCCTGAACCTCTCTTAGCAGTCTCTGCTGGCAGATCAAAGCAGATTCTGGGCCAGAAAGCCCAAGAAGTTACACCCGGCACTTACACAAAACTGTGTGTGCGCTCGTAGACTCCTTCTGTTCCGGTGTCTGATTTGTAAAAGCTAGCTCTGATCCTGGAGACGCGGCTCTGGTGGAATGCTTGTCTTTAATACTCCCTAGTCTTTGGGGATTCCTTGGGGTAATTTTTCCTCCTCATTTCCTTCTCAGCCAATCACAGGCAACATCTTAGTCTCCATTTTGATTGGGGGTGGGAGACAGGGCTGGGGGTTGAGAGAGCAACAGTTGGAGGGCACAGTCTTTCTACCTGAACTCCAGGTTTTCCTCCCGTCCAGAACCCCCAGGAGAGAGGGAGAAGCAAGCCCGGGACAGCTCAGTTCATCTCACGCGGTCAAGCAGAGCTTGAGAAGAGCTTGCTGCAAATGCGTTGTCTTCAAGGGGATCTGCTGTTTGGCTTGGATGCCTCACTGCAGGCCCGGCCTGCCTGGGTTTCTAATTACAAGAAGGACGTTTCTGCTAAGACCTATCTCACTAAAAACACATCCCTGTGTGTAATAAGAAACCCTAAACCAGGCAGGATATTTTAAAACTGAAGCAATGAAGATTAGATTAAGTCTCCACCAAACAGCTTCGTTCTTGTATTATTTTTGGCTGGAATGTGGAGAAAAGCAGCTGGCCCTGGGGCCCAGAGCAGACTCTGGAGAGTTCGGATAGGGCCGGGGTGGGTGGGGTAACTGTTAGTTTTCTGCTTAGTAGGAACGTGGCCAATTTGAGTACGGCTCAGTCAAGGCAGTGGGGGTGCCCAGTGGGGGAGGGGGGAGGCTGGGGTGGAGGAGGAGCCAGATCCAGATGGGCCAGAAAGCGGCCACAGAAGCAGCAGGTCACAGGGCACTGAGGCTTGTAAATCCTCCACCTCATTAGGACGTAGTCTTTTGTGTTCAATTTACATCTCTACTCACATCGCCATCCCAAATCTAGTAGAGAGGGAACAAATAGTTGTTGAGGATTCTTGGAAATAGAACCCAGTAATCGGGCATCATGGGCAGGTGTCCTGCCTTGCTGGGGAGGGGCAGCATGGCATTCACCCATTCCCTTTGTTCTTCCATTCAGCAAATATTTATAGAGCATCTTCTGTGTCCCCGGCACAGTCCTAGGCATTGAGGAGACAGCAGCAAAAACAAAGCCAAGACATTGCCATGAAGCCTGTCCTCAAGGAGCTTGCTTGTGGTGGGGGCGGTGTTGAGTATGGGCTTTATTTAGCATCAGGCAAAACTTCATTTAGAGCCTAGCCCTGCTCTTTACCTGTCATATGGATCTAGACAAGTTGCTTAACATCTTCGATCCAGTTACCCCATTTGTAAATTGGGAAGTAAAAGCACATAGCTCACAGGACTGTTGAGGGGCATCTGTTAAGTCCCTAGCACGGTGTCTGGCACAGAGGAGAGGCTCAGTCATGGTTGACTCTCCTCTGTCATGTTATGTTGGAGCTGATGATCCAGTTGGAGGATTACCCCTTTCCCTTTCCTTTTGCTTCCCCAGAACCTGGCTTGGGCCCTTTTCCAGGTCACTGGCGTCTTCAACCAGCGTTGCACAAATAGCCAGTCAATGCTGTGGCCTGGTGCTGCCTGCTGTGCACAGCCCTGGCAGAGGCTGCAGTAGAAAACAGGTACACAGACCCTGAGGACACTTTGGGGATGAGGGGTGTCTGGGGTTAACAGTAGAGAGGGCACATACAATACACAGACCTGAGAGATGATGGACAGAGAGGTGACGTGGAAAAAGCCACCAACCAGGTGTTAACCACAGGAGACAACAGTGGGGCAGGATGTGGAGTGACCAGGACAGAGTGGAGTCACAGGGCAGACTTCTGGGAGGAAGGGAGCCTCTGCAGAGTGTTAGAGGAGGACTGGCTGAGCGGCTGGCCAGTGGGGGCATGAAACATGAGCCTCCTAGGTCATGGTGCTCTGCGCTGTCCTGGGGACTGCAAGGGAGCAGCCTGGACTAGAAGGAGGAGCTTAGCCCCCTCTACCTATCCCAGGTGGCCAGAAGTGGGCTGTCCCTGCCCCAGGAGCACCAGGTAAGGCCTTGTTGTTTGGGTCCAGTTTCCCTTACACACTGAGGGATTTCCGAGCAGACCTTTCCACGTTGGCTTCTCAATGGGTAGAACTTAGACCAATGAGTTGGTGCATGAGGCAAACAAATCACTTCACTCCTGGTTGCAACATGGCTTTCTTACCTAAGATCCCCTTTTTCCCTAAGCAGAGAGAGCAGAGACTATAGGCCCACATCCAGCCCTCTTCCATCTCAGGAACCATGAAGCTGATTGATATCAGGGTGATCGGGATGGTGGAGAGAAAGGGGGGACTGGTAGTCTGAGCATGGTGGATTCCACTGTGGACTCAGCCACTGACTGACTGTGTGACCTTCAACAAGGGACTTACCTTCTCTGGATGTCAGTGTCCTCACTTATCCAATGAGGAGCTTGAACTTGCTCTCAGAGGTCCCCTTCTACTCAAAGTTCCATGATTCCATATTTCCTCCCAATTGGATTGCTTCGTGGCTTTGTGGCTAGGCAATCATTAAAACCACCGCCACCGCCACAAATCCGAGCAAAGAATCATGATGACATTCAACAGACTGCAGGGGCTTGGCCCCTGTGGTATAGAGTCTTAAGGACAGTGGGGGCCTAGGGGTTGGTTCTGACCCTTCTGATGGCCTGCCTGGGACAAATGGATGTTCCTAGCGATAGGGGATGGCTCCATGAGGCAGCAATTTCAGTCTGAAAACTCACTGGCTTCTTCATAAAAAGCAGCATTTACTTTTCTTGTTGAGACAGCGTGGGGCTAGGGGAAGGAACACAGGCTTTGGAGTCAGATTCTGGGTTCTGACCCTGGTTCTACTACAGCTAAGCAGTGTGCACATCACTTAACCCCTCTGAGCCTCCGTTTTCTTGGCTTTATAGGTGAGGATAATAATACTACCAAGCATATTTAAGACTGCTGTGAAAACTCTGGAAGAAAACATCTGTAAGTGGTTGGCACATGGCAAGCTCATGTTGAATAAATATTAGTCTTCTGTCCTAATAAAGCTCATTCTCACATGCCCTTGTGTGATCCTCTTAGCCTTGTGAAGCAGGTAAAATGGGCATTGTATCATTTTATAGGTAAGAGAAACTGGGGCTCAGAGAGTGGCTAAAGTGGCAGGTCCAGGAAGTGGGTGCAGGTGTGTCTGTGTGTAGCAATGGAGCACATTATTTAGGGTAGCCCAGGCTTATCTTCTATGATGATGGTTCTTCCTTTAGCCTTCTGGAGACAACACAAGCCATTCCTGAGCTCTACCTAGTCCTCTCCCAAGATCTTTCATAAAAGAACCAGCTAAACTCATCTCCTCCATTACTCGAATCTTTGGCAAATGCTGGGAAGAGCTACTGTTGTGAAAACCAAAGTCTAGAAGATCTGTTTTTTACTTCCACAAAGTCTTCAGTCTCAGGTGGGGCTGGGAGGGCCCGCACTAAGAGGCAGAGGTAGATTTAGGAGCAGGGGATATCTCATGGCTATGAGTGGGGGCAGCGAGGCTGCAGTGTGGCCTTGGTCTGCCAGCCCAGGTGTAAGCTGGACCCCTGGGTGGAAAGAATTCCCTCGGGGGCTCGTGCCCGTGGTCATCAGCTCACAATCCAGACAGATGTCAAGCCGACAAACACCAAGGGGAGTTTAGCCCGTTAGTGGTAGCATCTGTCTAATTCCTATTAGGTAAGGGGAGGGCACAGGCTCTCTGGGTTCCAGCGTAGCACAATGGGTCTGTGCTGGAGTAGTGGCAAGTGAGCCCTACCCCAGAGCTTCCCCTCACGGTCCTCAGTCCACAGTGCATTGTTAAGGAATGGATGCTCCTCTGTACCAAGTCCTGTGCTAGGTCTAAATGTGATGTGACCCCTCCTTCTGAGGAGCTGTCCTGCCTTCCTCCCAGGAGACCTTCCTCTGTGGAGATTGTCAGTTCTATCTCCAGGTCCAGGGCAGGGAGACAGACGCCCAGAGAGTCAAGTGTATGCCCCGGGCCCAGGGGCGACAGGTGCTTGTTCTCATTCTCATTTCCTCCCTAAGAATCCACCTGTCAACAGGTGTGGCCTGAACCCACTATTTAATTAGTGCCCATTAGCATGCTGTGGGGAACACTCAGTGGCCTCATCCTCTAGGAGCTACATATTTTTGATGAGGAGACCAAACAAAACGCATGTGAAATTGAGAACAAGCTATATGACCTTGACTCATCTCTTAACTTCTCTGGATTTCAGAATCCTCATTTTATACAATGAGCAGGTTATCCTTGGCTCTCTTCAAGCCCCTTTCAAGTCTATTCTCCTACGACTGTCTGGGCTGTACATGCGAGGTCCATCAGGCACCATGAGTTTGTAGAAGGTGATAGGACACCAGAGAACACCTAGCCCAGCAGTGGGAAGGCTGTCTACCTGTAGGCAGGTGAGTGGGTGGGAAGATATATTGCAGAGGTAGCTGGCCTCATTTATTTGTCTGCAGGGGCCGGGAGAGTGCTTGTTGAGAGGGACCCTGCAGAGTCCCCCAGCTTCCAGGAGGGTCAGGGGGACAGAAATCAGGCAGGAGAGCCTGGCAGAGTGGGAACTCAAGACCGCTGCTCCCCTGTGGCCCAAATAGCGGTGGTGGAAGGAGCTCCTCTCCCGGCCCCTCTCCCACTCTGCCCCCCACCCACCGGCTCTGGGAGGAGACAACTGGTTTCATAGTAGGGCAGCGGTCCCCTGGGGCCCTCTTGACTTGTGAGACAGATTCTGGAGGAAAGCCAAGGAGCTCGAAAGGATTCCTCCAGCCTTCCCTGAAGCCTGTTTCCAAGGAACCTGACTTAGTCTCCGGCACTGGCATAGCACCCCTTGAGAAGTCACCTCCATTCATGAGAGCCTCTTAATGGCAGCAAGATGGGGGACTGCTAACTCCTGCTGACTTCTAGATTGTAGGGGGAGCCTCTTTCCAAGCTGGACGTCTGGTCTCCTGGAATACTTTTCAAAGTCATTTCCACTGGGTTTGAGGAGAAGGAAGGAAGGAAGGAAGGAAGGAAGGAAGGAAGGAAGGAAAGAAGGAAGGAAGGAGGGAGAGCTTCAATCCCAGGCAGTCCTCCACGGAGCACCATTGGCTGCTGGCAGGGGTAATGGGAACTTCCCAGCATTTCTGCTGCACAGAGTCCTGGTTCTGGTGGCCCTGACCTGGCCGTGGTGGAACTGGGCTCTGGGGAGACAGGCTGCCACAGCTAGCTTGCAGGTAAAGGCAGAAGAAGGATGTTCCCTGAGCTCTGTGATTTCTAGGTAGCTGTGCAGGACCTCCAGCGTGAAGGCCACAGACGAGTGGAGGCTCCTTTGCTATGTGGTAGGCTCTGTGCTGAGCCCTGTGCTGGGGGCTGTCACCACTATTTTGTTGAGTCATAGCTGTAGACCCAAGAAGAAAAGTGAGGCTCAGAGAAGGTAAGAGAATTTGCCCAAGGTCACCCAGCTATGAGTGAGGCAGGCCAGTGTAGAACAAGCAACAGGTATGGGTGTGGGCCTTGGTAGAGCCCTGTGCTCACTGTGGGACCGTCAGAGCTGGCCTCACTTTCCCCATCAGTCAACTGGTGGCAATAACACCTACTGTCGGGGCTGTGGGGAAGATGGGAAGATTAAGTGAGGTGATGTATGTGGATGTGTTATACATGTTGTATAAACATAAATGACAGCGCCTACACCGTGACTTGCATGTAATACGTGGGGGAGAAAATTGGTTGGCACAGACTATATATTTCTTATTAGTTTAAAATAGAGTATACACACAAATTCACACGCCTTCTCATACTCACTCACAGCGTGATGACAGCCATGTTTGGGTGATTCAAAGCTGGCAGGGTGGCTTTCCATGACTTCCTTGTGGCTGGGGCAGGCGTGAGTTCCCCTGGGATTCCTGAGCGCCCGGTGGTTTTGCCAATTCAAGCTTAGAGTCAACCAACCGGAATTGGGGCCTCCAAAGTGCTCGTGGTTGTTCTCAAGTAGGTTTTCCCACCTAATCCAGTGTGGGAGGCTGTCAGGGGCCTGGGGTGAGGAGGGGGTTGGCCTCTGCCAGGTCCTGTTGGCTTGAAGCAGGCCTTGACTCCCTCCTTGCCAGTCACATTCACTAGATAGATTTTTACTGAGTGTCTTCTCTGTGTCAGACCCTGCGGAGGCGCTAGGGATATGACCGTGAACTAGACAGATGGGTTCCTGCCGGGAGGGCTCACAGATCATGGGAGAGGAAGACGTTCAAGTTCCGTGGGTAATTAGTTAAACCACAAGAGCCACCCAGAAGTCCAGGAAGCCGTGAGGGCCTCAACAGGGAGCATGACCTACTGTGGGGGTCTGGGAGGATCTTGGAGGACATCCTGGAGGAAGTGAGCTTTAAGCTAAGGCATGAAGGGAGACTTGCCGTGAACTAGGTAAGAGTAGGCGCATGAACTCTAGTCACCTTGGGCTGGCCTGGCCTGACCTCATGCTGAGTTTTGTCCCTCCTGTGGGGCCCTTTCTGGGGAGAGAGTTGACCAACCCCTTCTTCCCCAGCATCTTCTTTTCCATCCCAGGCAAGGACTGAACAAGGTGAGAGGAAGACAGCTGGGCACCAGGAGAATGCTGCCAGGGATTGTGCTCTCATCCGAGCTTCCCAGTCAGCTGCATCACAGAGCAGGATGCAATTCCCACATCCCCTGTCCCCCTCCTCTGCCATCCTATGCTCCTTGAGGACAGGTTTTCAGGGGAGCTTTAGAAAATGCAGGCATCCCTTCCGCATTCTTCCTACAGCCCCAGTTAGGGTCCTGGTGATAACCTTGCGATGTTCATGTTCACGTCTTACCTGAGTCTGATTTCTGGAAAGCCCTCGTGGGCAGCAGCTGTGACGGGGGTAGAAATGACTCAGCCCATTTTGCTCAGCACCAGCCACAGGGGGACTATATTTATTACAAAAAGTCTTTGGCAGATCTGGCCTCTTCCCCTACATGGGAGGGAGTCAACTTGACAATGTCTTTTGAGGACTTGGTGCAGTGACCAGGGCTGTATCTTCCCTTTGGAAACACTGAGGAAAATTTGTGAATATTTTGCAGTCTTGTAATTTGGAGGGGGGCAGCGAGGAGAGGCAGCGGGGGAGGTTAGAGAGAGACTGATGGGCTTAAGTGACAAGGGCTATAAATCCACGATTACACGGATGTGAAAAGGAAAGCCAGTGGCCTCCTGCCTAGGGTTTGGGCATCCTCAGAGTTAGCAAAATGTACCTGCTTTGGGGTCAGGCAGGCAGGGGTTAAAGCCCAGCTTCTGCTGCTTGCTGGCTATGTGATCCTGGGCAACTTCTTAACCTGTCTGAGCCTTAGTTTCTTCCCTTTTGTGAAATGAGAGTAGCAATGTCCCTGTGCAGGGGATTCAGTGAGGTAACAGCAAAGATCCTGCTCCAGTCCTGGCCTCAGAGGGTTCTCATATTCATGAGTTCCTTTCCCGTCACTTCCGTCTCTCTCCCCACAGTGCTGCATGGGACCCAGATACCCCTTCAGAGGCAGGAGGCATGAAGGAGTGCAAGCAGGGAAGGCTGTGGGCTGTGGGCCTCTCTGGGGAGCACAGCTAGAATGGCTGACTAAGGATCCTGAGCTGGCTGGGACAGCAATGTCAGAGCCTGGGGAGGCTTCGCAGAAGCAGGGGAAGCAGTGCTCTGGGTGTCTTGGAAGAACCAGACAGCATAGGTGGCATCAAGGAGGGCTGTGAAGCAGAGAATCTTTGTAATAGGGAGTAGGAAGGAAGGGAGGGAGAGAGGGAGGAAATGAACATTTATGAATTGTCTACTGTGTTTTGACATTGAGCGAGGTATTTTAATGCTCATTTTTTGATTTTATAAATTTAGAAGCATAGAATCTTCAAGTCAGAACATCTCAGAACTAGAAAGGACACGTGAAACCATCCCTCCATCCATCCATCCCAACCACTGTATTTTATATATGGGGAAACTGAAGCTCAGAGAAGGACAGTAACTTACCTAAGGCCACACAGGAAATCAGTGGCAGAGGGTTAGAAACTGCCCAGGGCACGTGGTGGCTTATGCCTCTAATCCCAGCACTTTGGGAAGCCGAGGTAGGCAGATCATCTCAGGTTGGGAGATCGAGACCAGCCTGACCAACAAGGAGAAATCCCGTCTCTACTAAAAATACAAAATTAGCCAGGCATTGTGGCACATGCCTGTAATCCCAGCTACTTGGGAGGCTGAGGCAGGAGAATCGCTTGAACCCGGGAGGCGGAGGTTGCGGTGAGCCGAGATTGTGCCATTACACTCCAGCCTGGGCAGCAGAGCGAAACTCTGTCTCAAAAAAAAAAAAGAAGAAAGAAAGAAAGGGAGAGAGAGAGAAGGAAGGAAGGAACGAAGGAAGGAAGGAAGGAAGGAAGGAAGGAAGGAAGGAAGGAAGGAAAGAAAGAAAGAAAGAAAGAAAGAAAGAAAGAAAGAAGGAAGGAAGGAAGGAAGGAAGGAAAGAAAGAGAGAGAGAGAGAGAGAGAGAAAGAAAGAAAGAAAGAAAGAGAAAGGAAGGAAGAGAGAAAGGAAGAAAGAGAGAGGAAGAAACTGCCCAGGGCAGGGCAGTTGGGTCAGAGCAGAAAGAGCATAGACCTTAGAATCAAAGACTGGGCTTAACTACAGAAACACTTGTGATATGACCCAGGAAAACGTACCTCCTGAGCCTCAGTTCTCTTATCTGTAAGTTGGTACAGTAATTCTCAACTCAGGTGGCAGCCGGGACAATGAAAGGAGATAGCCCGTGTAAAGTGCACGGTGTGGTGTCGGGCTCGGATGGCGCAGGTCCTTCCCCTTCAAGCCTTGCCCTCTCCCGTGTGTTTCATGGCTCTGGCCACACCCGTAGAACCAACCAGTGAACCCTGTGTTTGTCCCACCGTGTGTCCCCTGGGCTCAATGAACAGAAGGCCTGAGGATTTATTCATTCTTTCATTCACTTATTCCTCAAGTATTTATTAGGTATCCTGAGCATGTGCCCAGCATTATCTTGGTGCCAGGGATATATAGGTGAGCAAACTCAGGTGGCTTCTATCCTGTTAGGGTTCACAGTTAGATGGCGAACAGAGACGTTACTTTTAAAAATCACACGAATAAATGTGAGAATATGAATGACATACGAGCTTTGAGGAGAAGAGCCTAACACTGTGGGAGCATTCTTCAACAGGAAGATTTTATCCAGAGAGAGCAGGGCAGGGCCTCCCTGGGGAGTGATGTTTGAGGTGAGCCTGAAGGGAGACACGGCAAAACTGAGAAAAGACGGGAGAAAAATCGCGTCCCAGGCAGGGGGAGCATAGAGTTGAAGGCCCCCCGGCAGGGAGGAAGGGCTGTGCCTGCAAGAGCTGACAGGCAGCTGGGGTGCTGGGGCAGAGTGGCGGGTCAGGCGCGAGTCACTGAGCTGTGCCTCAGAGGAGCTTGCGAGAGAACCCCTGGAGTCTGACTCTGAAGCAGGGCTGCACCTGTGGGGAGAGGTGGGTAAACTGAGTCTGAGATTCTGAAATGGAGACCAGGCCAACATTTGGCTATAGTCCTGGACAGAGAGACAGATGTTTCTAAGCCTCAGTTTTTCTGCCCCAAAATGAGCATAATGACAATAAAAATTATAAATAGATTGCAGATCCATGATGGTGGGGGTGGAGGTAAAAATGAACAAATGCATTAGGTATTTTGCCCTCAGCATATATGTGAATGGCATCAAATTCATTGACGTTAAAGCTTAGATGATCTGGATTTGTAATTGAATAAAGGCCAAAGTCCTCCCCATGGCTGAATCTCCTCCTCCCCAATTCATGTCCTGTCACTGTCCTGCTCACTACACGCACACGGGCCTTCTAGACACCCCTGTTGTAACTGAAACAGCCATGCACGCTCCTGCCTGAGGGCCCCCGCGTGTACTGGTCCTTCTGCCCGGAACATCGTTCCCTGGATATCTGCGTGGCTTGCTAGCTTGCTTGCTTTTTCAGATTTCCCCTCCAATATCATCATCTCAATGAGGCTTTCCTCATTTCCCATCTAAAATGAAATCCCTTTTGTCCCCTCCCTGGCTCTCCCTTTCCGTCTTTATTTTTCTTTAGAGCGATTGTTGGATTTCTGTCTCTTTTCTTCCCCCTCTGCTCTAATCCGGAATAGTACTTGGCTGTAGTAAAAGCCCAGGCAATGTTTGTGGAATGAATGAATGAGTGAATGAATGGGGAGAGCTGTTTGTTGGTGAAATGATGTGTCAGGTTCATTCAAAGATGCTTTTTCCCTTACTCTGAAATTGACTCATGGAATGTCAGAATTGGAAGGAACTAAGTCATTGGTCTTTGAGCAACTCTCTCATTTAACAACTGAGTAAACAGAGGCCCAGGGAGGTACTTCAGGGGCTTGTGAAAGGTCACAGAGCTCGGAGCCAGAATGAGAACCAAAGCCTCTGGGATTTACTCCAGGACTCTTCACGAAGCTTTGGCTTTTTTTGCATGACACAGCTCCTGGGGAAAAAGGGGGTTTGCTCTGTGGTCTCCAGCTTCCTGGTGTTCTGCTCCTGGGGCCACATGGCCTGAGGGGCTGTAATTTCACTCCAAGATCTCTGCTGCTGCTCCTTGGGCCACCTTGCGGGATGTTGGTAAAGGCAGCTATTGGCAACTGACAGGCAGACATACTTCTCTCCCACGAGGTAAAATGAATGTTTTCTGTCAAGGTCAATCCACAGGAAATGATTATTTAGCTCTGACTTGGTAGAGTCTGCCTAAGGTGGAGAATGCAAGAAGTATCAGATTCTAGTCCTGCACTTCAGGAACTTCTAGTTTAGCTAGGGAGACAATGCTTACTGACATCGATATTAACATTAAAATAATGCTAGCAAACATTAACTGGTGCTTACCACATACCAGGCACTGTTCTGAAAACTTTATGCCTATTAACTTATTCAGTTCTCACTATGACTCTATGGGGATGTTGCCATACCTCTTTCACATTTAAGTAACCTGAGGCACAGAGAGGTTTAGCAACTTGTTCAAAGCCACACGGCTAGTAAGAGGAGAAGCCAGGATTTAAACCCAGGTGTTCTCTCACCAGCACTCATCCTCTTATACATTAAGTGAAATAATAGCACAAGACAAGAATGTGAGATGCATTACGAGACAGTAGAGTGAGGTCAAGGGAGGAGGTTACACTGCAGGCTGGAGTAGTCTGGGATGGCTTCCTGGAGGAAGTGCTGCCTGAAGGAAGCAGAATGTTTGGATAGCAGGAGAGAGGCTTTGCCCTCTTGGTTTTCCATCCTTAGGTAGAAGGGAACAGTGGTTAGGAGTGTCCAATGAGGGACTTGTGGTAGGGAGGAGTCTCCTCCCTTAATACACGCATTTGAGAGCAACAGACCTGAACAACGTCGTTTACCAGCTGCCCAGTGAGGGCTGGGAGGAGGACTTGGCACTGGCCTGGCCTCTGTCTCCCATAGAAATAGTTCCCCATGTGCTTGTGTCATGGGGGCTTTGCCTAGTTTGGGAGAGGAATCTCTTGGTGAGCCCCTCAGGATCTAGCCTTCTTAAATGTTTGGGAGATTCGGAGAAGATCCTCTAAATGGTCTCCAAGATGCCAAGATGGCTGCTCTATCTGTAAAATGGGCCAGTAACCCCATGCTATGGGGGTGCAATCAGCATTTCATGGCTCAGTGTTTTTAAGGAATCTGGCCCATTTGGCTTCAGTTACAGATGACTTCCTTTCTCTGTCCACCTCCCGAAATTCCCAGTTCAACCCAGACTGGCTACCCTCAGTCTTAGCTTAGAGCTGGGACACAGAGGTTTTGTTGATTGTGTGACCTGGCTCTTTGGGGCTGCACTTAGGGGACAGGCCTAAAGCTGCTCTCCTCAGCGGAGTTACTGATAATGTCCCTCAATTATGTTTGCATTCTAAAAATACATTTGCTTTCTTTTGGAGCCATAAAGCACAAAGAAGTCTCAGTTGGAGGTTGTCTAACCACCCCAGTTTGCCCAGGATTGTAACGACTTTCACACTGAAAGTCTGTTTCTGTGGTCCCCCCAGTCCCAGCTAACCTGGGCAGGCAGTTGGTTGCCCTGTGAGTCAGGAGAGAGGGAGAGAATGTCATGGAACTGAAGGCTCATGCACCCACTAAAGGCTGTCCCATTGCTCCTTCTACGTGGCTGAATCCCCCAGAGATAGGCAGATAGATGTCTATGGAAGATCTAGCTGAAAGGTAAAGGGCTTTGGCTTTTGACAGACCAGGGTTCAAATCTCCCATTGGCTGTGTACTATCACCTTAACTTTGGCCAAATGTCTTAACTTGAGCCTCAGTGTCCTCATTTGTAAATGTGGGGACTGTAATAACTATGTCATGGTGCTGTTTTGGGACTTCAATGGTCCAAGGCAAATAAAGTACCTGGCATATTACAGATGTTACATACAACAGGCTCAGCCATCTGAGCCATTACATTTATTCCCAGTGTTGGGTTTGGATGGGAAGAAATAGCCTCTTTCTCTTAGGAAAGCTGGGTTGTGAAACTGGCCTCCCCAGCTCCTCCAAATTCATGGCTCCTGGCCCATTTCATAGCACTGTCCTGGCCTGCCAGCAGCTACAGAGAAGGGCCTGGGGAAGGACCCTTGGATTTTTTGTGGAGACAGAGGTATAGATTGGAGAACTGCTCCTGTCCCTGCCTTCAAGGCTGGGCTGAGGGCCAGAATCCTGGGGCTTTAAGTGTGTCTTTTTCCCCTTTCCCTGGCTTATTTGACTTTCTGGAAAATAGGAAGGCTCATTACTGTTTGGAATCAATGAAACTTGCAAGAGGGACCGTGGAGAGCCTCTGGTTTAATTTGGCCTTCTCTGAAATGAGGACCTTGACGCCCAGGGAGGTGGTAACTCATTCGAAGCTCCACTGCTGATCAGCACCCAGGCTTTCCCAGCTCCTAGCCCAGGGGACATCCTGGTTCAATAGGCTGGGGAAGTCCTTTAAGCTCCAAGGGACAAGGCACATGGTGGCTGTAGCATGCGATGAATCCTTTTTTTTTTTTTTTTTTTTTTTTTTTTTGAGACGGAGTCTCACTCTGTCGCCCAGGTCGGACTGCGGACTGCAGTGGTGCAATCTCGGCTCACTGCAAGCTCCGCTTCCCGGGTTCACGCCATTCTCCTGCCTCAGCCTCCCGAGTAGCTGGGACTACAGGCGCCCGCCACCGCGCCCGGCTAATTTTTTGTATTTTTAGTAGAGACGGGGTTTCACCTTGTTAGCCAGGATGGTCTCGATCTCCTGACCTCATGATCCACCCGCCTCGGCCTCCCAAAGGATGAATCCTTTTTCTGACAGTAGCTTGCCTGCTTTGTGGATCGTTGGTGACACATATTAAATCCCTGGCCAGCTACCCTCTGCCACTGTAGCACACTCTCTGAGCCACCTCTCTCTAATGGAGGGTAAACTATGCTCATAAGACACTGACTCTTTTTTTATTAACTTTTTTTTTTTGCATTGACTCTTTTAAATGGTCACACTAAACTAAGAAGATAAACACCATTTCTAAAGACATTCTAAAATTCACAAAAAGAGATGATTTTTTTCAGAGAGAATATTTTTCTGGATTAGCCACTACAGTTGACCTTACTGAGCTGAGGGCATCAGCAGATTTCATGTGCTCAATGAATGGAGTGTTCATTCAGTGCCAGTGTGGTCAGGGAACGGTTACACCCAGAGTGGAGAACATGAATGGGCTATTACTCTGAGCAAATGTGATATGTTTCCTGTGGGGGTTTCTTCTGTTGCCTGTGGACCCTCCATTTGCCTCAAATACATTTTCAATTTATTTAGCACCCACTGTGTTCTAGCCACCATGGAGGGAGATAAAAGATGACAAGATTTGGTCTCTACATGAAGGAGCAGACAGTTTGAGTGGGGAGAGAAGCATGGAAACCATGGAAAGTTTAATGATATTGAAGGAGTTACATCACAATACCTGAGGGCGGGTCATCACAAGAGATGTTACAGGACAGAGAAGACTCATTGCCAAATGAGCGACACTAACAAGAGTGATGCTCTCAGAGGAAGGACAGACTGAGTGGACTGCAAGGATAGGGGAGACTTCTGGAAGAGGTGGATGGTGTGGCAGACCCTTGACACTCATTCCCCTTCAGCAGGCTTGGAATGTGGGGATGACTATCCCCATTTTCACATATGGCAAAGGCCCAAGCCACACAGCTGGTAAGTTGAGATTTGGAATCTGGACCCATCTGCATCCAAACTTTTTCCATTAGAAACCCTGTCTCCCATGAGCCAGGCTTTGAAGGTTGGGTGGGATTGAATAGATAGAGAGAGGGGAGCCATAAACAAGAGTGTGTGTAAGGAAGATAATGAGCAAAGACCCTACTGTGTGGTGGGGCATTGAGCCCACCAGTGTGGAAAGAAGAAAGCAGCATGCTCTAGGGGAGCATAGCCTGCAGTGCTGGGCTCCTTGCTGGGTAGAGGCTGGAGCCTCTGGAACCTGCCTGTGCTGACTGCCATTCCCTGCCCTCTCCTCAGAACCTCTTCTCACACCCAGGAGCCTCTGATTGCTTTCCTGGCCTTGTGTCGGAGGCTGGCTAGGCTGGCATCTGTCTCCCAAGAAGACCTAGTAAATCCTTAGTGGTAATAGGAATGACAGCAACACCATCCCGCATCTGTAGAATACTTTTCCACCTACACGGTCTTTATGCTTGAAACCAGAAACAAACCACGAAGAAAGACATCATGATGGGTAGGCAACGTCCAGGGCTCAAGGGACTTCTGCTCAACCCTCAGAGGACAGGCCAAGGACAAGTGCCCCAGGCAGGTTACTCACTGTTTACCATTTTGTGTATGGTACCTGGCACATAATAGATGCTCAATAAACAAGCATTGAGTCCCACCCTGTTTGCAGGTACCTGATTCCAGCACCTCTGCAGAAAGCAAGCAGCATCCCTGACCATTGCCTCCTGGCATTTCTTCCTTGTCCTCAGCCCTGCAGCTCTGTGCCCAGTGGCTCCATGCCTCAGCCCAAGTCGAGGCTGTTGCAAAACCTGTGTACATTTACAGTTACTGAGTTTGAGCTTGAAAGAAGTCTGGTTTCATTTGTTTGGTTGGGCTCTCTGAGTTCAATTCATTTTACATAAGAAATTACACAATTACACTCTATATTTTCTATTGTCCTTTTCTTGGTGGTAAAACATGCATAACATAAAATTTGCCATTTTAACCATTTTCAAGTGTGCAATTCAGTGGCATTACATTCACACAGTTGTGCAAACTTCACCATATATATTTCCAAAACATTTTTTCACTTCAGACAGAAACTCTGTACCTATTAAGCAATAACTCTGCATTCTGCCCTGGTAACCTCTCATCCACTTTCTATCTCTATGAATTTGACTATATTATATATGCTTCATATAAGCAGAATCATAATTTATTTGTCCTTTTGTGTATGGTTGTTTCACTTAGCATAATGTTTTTAAGATTCATCTGTGCCATTAACATGTATCAGAATTTCATTCCTCTTTATAGATGAATAATATTTCATTGAATGTAGATACCACATTTTGTTCATCCATTCACCTGTTTATAGACATGTGGGTTGTTTCCACTTTCTGGCTATTGTGAGTAATGCTGCAAGTATTGCATATCAATACTTACATTGATATGCAAGTATCATTTGAGTCCCTGTTTTCAGTTCTTTTGGACATATACCTAGTAGAGGAATTGCTGGGTCATATTCTAGGTAATTCTATGTTTAACTTTTTGAGGAACCACCAAACTGTTTTCCACAACAGCTGCACTATTTTACATTCCCACCAGCAATGCACAAGAATCTCAATTTTTTTCACATGCTGACCAACATTTGTTATTCTCTGTTTTTTTTTTAATTGTAGCCATTATAGTATCTCATTGTGAAGATAGAATGTGAAGTGGTATCTCGTTATGGTTTGATTTTCATTTTCCTGATGTCAAGTGATGTTGAATGTCTTTTCATTATTGGACATTTGTATATCTTTTTTGGAGAAACAGCTAGTCGAATTCTATGCCCATTTTTAAATTGGGTTGTTTATGTTTTTGTTGTTGAATTGTAGGACTTCGTTATATATTCTGGATATTAAACCCTTATCAGGGAAAATATGCAAGTATTTTCTCCCATTCTGGAGGTTTCTTTTTTACTTCATGGTAATGTCCTTTGGGACAGGCACAGTGGCTCATGTCTGTAATCCCAGAACTTTGAGAGGCTGAGGTAGGCAGATCACTTGAGCCCAGGAGTTTGAGACCAGTCTGGGCAACATGGTGAGACTCTGTCTCTACCAAAAAATAAAAAATTAGCTGGGCACAGTGGCATGTGCCTGTAGTCCCAGCTACTCAGGAGGTTGAGATGGGAGGATAGATTGAGCCCAGGAGTTTATGGCTACAATGAGCTGTGATTGCACCACTGAACTCCAGCCTGAGTGGCAGAAAGAGACCTGGTCTCAAAAAAACAAACAAACAAAAATAAATAGATAATTGTCCTTTGATGCACAAAAGTTTTCAATTTTGATGAAGTCTAATTTATATATTTTTCTTTTGTTGCTTATGCTTTTGATGACATAACTAAGAATCACTGTCAAATCCAAGGTCATGAAGATTTATCACTTTTATTTTCTTCTAAGAGTATCATAGCTTTAACTCTTATATTTAGGTTGTTGATCCATTTTGAGTTATTTTTGCATGGGGTGTGAGGTAGGGCTCCAACTTTATTCTTTTGCGTATGGAAATCAGTTTTCTCAGCACCATTTATTGAAGAGATTGTTCTTTCCCCATTGAACGGACTTGCCACCCTTGCCGAAGATCAACGTGGCCATAGCTGTTTGGCTTTATTTCTGGACTCTTTACTCAATTCCACCAGTCTAAATGTCCATCCCCATACCAGTATCATGTTGTTTTGATTACTGTAGATTTACAGTAAAATTTAAAGTTGGGAAGTGTGAGATTTCCAACTTTGTTCCTCTTTTTCAAGATTATTTTGGCTATTCAGGGCCCCTTGCAATTCCATTTGAAGTTGAGATTAACTTTTCCGTTTTTTTTCAAGAGACTGTGGAATTCTGATAGGGATTTCTTTGAATCTGCAGATTGTTTGTTAGATGTATTGACATCTAAGCAATATTAAGTCTTTCTATCCATGAACATGGTATATCTTTTCATTTCTTTAAATCTAATTTCAGCAATGTTTTGTAGTTTTCAGTATACAAGTCTTTCATCTCCTTGGTTAAATTTATTTCTAGATTTTAAAAAATATACTATTTTAAACAGAATTGTATTTTTAATTTTCTCTTCAGCTTGTTCATTGCTGGTATATAGAAACACAAACTGTATACTTTGCTGAATGCTTATTAGTTCTAGTAACTTTCTTGTGGATTCTTTTGGATTTTCTATATACAGGGTCATGTCATCTATGAGTAGAAACAGTTTTACTTTTTCCTTTTCAATTTGGATGCCTTTTATTTCTTTTTTTTTTTCCTAATTACTCTGGCTAGAACTTCCAGCCAATATTGAATAGCAGGTGAAAGAGGCATCCTGTCTTATTCCTGATCTTAGGAGGAAAGCTTTCTGTCTCACCACTGAGTGTGATGTTAGCTGTCTACCACCCTTTTGATAATGGGTCACTCCTAGCGGCCTGGGCCAGGTGGGAATGGGGGCACCCATCTGATTTATTACCCAACAAATGGGTTTCTCCTGATGGAGAATCATATTTGGAGTCTTGCTCAGAGCAAATACCCACTAATCAGAAAATACCAATTTCATGGGAGCACTAATCACACTGTTAAAATGTCAGCTGAACTGAAACCCAAACATTTGTTAAGCTCCTACTATGTTGCAGGCACTTTTATTACCTCATTTGATTCTAAAACAGCCCTTGGAGACAAGCTTTTTATTATTAACACCCCCATTTTAGAGGGGAGGAAATGAATGCTAAGAGAGTGAGGTGATTCATACAGCTGGTAAGTGTTCATAGGAAGTTAGGTGTATGTGGTAAGTTTTCTGATTTGTGAGTGGACTTGTTTTCTATCCAGTCATTCTCAAGGGGAGAAAGGACTACACTCCTTTGTGGAGTGAATCAGAACCTCCCTGGGGGTGGGTTGGAGGACTGGGGAAGGCTTTCTCAAAGGTACTGCATCTCTCAGCCTGTTCTGATAGATCATGTCTTCTGGAGTCTTTCACCCCATTAGAAATTCATTGCTGCAAGGATTCACTGTGACTGACAAGAGCTTGCTGCAACCTTCACGAGTGTGCCATGGTAAAAAGGTTGTGAGCCACTGCAAACTATAGCATCTTCTTTCTTTTGTGATGTTGGTGTTAACAGATGAGTCTGAGAGACAAGTAGAGTTGATTCTATCAGAAGGTTCCAAGAGGTAACTCTTTCTGAGGATTGGGAGCAAATTGTTTGCAGCTCAAGGAGAGCTTCTGGCCCAGCAACTTTTGTCCTATTGCAAACCCCCGTGCTGTTAACTCGGTGGTAATCAACACTCTCAGGGAGATTAGCTTTATCAAGTGACTGCAGCCACAGGTACTTGGATAATTCATAGCCAATGGTTAGTTTCTGCTCAAATTTCTGGGTCGCTGGAGGTGTGTAAGATCCTATTCTGGACAGTGATATGAGACCCAGCTAGTGGCCTGTACATTCCTCCTCATGCGCCGCCTTTTTTTTTTCTTTTAAAGTGTGAGCATGAGCCGGGAACATAGTCCCCGTGAAAGGACGTGGCACCCTGCAGAAAAGTCCTGAGGTTTTCTGAGTCCCGTGCTGGTGCTAATTCCCAGTGTGGACAGGACACCGCAGGAGTTGCTGCTGATGGTCTGATGGAAGACACCTAAGCACAAAAGTCCCAATCAACTTAGGGCAAGAGAAGGCTGCGTTTTTGCTCTCTTCGTATTTTGGGGTTGACTTTCCTCTTTCTTTTGTTCTCATCTGCTGCGCCATGGTCAGGAAGAGGGGTATAGGTGAATTAAGTTCCCTGCTTCTTCCATCCAGCTTGGAGCAGGGTTCACTGAGTTTCCTCTGCCAGTCTGGCCATTTGGTGCCACATTTATGTTTTCAGCCCACATTGGAGTTATCGGTTCATGATGAGACTTTCTGGGCTGCAGATGGCCCAGGGGATAGGAACAAGCCCACCAAGAGATACTTCTATTGAAATTCTAATTATATATATATATGTATATATATATATGTGTGTATATATATATGTGTGTATATATATATGTGTGTGTGTGTGTGTGTGTGTGTGTGTGTGTGTATATATATATATATATATATATATATATATATATATATATATACAAAAGCAAGGAGAGAGGGGTAGCCCTGCCCCATCACCTTAACAATCAGTCGTCTTTAGATTAAACTCAGAAGGTCTTTGTTGTCTCAATTCAATTTAACAAATATCTGTGTAATAATTTAGATAAGATGCAGGTCTTCTCTTTAATGAAATAAACATCTGCTTGGCCATGCAACTGGAGCAAACTCCTTTCAGAAGCAAACTACTTTCATCCTTCTTTCTCTGCACTCTATGCCACTTTCTTCCACCATCCTCCCACCTGTCCCTGTCAACTCCAAAATTTTTTCGGTCTTCTAGGCTTGAGATCTTGCAGTCCCTCTTTCCCCTCCCTCTCCTTCCTTCCCTGGTCTATATAATAACTATACATCCCTGCTTTCCCTGGATGGTTCTGGTTTAAATCTGTTGTCCTAGTATAACTGTTAATAGCTCTCTTTTCATTCTCTCTTTTTTTTTTGAGACAGAGTCTTGCTCCGTCGCCAGGCTGGAGTGCAGTGGTGCGACCTTGGCTTGCTGCAACCTCCGCCTCCTGGGTTCAAGCGATTCTCCTGCATCAGCCTCCCAAGCAGCTGGGACTACAGGTGCATGCCACCATGCCCAGCTAATTTTTTTATTTTTAGTAGAGATGGGGTTTCACCGTGTTGGCCAGGATGGTCTCGATCTCTTGACCTTGTGATTGGCCCGCCTTGGTTTCCCAAACTGCTGGGATTACAAGCATGAGCCACTGCGCCTGGCCTTCTCTTTTCATTCTCAAAAGTGTCTCAATTTGGGCAATAAATTAAATGGTGAACCAAACTATCACCTATCAGAGGCTGAGGCTGTCCTCCTATCCGTGCCCAGCATGTCACCGCCTTCCCAGTGCCACTAGCCTAGCTGAGATGCTGTCACCTCTTGCTGGCTCACTGAAAGTGCCTTTTCTCTGATGTCCATACTTGTGCCACTTACTTCCTATTCGTTCTGCGATCATGGCCTGATTAATTCTCTCAAAATACGGTACTCCGCTGCTCACCCTCTTGGTTCCTTATTTATGGGATACAAATCAAACATCTTAGTCTGGCACTTAAAACCCTTTAGAGCCCAGCTTCTGCTTTGGTCTCCCTCTTTTGGTTTCTCAGCATGAAGTCTCATTTCCACTCTAATTGGTTGATACTCTGTCCCCCGACCCTGCCCTGTGATGGCCACCTGTGAACATTTGCTCTCGAGGGTCCACTTTCCTGGGCTCTCACTCTGGCCGTCACCACAGATGCAAATCCGTGCCTGCATCCTTCAAGCCCAGCAGGGATTCCCATCTTTTAAATACAGCGCTCTGTGACCAGCCCACCCCTCAGCACTCTCTCCTCCTCTGAACTCTTTGGCCTAGAGCAATTATTGTCTGCACAATTCATTTGGCATCTAATCATGTACTGCCTCATGACTTTTCATATATTGTTTCTTGAACTAGGGCTGGAATTATTTGCTGCAATTTCACTTTTTGTTTTCATATGCCTGTCTCCACAGTGAAACTGCAGGTTCCTGAGGACAGGAGCCGCATCTTTTTCATCTTTTCATTCCTTATGGCACCAAGTGCCTAGTAGGTATAACATAAATACTTTCCAGAAATTCTTAAGAGGTGTTCATTTAGGAGTCTTGGGACTGGAAAGATCCTTATAATAACATAGCTTATACTCTTATTTTGTAGATAAACAACAATAAAAAAATGAAGAGACAAGAAGTCAAGAGACTTGCCCAAAGAGACCCAGCTAATGCAGATGGCAGAGGCAGGATTCAAGAACAGATCTTTTCATTCTAAGTCCAGGACACTCTCCAGTCACCACAGGCTACTGCCTGTGTGTTGATTTTATTTTGTGAGTGGGTTGCATTCATTTTCAAGGGTGTGTAGGAATTTAGAAAGCAGAATAAACCAAAGAGAGCAAGCCAGGAGTGGAGCACAGCCTCAGCAACGTCCAAGAGGTGCAAACTTGTGTGGCATAACTCTGGTGCCACAGCAATTAGGCCACCATAATTTCACTCTAAGAAAGTGGTGGGGGTGGCGGGTCAGGGAAGACCACAGTCCCATGATTTGGGGATTGAGCAGTAGACGTCACAGTGCAGTCACCTGCCAGTGCCTCCGGCGAGCATCTCATCACTAGATTCCACTGTTGGGAAGTTGTGGTGGGGCGTGTGGTTGGGGTGGGGTGCATGTTTTGGGTGCGGTGTGGAGTGGAGGTGGCCAGCTCAGGAGGGCTGGATGAGGACATTGGAAATGCCTTCTCAGAGGTGGCCGGGACGTACTTGCTTTGGGTTGTGATGAAACCTGACTGCACTGGCGTTGAAAAGCGTCACTGGTAATGCTGTTATATATCCTTTTCAACTTTAATAAGGTGTTGCAAAAACTACAAAAATACATATAACTAAAACCACATTTCACCGGAAGCTTGATCTCGAATCCCTTTCTACTGCTCCAGTGTGGTGCTTCGCGCTGTCAATAGAGCTGTTAAAACACAATGGAAAGTGGGTAATTGTGCATTACATGGCTTTTGTTTTCTGTGATGAAATATCGACATCTGAGCAGAGAGAGGGATTATTGTGGCACAGGGCACTGTGAAGAGATGTGAGGGGCAGGCTGGGGAATTGCGGCAGGGGGAGGGCTGAGGGCAGAGGTAGAGGGAGCAGGAATCTGGCTTCTATTCCAATTCCAGCAGGTCTCTCTGAGTCTCGCTTTTTCTCACCATAAACGTGGGGAAATTCATACATCTCACTGATGTGAGGAGGCTCTGAGCTGGTCACTAGGGTTGGCAGAAGGCTCCAGGGTCCCGGCAGAGCCGTGCAAAGCCAGGGCAGAGCTATGCACTCATTCACAGGCGCTGCGGCTAAAGAATGTGTCTGAAGGCAGCTTGGGAAGATAAGGGCAAATTAAGTCAGGAAACAGGCACTGCAATTGTTTCCTGGGGAAAGCTGGGCCAGCGTCCATCCTGTGTCCTGCTGGCGGGAATTCATAAATGATGTCCTTTAACCTGACGCTGGGGGAGCCTGGCAGGAGCTAGGTCTGGGGAAGGTGGAGACCTACAAAAGTGCCTTCTGCTTAGAGCACACTTGTTCCTCCCACAAGTGATAACAACAATGAAATAGTAACAGCCACCCTTTATTGAGTGTGGGGTGGCAGGTGCTTACATACATTTTCTTAATTCTTTCAGCAGCCCTGGAAGGGAGGTGTTTGCCCATTTTCTGGATGGGGAACCCAGGCCAGGTGGGAGGACTGTCTGCCTTGTTCCCCAAGTCTCAGCCTCCCTGTTTCAGAGGCCACAGGGAGGAAAGGACATCTGGGTGGCACACAGGAAATCACGGCCAGCCAGGTCGAGGGGGCTTGGTTTTGCTTTTTTGAGGGAAAGAAATCAAAAGAAGCTGGCAGGGAAACCAGCTGTGAGCTCTCAGTGAGCGAGGGGCTGTTTGCATGCAGGGAAGACTGCCCTGAGGTGACCTGAAGGCAGTCCTGGGGTCATCTGGGCAGTCCCTCGCCTCCACACAGGT
Source organism: Homo sapiens (assembly GCF_000001405.40). NCBI lineage: Eukaryota > Metazoa > Chordata > Mammalia > Primates > Hominidae > Homo > Homo sapiens. The sequence continues at coordinate 125,192,995 of NC_000011.10, forward strand.
GAACCACTTGCCGGGTGGGACCCTCAGGGTCACTTCTGTCAGCTGTGCAGCATTGTGGGCTCTGCCATTGAGTTTGAGGGACGACCTGTCTCGCTAGATAGATTACATTTGGTTTGCTCAGAAGGCATTTATAGCTTTATAAAGCTCTTAAATTGGCTCTTTTCCCCCTCAAAACATTTCTCCAAGCTTACAAGACCAGTTTTAGAATAGCAATTACCAGTTCCAATATCCCCCAGCAAACTCATGCTGTGCTGTTGTATATAAACTGCTTGGGACATTTGTAATGCTGCCACACAGTGTATCTGCGCGGCAGAAAGCCCCCTCTCTACCGAGGAATGCTGCAGAGGCCCTTTCTCGGCTCTAATTTATGGGCCACATAAAATTCTGTGAAGTTGCCCTGCATCTTTCTGAGGCAAAGTTGAGGTTTTTTACTGTTTCAAGCTGCTAATTTTTCCATTTAAAGCGAGCCTTCTGTCCGTGCCAGTGTGCATGTGTGCATACAAGTTGGCCGCTTTAATTTATGTGCCTCTTTCTCTCTGTGTAAGGCTATAACTTACAAATGTCTGCATGAAATACAGAGCCACTCTTCCTATTACAAGAGGCATGGATGCTTTGTCCCATGCGTGGGATAACCTGGACCCCACCCTGCCTCAAACCCAGGGACAAAGTAACCTCAGTGCAGAGAGGGGCATTGACCTAGGAACAGGAGTTGATGGGACTCATCATGTGAACCAAGACCCAGTGTCCTCACCAGTAAGACGTGGGGCTGGATGAGAGGCAGCACGGTTGGGGGCAGGCATAGGAGGTTCAGAGCAGGGGACAAGGATTTAAGGATGGAATGGAGCACATTCAAGAACTGCTGCCTTGGGCAAGCCATGTAAGCTTTCCAAGCCTCAGTTTCCCCATTTTCAGGATGGGGGTAGGGTTACAAATTTCTCCCCACAGTGTTGTGAGTACCAAGTGTGCTACTGACTGCAAAGGCCCTTCCTCAGCTAAGACAATATCGAAGGGCTGGTTGGGAGCTATTCCAAGCTCTGAGCTGCCGGCAGGGCCCCGTAGGAGGGGTAAAGACCAAGAGCAACGTGATGTCTTTGGGCTTTCCAAAGTCAAACCTAGATGCCTTTGTGCGAGCCCTTCCTCCCTGGTCTCTGCTGAGCCCTGTGTGGAGAGCGGTTGCGTAGCACAGGGCAGGAGAGCTCTGCACATGCTTCTCCTTTTCCAGTAGGGCCCTCTGGGCTGGAGAGAGCAGTCATCCCTTGCTAAGAGCAGTTGGCATCCCCTTCCCCACCCCAGGCCGGCTCCCATTGCGGCCTTTCTTGAGAGCAATAATCCTCTCCTGGTCTTTGCTGATGCTTCTCATCAGAAGATAACACAGCGAGTCTTTTCAGGGTCTCCTGAGAACCTAGAAGATATTGAGCAGGTGCTGGGGGATTCACAGGCAAGGAGGTTTGTAGCTCCCAGTCCCCCACCCCCACCCTGCTTCACAGGAGGGTCCTCACCCTGTGTCCTCACAGCAGGACCCTTATAGCTGGGGAACTTGGCCCTCCTGCCCCCGAGTTGGGATCACACTGGCTGACAGAGAGGGGCACTCAGCCTCTCCTGGGGTTTTGGTGAGCCCCTCACTGCAGAGGACCCCAAAGGCCCACTCTTGCTTCAATGTCCCTTAGGCCTCATCCCTCCTTTTAAACTGCTTGCTGCTGCAGTGCTCCCACTTGGATATTTTGCCACGAATGTAAAATGTCATGAGTTAAAACAGACTCATTCAACGCATTTTTAGTGATGGGAAAGATGCTGCCGTCCATTGAGCACCTACTATATGCCAGGCTGCAGGCAAGGTGCTGTGTATGCTCCAGCTAATTTAATTCTCACCACAAACCCTCCAGATAATAATAACTAACCTGTATGCAGCACTTCCAACATGCCAGTCATGACTTTGAGCTCTTTATGTAGGTCCTACCTTCCTGACGCTCTTAGGAGGCGGGCTCTATTGTTATCCTCTTTTGTATTATGGACGGGAAAATGGAGGCATGGAACGCTTAAGGAACCCATCCAACATCACACAACCAGGAGTTTGGGAAGATGGGACTAGCACCCAGGGAGTCTGTTTCCATGTCTGAACTCTTAACCACTCCACAAGAAACATGGCTTCTTCAAGGAGGGCATTCATTATGACCGTGTTTTAATTGTACCCCACCTAAACTTACCTTTAGATATAAACACTGATTCTCAGCCTAGAAAGAAGCTGAGCCAGAATTTGAACCCAGGCTGGTCTGCTTCAAAGCATCTGGTCTTTCTGTTGTGCCTTTATCCTCTTGCTTACTCGTTCAAGACACGTGCTTTTCCTACCCTCAGTTCATAATCTTTTAAGTAAGTAGGTGATATTATAAAACGAAAAGTTTTTAGGAACATGAGGATGGCTTGGAGCTGGGAGGCCTGGGAAGCAGGAGGAGGGGTGAAGACTTTCAGCAGTCGGCAGTGAGTGGGGAGGCGGGGAGGTCTTGGGGACGGTCGAGGGTCCTGGTTTGTGTGGAGGCCAAAAGAGGAGAGGTTTGAGAGCTGTTCTGAAGAACCGAAAGAACTGGTGATGGAGTAGGTATTGGAAATCTGGTTCAGGGGGAAATCTACACCCTGAAGACTCGGTGAGCTGACACACTACTCATGAAAATGAGAGTGAAGTTCTTGTGGGGCAAGGGTCTCCTTTTTACAACACTGAGTTTGAGATGCCAGGGAAATGGCCAGTGGGGCAGTCCCATCGGCAGATGGCAATGCCTGATAATTTCTCCAACTCCAACACTGGTTTTGAATGTCAGGGTTCTTAAAGTGTTTGTGCGATGGCCTCCTTGAGGATCTGATGAAATGATGAATTCTCTCCCAAGGAATATGTACATGCACACACACACACACACACACACACACACACACACACACAATTCATTGACAATATCCCAGACACAGAAACTCCAGGTTAAGGACACTGGGTTTACAGCCTCAGGCCGGTCCCCTCCCCCACCACTTAGGTGGCCTCTGGGTCTGCTTGGGAAGCTGGGGAACCAGCATTCTGCATGGCTTGGCTCTGTCTTTAGGCATTGGGCATGGGGATCTGTGTCAAGATCCTTAGAGGGGCGACTTTTGCACACAAAGCATGGAGCTGGCAACAGTACAGGTGGGATTTCCTCTTGGATCCTGAGCCTGCAGGATTGTCAGCATGGTCATTTTCCCAGAGCTTGTGTATTCCCGTGGCACCCGAGAAGGGGCTGTGAGGTCTGTGCATCTTTTCTCTCAGTCACTGACTCTTGTGCGTGCTGACTGTGTCGGGGCTGGGCTGCACATTTTGCTGGTTTCTCTAGGGCTCCCTGAGGCGTATAGCTTAGGATAGGGCCTGAAACAAGGCCTGAGCCCGGGACACCGTCTTCTGTTGAGCCCACTTTCTGTCCCCATACACCAGATCCCAAGTGGTTGGAAGCCTTTCCATCATGGGAGCTCCCAACATCCTCACCAAGAAGCTTCATGCTGTGTGTTGCTAACCAGACTTTTATGGGACAAGGGTGGAAGGGCCACTGTCACAGAGAGTGCTGGTATTCAGAGGCAGTGCAGGGGAGGAGGAAGATCTGAGAGCCATGAAGCCAAACCTGGGTCAAACCCTGCTCCAATTTCACCTGTGGCCTTGGGCAAGCTGCCTCACCTCTCTGGCCCTGAATTTCCTCATCATTAGAACAAAGGCATTGGACTCGATCATGTCCAATATCTCATCCTTGTTAATTTTCCATGATTCTAAGTATTGGTAGAGAACCACAGCTGTCCTGTAGTGGCTACAGGGAATGAAATATCCCTGATGATTAGTGAAGATAAAAGGGTCCTCTCCTCATGAGCAGGGACCCTGGTGCTTTATACTTTGAGAAGAGGCCTTTGTAGTAGTGCCTGGTATGCGGGTATGAAGAAGGTACTTCCCTGGGATCACTGGATTTTACCCTATTGGGTAAAGCCGTAAGCGATGTGGCTACTTAAATTTAAATGCATTAAATGAACTCACATCAGAAAGTCAGCTCCTCAGTCTCACTAGCCACATTTCACAGGGTCACCATCGCTGCAGAGAGTGCTGCTGCTGTTGGAGTCGGCCCCAGCCGGGACCCCTGCTTCTCTGAGGGGACAGAGATCTTGCTTAGTTGAGGCAGGTTGGTGTTTGGAGTAGTTGAGTGATGACTCTCATGGATACCTTGGTCCTGTGTAATTCATTGCATCTGAGATGGGAGGGAGCTGACATTTCTTAATGAATTCAGCCACTGTGACCCTCAGAGTCATTTAATTACTGCCCAGGCTTAGGGGGTGGCTGAGCAGTGAACCCAGAGACTGCTGCTTGTGCCCCGGGACTGCCCACCCAGGTCCTCTCAGCCTCCCCACGAGGTCTTTGAAGCCAAGGATCAGGCCACCCCTACCCTGAGTGGGGATCTCTCTTTCTGAACTCCCACTTGCCTGGGGACCCACAGAAACCTATTATTCAGCCCAAGAGCTGCCTAAGAGAGGCTCTGCCCCGGTCTTCAGTAGGAGTCCTCAGCTGCCTGTCAAGGCTCTCCTGGGGCCTTAGCTGGGAGGGTCCCATTCTGGGGACCCCGTAACAACACAGGTCTGCCTCAAACCCCTTCCCTGCCCCAAAGCAGAGGAAAAACAACAACAACAACAACAAAAAAACACAGCTGAGGCTCTGGCAGGGCCACCGTAGGGGTTAGCTGGAAAGTCCCCAAGGGGAAGACACACATCCCCCAGGGTCCTGGCTACGGCTGCCGGTGCAGAGCTGGTGGGACTCCTGGAATGGCGTCCTGGTGATCTCAGGGTGGGTCATCTCGGTATCTGCTCCACTCTGCCCTTCACACAGACGTGCTGCCGTCACCTCTTTGGGCCACAACTGCAGCCAGGGGTTGCAGATTAGAGACCCTAGGGAAGCTAATGGTCACTCCCTGCAAACCACACTAGCAGCATAATCCTTGTCCTTGCAGGACCAATGCAGGGAAGCAGCTGGGCTTTCAGGCAGCCCTCAGAGGCAAGGCCTTTGGTGGATAGAAGCTTGAAAAGGGCTGATGGTCCCTCGTCTGTGTTTCCCAGCAACACAGTCTGGGGTGGGCCTGGTAGCCCATCCTCTTGGGACTTGTTGGGGCTCTCACATCTACTGACCAGAAAAGAGAGCAGCAGAGGGATGAGTTGTGTCAGGAGCCCAGCATGGAATCCTCACATGGAGAAGTCAAATGTTCCACCATCATTTCTATAGCTGATTTTTCTCCCCCGAAGAAGACAAGGAATTTTGTGTCTAGATGGGTTGCTCCCATCCGCTTTTTGGATAGAAAGGCCAGAAGGCGAAGGTGGGGGTAGAGGGCGATACGACACCACACCCCATCAATCAGTTTCAGCCGCGGATCCCCTCTTTACCTGAGGGTAAGAAGGACGGTGCATGGGGACAATTTCTCCTTTTGAAACTTGCTTTCAGGTTCTCCTTCGATATCTTCATTCCCCTCCATGGTAGTGAGGTAATTTGAGTGTCTCACTATATTTTCCTTCAGTACAAGTGAATTTGGAAGACAGGCTTTTCACAGGGTAGTAAAATAATCAGTGCAGGCTCATTCTTACGTACACTTCCTCGAGTTTCCGACCTGTGATAACAGGGGCCTGCTCTAAGACAATCGGTGGTCCCAACACTATAGATCTGATCTATGGGCCCCTCAGACACGGATGCCCTCCCTTATTGCCACCTGCTTCTCCTCTGATTTTTTGTTCTTTTGCAGATTCTACTCCCTCACCTCTCCCTCACCTCTCTCCTGATCCGCCTCCTCCTCCTCTTCCTTCTTCTTCTTCTTCTTCTTTTTTTTTTTTTTCTGAGACAGAGTATCACTCTTGTTTCCTAGGCTGGAGTGTGGTGGCACGATCTTGGCTCACTGCAACCTCCACCTCCCAGGTTGAAGCTATTCTCCTGTCTCAGCCTCCTGTGTAGCTGGGGTTACAGATACCCACTACTATGCCTGGCTAATTTTTGCATTTTCAGTAGAGACAGGGTTTTGTCATGTTGGCCAGGCTGATCTCAAACTCCTAGCCTCAAGTTATCTGCCCTCCTCGGCCTCCCAAAGTGCTGGGATTCCTGGCTTGAGCCCCCACGCCCAGCCTTCTTCCCTTTTTTTCTCCTCTTTGGTAGTTGATCTCACCTGTTGCCCCAGCCCAGCCCCAGGTGGCATGTTATTTCCCTTGTGCTCTGCTGACCAGCCCCAGTCCCTCTGAGAGCTCCCCAAGCTCCTAGACTGCTCTGAGGAGGTCAAAGAGCTTCAGTGAGGGGGAGAACGGCTGCTCCCACCATTGCCCAGGTACCCCCTTCTTGTGGCAAAACATTCCTCGGTTCTCACCTTCACTGAGGTCCAGGTGCTCCTGCCAGCCCCGCACATGCATTCAGTGCTAATTAAATATATTATCCATCTGAGAAAAACCAACTCAGGAAGTTAAATCAGTTATTGCAAAAGAAAACAGTGTGGCATATTTCACTCTCCCAGGTCAGCAATGTGGGCTCCTGGGTTGCTTAAGATTTCCTGGGTTGGCCAGGTGCTGTGGCTCACACCTGTAATCCCAGTACTTTGGGAGGCCAAGGCCGGTGGATCACTTGAGGTCAGGGGTTCAAGACCAGCCTGGCCAACATGGTAAAACTCCATCTCTACTAAAAATACAAGGAAATTAGCCAGATGTGGTGGCAGGTGCCTGTAATACCAGCTACTCAGGAGGCTGAGGCAGGAGAAATCACTTGAACCCAGGCGGTGGAGGTTGCGGTGAGCCGAGATTGCACCACTTCACTCCAGCCTGAGTGACAAAGCAGAACTCTGTCTCAAAAATACAAAACAAACAAACAAAACAAAACAAAACTTACTGGGTCTCTCGTTGCTATGTGTATGGACTGGACGAGACAGGAGCAACATCCACTCATTGAATGAACCCTGGTCTTGCAGCCAGATCACCTCAGTCCATCACCCATGGCTCAGAAGCTTGGGCAGGTGTCTCCTGTCCTCTGTGATTCCACTTTCCCATCTATAGACAGTGACACCAGTGGCCTCTTAGGGCTGTCTGTGCTAAGAGCACCTTGTCTTGCCTTCAGTGTACAATGTCAGAGCCTGGCTGCTGGCCTTTCCCCCAGATGGTAACCGGAGCAGGGACCAGAGGGCCCCACTGCCAAAGCATTTTGTTCTCCATGGTCACAGCCATTAGTCCCATGAAGAAATAAGGCAAAGGGATGAGCAGAGAGTCCCTCCCAAGGGTTAGAGGCAGGGGAGGGAGTAGAAAGGACCAGGCCAGCTTGATTTCCTCCCCCTACACCTTAACTTGTGCCTCCCCAACCTGCCCAATCTCACCGAATAGCAGCAGAATTCACCAAGTTTCTGCCGTCAAAAACCTGGGCACTGGCTTTGACTTTGACCCTTCCCTCGTTTCCTCGTAGCCCAGTGATAGGTTCTGTGAATTCCACCTGTCATGTAAGGTGTGACTCTTGGCCCAACCATGGCTCTCCATGCACCATGCCGCCCCCTGAGCCCAAGTCTCTGCCACCGCTTGCCTGGCTCATTGCAGTGCCTCCCGCCGGTTCCCAACCTCCCCCTGGCCCTCCGTCTGTTCTCTACACTGAAGCCACAGCCGTCACCCATGCCCATGTTTCTCCTGCACCAAGGCCACCACAGTCTGCAGTCACGTATGTATTTATGTGATGTGGAGTTTATTGTCTGACTTGCCCATGAGACGTGCTCCAGGAGGTCAAGGGCAGGGCCTGGGTTGACCGTCACTGCATCCCCAGTGCCCTTGATGAGGAACGGTTAAGCAACTGAGTGAATGACCCAGGCAGGGCCCTTGTTTCCTTGCTGTCTCTTGCTTCTTTTCCAAAGGGACTCCCCCTCTAGACCGTGTGATCCTCATGGGCAGGGGGTCTCTGCCTTTTGTACACTGCACATCGAGGGACTTGGTAAAGCTTTGGTGAATGAATCGTGAGTCTCTGAAGTAGAGAACTTGATGGGGATCCCTTAATGCAGACCACTGTCCTCAGATTCAGCCTGGGGCCACCTTCTCTGTGCCATCATTGCTCATTTTAGCTCCTTCTCACTGGTCTCCCAGGACCTTGGTTTCCATGAACCCTTTCTGACCTGAGAGCTTAGGCTGGGGCTGAACCCAGATTGCTGCTTGGTTATGGCCATTCTACCCCCAAGAGGAAGCGGGGTCTTCCTTTCCACTTTCCAGTGGGGTTTGGAAGCTAGAGGAGACATGCGGGAGCTCTGAGTGAAGCCCCCTCACTGCTGATGCCTAGAGCCTTTGGCCTGATGAGCTCTTCAGAACCTCTGTGACCTCTGGAACTGCATCCTTCCCAGATATTGCTTTCTTCCTTGGTAGAAAAAAAAAAAGCAGCCTCCCTCCAAAGTTCTGGGGACTTCCAGATGATATGGAAAATGTCCACAAGGAATGGCCACAGAAGAGCAGGTAAAGCCCTGGAGAGAGAGTCAAGGCTGGCTGGAGAAGGTGCCTGGTGCTGTGTGATTTGCTGCCTGTGTCCCTCTCCGAGCTGGAGTTTCCACCTGTGAAAGGAAGATTGCGCCACCTGTGCGGCTGCCAAGCTAAGGAGTATCTGACAGATTCACTGGAAGCAGGAAGTGTGCCAGCTGGAAAATGGTGATTTTTCATCCGACACCATCAGGAAAGCCCCAGACTTCACCCCCTCCCTCTCTCCTGTTATTAATGGCCATGTGGATCAAATTCCTCAGCCTTACTTCCTTCAAGGTTTTCTTCCAGAGCCTTATCTCAGGCACTCCTGGCTCCTTTTAGTTTCTTTCCTGCTGGGTAGGCATTTCCCCCAAGAGCCCAGTGAGTTTAGCATCAGCCTAGGTTGGGGAAGAATGTGGGCTCGGCTGGGAGGCTGGGGGTCACGAGCTGCCTTGTGGCTGCTCCTTGGGGTCTGGTGGAGCCCCAGCCTCTGGCTGTGACATACAGCCCCCTTCATGAAGCCAGACAGAATTAAGCCTTTTGTTTCCTGTTTGCTAGGCCGGCTTAAAGAAAACACAGAGGGTCCGTGCGGCTGGGACTCCCAACAAGACGGCCTTTGTATTCATTTAATTAATCAGTTAGCTGAGGGGAAGGAGAGGGGGAAAGTTCATGTTATAAATACATGTTTTTCTTTGGCTTCCCCTCCTGCAAAAGACACAGCCTGAATGGCATCCCCAAGACAGCCCCCCATCTCGCTGCAGACATGCTGAGGGCCAGGGGCCAGCCAGGCTGCAGCTGGGACCCTCCTTGCCCCTTTGCTTGCCCTGCCCCCTGCACCCCTCACCAAGGGGCCTTATCCCTGATGGCTGTGTGTCCTGGGGGAATGTTAATGCTGATGGGGTGGGCAAGGAGTGGTGACCACTGGCTTCTAGAGCCCATCCTTCCTCTTTACCTCTCCCCTCAGACCCCATACCCTCCAGGGATGAGGTGGCTGCACTGCCATGTGGGTGAAGTGTCTGTCCCCAAAGAGGTCTGGGCAGTTGGCAGGTGCACCGTGGAGAAGAAGTCCAGGCACACAGAAGGGCTGAAACTGGCACCAAGGTGTCCAGGCCGACAGAGTGCTGAGCACTGGCAGGGGACACCGAGGGATGTCTGGCATCCTCCATCCCACCTTCCATTGGAGCCTTCTGGAGTGCAGGGGGAGGAGCCGTGGAATGTGCTCTTAGGGCTCTGGGGAGGCTGTGGGTTGGGGGGGAGGGGTGAGTGCTCTGGGACAGATAATTTCATCACCCCTTCAGGCTCCACAGAGCATTTTTAAAGCTTTGTTTGATTATATTATTTAAACAATTATTTTTTTCTTTTTAGAGATGGGCAAATTAACTCACTATTCTCCCACCTTTCCTCTCTACCCCCAGCTGCCAGGTATTTTTAGAGTTTAAAAAACCTTTCATTATGAGGTAAAATATTTGCAGTCCCTGAATATATGGCCCTCAGAATAGAATTTCACCGTGGTAAGTTTTTCCTTATGTGCTCTTCATTTTAATTCTTATTGGAATCTCTGGTATCTGGGGACCATGGTGCTAGGCCTTCTGACTATGCTGCTCAGAAAATCCCCAGATCTAACCAAGAGGTACAGAGTTCAGGCTAGGACCTCACCTCTGGCCTCTAAATATTTATTTATATGAGACAGGCTGGAGTGCAGTCAGCTGATCATGGCTCACTGCAGCCTCAACCAGCTGGGTCCAAGCAATCCTCCCGCCTCAGACTCGCGAGTAGCTCAGACCACAAGTGCGCTAATTTAAAATTTTTTGGTAGAGACAAGACAAGGTCTCGCTATGTTGGCCAGGCTGGTCTTGAACTCCCGGGCTCAAGCGATCCTCCTGCCTGGCCTCCCAAGTATGGGGATTATAGGCATGAGCCACCATGCCTGACTTTGAATATTTATTTAACTTGCCTTGTCTGGACATCAGGACAATTACAAGTGGCTCCGCTTCCTTCCTGTAGGTCTCCCTTCCTTGGCCCTTCAGGGAAGGCGGCAGAGCCAGGCAATGGGCAGAGCTGTACAGTGTTCTTTGGGGACAGGACTGCAAGGCCTCAGTTTTTTCTCCCTCCTTGGAGGACATTCTTCCCCTCTCAACTACAGAAAGAGGTCCACAGTTTCAAACCACAAACCCAAATGTGCTCTCTCTAGGGGCTTTTGGGAGCAGAGTCAAGCCAGGCTGAGCCCTGGATAGGGTGGTATTCCACTAGCCAACCAGCAAAATGCCTGGAGTCCTGGGTGCTTTGGGTCAGCAAACGATTCACTTTAACTCACTGCATGGCACCTGGAGAGTGTGTCCATGTGTGCCCATGTCCCCCGAAGCAATGGGTAAAACTCAGAGCTCCAGAATCTCTGTGTCATCTCTGGGGGAGTCTTGTGTTAGCTCATTCTTCCCAAGCTTCGTTTCCCCAAACCATGCTTCACTTTCACCATCTGAGTAGAGAGAAGTACAAGCCTCTGTGTCCCTCTGCTCAGAGGGTGGGGCACCTTTGTTTGGGCCTCCTGGAATTGCCTTCCCCAGAGACGTGTGGAGAGGGGGGAGGCAGGGAGAGAGGTTCGACCTAGAAAGCAAATTTCCTTCTCAGAGCTGTTTGAATGCCAGAGACACCAGAGCGGGAAAGAATCCCAGTGACCAGGTGAACAGGGTGAGAAGCAAAGGCCTGCTCCTTTCCTGGAAGAGGAAGTGTAGTTCATGGCTTGGTGGCAAGTTGGGTAGCAGGGCCTTGGTTTTGGAGTTAAGTCTCCGGGGAGAAGGGGTGATTAAAGCTGTGTTTCTCAGATGTTAAGGTACAATACAAAGGAGCCAGCTGGGCACCGTGTTAAGATGCAGATTCTGATTCAGCAGGTCTGTGTGGGGCTGAGATTCTGTGTTGAACAGGCTCCTGGTGACATCAATGCTGCTGGTCCCTGGCCACACTGTGAGTGGCACATGGCTAGTGGATTTAGCAGTGCTGTGCTCGCTCAGTAAAAAGTCATCGATGGCCTGTGGCTCAAGCTCCCAATTTAATCCCATTGTCACAGGTTGAACGACACATCCCAGTTTGCCTGGGACTCTCCTGGTTTTATCCATGTGAGTTCTGGGGAAGTCGATGGCTCTAATTCCAGACCTCTCTTCCAAGCCTACCTGCCTTAAAGGAGCTCGCCTCCCATTTCAATTGTGAATTGGCCACATTCCCGGTCAGAGACAGCTCTTTGCAACATTCTAAGGTTTGCCTTCTATTGTCCTTCTCCTCCCTCTGCTGACTCCTTTTCTCCCGCTGTGATCCTCTCTCCCACTCCTCCAGGCCCGGCTGAATCTACCCCTTCCTTACCCTGCTCTGAGCTCCTGGGGTATACCTGTTCTTGGTGCTTAGCAGAGACTGTCTGGTGTGATTGGCTCTCAGAGAACACTGTACACATCTTACAAAACAAGACCGTACACTCCCAGAGGATGAGCACCATGTCTGATCTTTCCTTGTATCCCCATGGTGCATTGCGCACAGTGGTTGTTGACCCTTGGAAGGTAGGGACTCTTGCTGTTGCTGCTGTAGTCCCAGAACCCAGCATCGTGCTGAGCACAGGGCTTGTGTCCATTACGTGTTCATTACATGTTACTCCTAGAAAGGAGTGAGTCAGAAGATGCTCCATACATATTTTAATCATGGATCCTTTTTGAGGTCTGAGTTCTTGGCATTTATTTTGTATCCATTCTGTGTCTATTTTGCTTATGTGTGTGGTACATAGTGGGGCTGGACATTCTTTTTAATGAAAGTGTATTGTTGGGTGTGGAGTCCCTTCCGGGGAGGTGGGTGGGGAGCGGGGGAGAGCTGGTGAAAGGCCAAGTCTGAACCCAGGCCCAGGTGGGCTCTTTCCCCACAACCATGTTCTTCATGCAGCACATTCCTCAGTGTCTAGCAGGCCAGGCAGGCAGCTTCTTGATCACGGAGGGCAAAGATACTTTTGGCATTTCTGCATACTTTGTGGCCTCTGTTTCTGAATTCATAATTGTAACTCTGTATTTTATTACATCCAAGTAAAAATTCATTTCAAAGCCATCAGGTGACTCTCTTGCTAGGGGTGGAGCTAGGATAAGCAGAGACTGGGTTATAACCCTTTCAGCCCAAATATTCTATCTCTCTAAGTAGCCCCTGTTTTTAAATATGTCTTCCCGCTTCTCTCTCATGCCACGCCTTGCCCTAAACATATACTGCAGCCCAATCTCGACTTCCCCAGACTGTGTTAAATTAAATCACTGCACATTTATTGGGCACTTAAAATCTACAAGATACTTAAAAAGATGAAAATACACATGTAACCTAACCCCTAACTTCCATCTTCAAGGACTTTACCCTCTAAATGGAAAGGCAATTTATGAAAAGAAAAGTAACAATAAAAGTTAAATAATAATGAAGATTACAATGCAGGAGACATCACCTGATGGAACAGGATTAATTAATCACTGAATGAGTGGCACAGATTCTATGTGCTAAGGGAATTCCAGGAAGAAAGAGATGGCTGTGCACCGGGGTGATCTGGGATCTGAAATGACCGGGGCCTTGGTTGGGCTGGGATGGAGCTCAGCTCAGTGCATATTTATGGGGCACTCACTGTGTTCCAGGCACTGTGTCATACTCTGCAGGCGCACAGACAAAGGAGACAGAGTCCCCACCCTCGAGGAGCCTACTGTCTAGTGGGCGGTGGGGGGGAGAACCGAGAAGGAAACTTCAAGGGCAAGGGCTGTGGGCACACTGGAGAGGGATTGTAGGCTCGGACTGATGCTGTTCAGGAGGTTGGCAGGAACCAGCCCTGGTGCCGTCTAACCTGACTTGAGCAGAGAGTAGTTAGGTCAAAATGTAGAGGAGGGGGTGTTAGGTAGAAAGATTACTCTGCACAAATGCGTGGAGGCATGAACCAGCGTGGTGTGTGTGCAAAAAGTAAGCAGGTCAGGATTCTGGTCCAAGGAGTGGCAAGAGATGAGTGGGAAAGCAGGCAGGGCCAGGTCACAGACAGCCTCAAATGCCTTGCTAAGGAGCGTAGAGTTCTTATCTAACCAGTGGGGTCCCCTGAAGAGGCAGCATGAAATAGCGGCTGAGAAGCAGCCAGGTGCCCTGCTTTGCTACTTGCGAGCTGGTGATCTTGAGCGAAAAACGTCATCTCTTGGTGCCTCAATTTCCTAATCTGTTAAGAGGGCGAAATCATAGTACTTACCTCATTGAGATGTTGTGAGGACTGAGTGAGCTAATCAGCATAACAAGCTAACAGACGTCTTGGAGCAAAGACAGCGCTCAGTAAACTGCAGCCAGCATTAGCATGAAGGGATTTCAGGTGAGTGACTTAGACAGGTTGTGTTTTAGAAGGATCACGTTGGCAGTATAAGAAGGCTGGATGAACGTGGGCAAGACCAGGAAACCAGTTAGAGACCTCCTGTAGTACAGCAGGCAAGTGAGCCTGAGGGCCTGGGCTGAGGGGTGGTGCTGTGAGAGAGGGAGGGGCTGGGTTCCAGAACTAGGTAGAAGGAAAAATCTTCAGGTGGCGGGGGGTGAGGGGGTGGGGGACTGATCTGTATGTGGGAGAGTAAGAGAAAGGAGGGACTCCAGGGAGACTTCCAAGTTTTGACCTCATTCTAGGGGGGTGGTGGTTCAACAACTGCCACAGGAAACATAAGAGGAAAAATAGGTCTTCTGGAAGATAGATTCTTCTTCTCTCTCTCTCTTTCCCTTCCTTCCACCCTCCCTCCTCCCTTCCTTTCCTCCCTTCTTTGTTTTTCCTTTTTTCTTTTTCTGTCTTCTTTTCATCTTGAGTTCCAACATCTATGGAACATATAGCTGGAGACGTCTAGCAGGAAATTGAATACACACATTCAAGAATATGGCTGGAGACAGAAATGTGAGTGCCGTTAGCCCATGACGGGTGTATAAGCTCTCCCAGGGAGCATGTGCAGAGCGGGAGGAGCAGTGGACAAAAGCAGAATCCAGAGGAAAACTGTGTTTAAAACATGATGCGAGAGAAACCACAAGAGACACAGAGAGGGTAGGAGAGTTAGGAGGAGAATCAGGAAAGGGTGGCATTACTGAACCAAAGTAGTAGAAAGCTTGGTGATGAGGATGAGAGTCAGCTGAAACAAGGACCAAAATATCCAGTAAGGGAAAGAATAAGAGAGTATTCCTTCGCTTGTCGGCATGAAAGCTACTGGCACCTGGGGAGAGAGGTTTTAGTGGCAAGTCAGGGTGGAAGAGATTGGAGACGGGTATGGGTGGTTGGGAGGTGAGGAAGAGATGGGAATAAGCATGTCGGGGGCATGGCTGGCTGTGCCAAATGACTCTTGAATGGAGGAGGAGGCCTCTGGTTGTCAGCCATCAGTAAGCAAAGCTTACCTGTGGTCCTTGGATTGAAAACTGCCAGGGAGACTTAATTTAGTCATCCATTTTTTTAATTCAACAAATATTGATTGCATCACTACTGTGGATTTTAAAATGCACTGAATGGAATTCTGTAATGAATGTGTCTAATAGAGGAGATAGGACAAATGTAAGTAGCTGTAATGCAAAGATGAAAGGTATCTTAGGCAACATGCTATGAGTTTGGATGAGGAAACATTACTTCTCCCTGGGGTGACCAGGGGATGATTCATGGATGAGAATCACTTTTGAGCTGGGCTTGAAGGAGGAGTAGAGTTCTAATAGGCATCAGTGGAAAACAGGCATTCCAGCAGATAGAAGGGATATGCAAAGGTCCTGAGGCAGGTAAATTTGGAGCATAGTCATGGGACCTGAAATACACTCATTTACTGGGAGTGTGGCCACAGAACCGAGGTAGATTGTAAGTTGAACCTGGAAAGTTAGATTGGGACCATGTCTTGGGAGGTTTTCTATGCCAGCTGAGGGAATTTGCACTTTTCTATAGCCCACAAGGAGCCATTGCAAGTTTTTGATATAAGGAGTAACAAGAGAAGACTTTGCACTAGAAAAAATCTTGCAGACACTAATGTGTAAGGCAGATCAGAGCAGACAGGAGTGAGTTAGGAGACTAATGTGATGGTCTGGGAGTGAGAAGTAATGAAGGATTTAGCAAGCATGTTGGTAATGGGACAGGAGAAAGTGAATATGAGAGACGTATGTGGAAATTGGGCCAGTTAGGGCTTAAAATGTGCCTGTGTGGGAATGTGTGGGGTCTGGGTTGTTTTCAGGTTAAGGTGAGAGGTAGAAGAGAGTTTGAATGGTCATGAGGGATAAATCAATAAGAATTCCAAGATTCATACAGCTTGGGTGGTTGGAAGAAAAGGGTACCATTAACAGAAATAGTAAAGACTCAAAGATGAGCAGGTTCAGGGAGCGAGAGGGGACGTGTGCTGCATTCTGTGGATGTGTTGAGTGAAGGAGGGCTGTGACTGAGAAATGGCCACTTCTTGGGTGGATGGGAGTACTTGGCCACCTCAATGGCAGCTGCACTGGAGTTGTGGGGCCAGTATCCGGGTTTCAGGGTCTCAGGAGAGAATGGGAAGTGAGGAAGTGGCAGCTGTGAGCGCAAATCGCTCTTTCACAAGTTTGGTGGTGAAAGGGAAGAGAGAGATGGGAGGAATATAATTCCAGAGGGCTAAGAAAATAATTTAAAAATTACATAATTCTTTAAATCCATCTTATGAATTACAAAGCACTTCAAATCTCTTGCCTTACCTAGTCCTCACAACACTTAAGGGAGTCAGGGTGGGGAGACTTTAAATCCACTTTACAGGTGAAGAAGCAAAGTCTCTGAAACAGGCAGGGCCAAGAAGTGTCACAGGTGAGATCCTGTATGCTGGGCCAGTGTTCTTTCCACTTCAGTATAATGCCTATGGGTCTGGGTAGATTTTGCATGTTGTAGATCAAGGCTGGTAGCCCAAGTAGGAGGTTGAAGGTACACACACATACACATGTGCGCGCACACACACTCACAATTGATGGGCATCACTATGGGATGGAGGGTCAGAGACCAGGTGGGGTCAGCTTGGGAAGGAGAAGGAGGGTTCTGCTTTTGGGGTAGTAGGAAAGAAGAGGAAGGTTAAAGACATAGCATGCTCAGGAAGAAGGAAAGAAAATTAGGAAAACTCAGAAGGCACAGAACCAATGGCTACAGAAAACACAAATGAAAAAGTTGGAGAACATTCATAAAGCAACATGCTAACACACAGTAATAGATGGGGCAGGCTGGAGGGGGAGGAGGATGACGACAAGGGAGGGCTGCAAGATATAGATCAGAGCCATCTTTGTTGTGGAAAAACAAATAAAGAGGCAAAAGGGCGCCTCTCCCAAGGCCCTGAAAATAGAAACGTCAAAAGCAGGAGGGAGTCATGTCCTGTGCCACCCTTATACCCACCCTGGTGTCATTCTTCACTCCCACCCTCACCTCCACCTGGTCTCTGCTGCAGTTCTGGGCTGGTATTGCTCTTGTTTTATCACTGGTTCCAGAAGAAAGACCAGATCAGCACATGCTCGAGGTCAGAGGTGGCCCAGGATGCATGCTGACCATCACTGGAGGTGAAGCAAGGTAGTGGGGGTGTGGGGGACTGAGCCCTGGACAGGTCATCTCTCTGGCAGCAGGAGAATGAAGCTATGCCGTAAAGGTTCTGCCAACCTCTGGCTGGAGAATAGAAGGACAGCTTCTTGTGCAGAAAGAGGATCCCACAGAGGTGACCTTTCCCTCTGAATCCTTTGATCTGGGAGTCCTGAAGAGTCCATCCCATGGGCCAGTGGTTCTTAGGAACTTATTGGCAGTCCTGAATTTTGCTCTTTGTGTCGGAGGGAGTCTGGCTAAAACCAAAGCCTCACTGACTGGAATTCCAGGAATCTGCCCTTCTCTCTTTGGGGATGTCATCTCGCCCTTTAGGGAAGGAGCCCATGCTTTTCTTCTGAGTCCAAAGCCTGCATTCAGGGCACAGGAAGGCAATGATGCCTTGAAGCTTCCTGCTCTTCCCTCTGCTGTGGGCACAAATGTGGATGCAGGTGCAGTGTTGGATGAGTGTGCATGGGGTGCAGCACAGCGAGGCCCTCCCTTCACTGCCTGTGGGAAGATGTGAAGAAGGTGCTCCCTCTGAGAAAACTCCGTGGTCTTTGGTTCAGAGTTTTCAGGGTCTCTGGCTATGGCTGCATTCACTTAGGGAGGTCAACTGTTTCTGTTCACCTGGGACTGAGGGGTTTCCTGGAACACAGGAATTTAGTGCTAAAACCCGGAAAGTTTCAGACACACCAAGACGAGTTGTCACCCTCACTGTCCCGCCTCCTACTTCTGGGAAAGTGCAGAGTTCAGGATCTTCAAATTCCACTGGGCAGAGTGTGAATTTTCTTCTGGAGTGATGTGTCCTTTACAGGGGTAAAAGGATAAACTGCACTGGGGCGTCCTGTTGTGTAGAAGTGGCTTCCGGATCTGGGTTGAAACCTCCTTTCTATATGTGCAAGTTTGAGTGAGTTACTTTATATTTCTGGGCCTCAGTGTCCTTATCCATAACATGTGAATAATAATGTTAATCTTGAACGAAGGTTGTGTATGGAATGAATGAGACGATGCTTGTCGGTCAGGTGCCTAGCACAGTGCACAGCACTTAGAGAAGACAGTGAACGTCAGTTCCCCGATTCCTCCCTCTCCTTCCTTGCACTGGAGTAATTCCCATTCTGCAGATGGAGAGGGTGAGGCTGGTAAGCAGGGATAGTTTCCTCTGGGTCAAAATGACAGTCAGAAGCAGAGACCCCTCACAGACTTCTCACTCCCAACTGCAGCTTCCTACTTCGGAGTAGGCAAGGGTTTCTCAATCTGGAACATTACCTGGAAGAGAGAGAAGGATGTATTTTTATGTATTCCTTTATTTGTTCAGTCATTCATTCTACAAATATTTACTGAGTACCTACTATGTATCAGGCACTGTTCTGGGTGCTGAGAATACAACTGTTGACAACACATGTAAATATTCTGCCCTCATAAATTTTAGATCCTGGTTGGAGACATATAATAAACATCTATATAATACAATGTAAACTAGTAATAATTGCTTTGAAGGGAAAACAAAGCAGGTCTCTGGCAGAGAGCGACTGGGGCCTGGGCATTATTCTATTGGGGTGGTCAGGGAAGGCCTTTCTGAGCTGAGCCCTGGAAGAATGTGGCCTTGGTCTTCTGGGCCTGCCCTCCTGGCCCCTGCAGCTTCCAGCTCAGGCCCAGCTGCCCAGGGTGGAGCCGGCTGCTCGGGAGAGAGCTGGTGCCTGCTTTGGGCTGCAGGGGGAGGTGGGAATGCAGCTGTTTTTATCAGTTGTCCTTCCTTGGTGCTGACTCCTCTGCTGATCTGAGCTTTGGGAATGGGGGAGGAAGCCAAGCTGGAGAATCAGTATTGAGGGTCAGATTGCAGATGACAATGATGTAAACAGGCTGCCCTGCCCTACTTGGAGACACACTACATGTGGGGACAAGTCACGATGTATTTGGTTTCCTATATGGCTCTATTTCTTTGGCATTGCCTTTTCCTTTAAGAAAAAAAATACACCTCTGTTTGGATTGTATGCTAAATGATTTATGAACATTATTCTTCTCTGTTCTACCTGTAAGAGCTCCAGCCCTCGCAATCCTTTTCATGTTGATTAAGTACATTTGAAAGCAAGAGGAGACTGTCTGAAATTGCTCACAATATAGACTCACGGCTTCTCTGGACCCAGGAGGGATTCCTCATCTTCCCTTTGAAAGAGTTCCTTTGCAGCTGGTTAAGCAGGAGATCAGTCTAGAAACATGTAACCAGTCTTATGTGTGCTGAACGAGGTAGAGGGGAGCATTCTTTCTGGAGCTGGTAATGGTGGATTTGAGATCCTGGAAATCTCCGGGCAGGAGTGTCCTCCAGGACTAATCCTTCTGGTCCTCTTCCCACCCAGGTGTGGTTATACCTGACATTGTATCTGATGTGGCCCCGACAGGTCAACACTGGACAGAAGAATAGGAGGGGATTCTTTTTTTTTTTTTTTTTTTTTTTGAGACAGAGTCTTGCTCTGTTGCCCAGGGTGGAGTGCAGCGGCGTGATCACGGCTCACTGCAACCTCCGCCTCCCGGGTTCAAGCGATTCTAGGAGGGGATTCTTAAAGAGCCTGTCAGAGCTCGGTGTTGCCAGGGGACTACACTGAACAGAGAGGGAAGAGAGGAGAGGGAAAAGGAACTTCACAGCTGGGCTTTTTATATCCCTGGGCTGATAGGTGGTTCCTGTGGAGAGGAGGCAGGATCCATGATCCATAGAGCCAGCCCCCAAGCTGGAGGTCCTCTTGACCGGTTCTACAGTTAGGACCAATGGCCTTCCCTAGTTGCTCCCACATCCTTTGTTTATTTGTTTGGTGGAGATCCTGTAGGTAGATGGCAATTAAGGGTCTAGGCTCAGAACTCACTTTGACTTGGCCCAGGTCAACCTGGGAAGTAAGACTTCAACGGGTTCCATGTCTACCCCATATGTAGGCTCTTGCACCACCATCTGACCCAGAGCTCTCTTCCCTAGATCTTTGGGTCAGAGATGAAATAGGACAATTTTCCCTGAACTCCTAGCCTCACCACTGAAATTATGTGAAGTTGTCCTCTCTCTCGGCCTCCTTGGGCCACAGGCACTCCTCTGAGATGCCTTCAGCCCCCTGTCTTCTAAATCCAGGCTCTAGAATTTTATTCTCCCCCATCTTCAAAATGCTATCATCCTTTGTGGCGTCCCTTTGTGTCTAAGCCCCAAGTTTCTTCACATCTGCCACCTCTTCCTGCCCTTTGTAGAGAGTGTGGAGCTCACATCTGCATCAGACATTAGACAAGCCTTGGCTCTCATCTTACCTTTGTTGTTTACCTATGGGATGGCTTTGGATCCCTGACTCTCAGTTCCCTCATCTGTTAAATGGGAATAAGACCATTTGAGGAACAAATAAGATGCTGGTTTTGAAAAATGCTTTGTAAACTGTCAGTGCTCATTGTCTCCTCAGGACAAAAGATTTTGTTGTTGTTGTTATTTGAGACAGGATCTCTCACTCTGTCACCCAGGCTGGAGTACAGTGCACAATCAGGGCTCACTGAAGTCTCTGCCCCCTAGGCTCACGTGCTTCTCCCACCTCAGCCTCCTGAGTAGCTGGGACTACAGGCACATGCCACCACACCCAGCTAATTTTTGTAATTTTTGTAAAGACAAGGCCTCCCTATGTTGCCCAGGCTGGTCTTGAACTCTTGGGCTCAAGTGATCTGCCCGCCATGGCCTCCCAAAGTGCTGGGATTACAGGCGTGAGCCACTGTGCCTGGCCCAAAAGTTAAAAAAACACTTAAAATGTGAACATTTCAAATTCTACGGCAATTCTGGCCACATGTGATCCGGGAGGGGAGTGAGATGGTGCGCACAGAGGAAAAAAGCCCCAAACCACGTATGTGGAAAGTAAAGACAAGGACTGCCTGTGCCACCCCAACCTCAGTCCTCGCAGAAGGAGGGCCAGGGAGGGGTTTCCAGCACCTACTGCTTGCCAGCTGCCCGGCTTGGCCTTTTGGCTCGGCTATCTCACTTCCTCACAAAAACCTGGAGATGATATTATCTCCATGTGGGCAAATGATAGGAATGAGACCCAAAGAGGTTATGTCACTTGCCCAAGATCACAAAGTTAGCAAATTGTATCATGGGGAATCAAACTCAGTTCTGCCTGGCCCTAATGTCTACGCTGTGCCATCCCATGTCAGGACCCACCTCTTGGAGGGTGGCTTGGAAGAGAGCTAGGCTGTCATCTGAGTGGGCTCCATGAGCGGCCACCTCCCAGCCCCACCTACCCTTGAACCTGAAATTCTACCATTCCCAGTTTGTTCCTCAGAGCTGGCATTTCCTCTTCTGATTCGCTCTTGCTCTCCCTCTTACTCCCTTTCTGTCCCCCTCTTTTGAATGCCCTACTCGGGAGGGGGTTGCTCTGGAGCATGGATTTGTGTTGTCAGCCTCTTTTCTTCTGGCTAAGAGTGACAGCCAGAGTAAGAGGTCTAAATCATGTACCTGGGAGGATAGCTGATCCTGAAAAGGGAAAAAAGGAAAGGCTCCTCCACCTAAGACAAATCTTATACCCTTCTGAGTTTTGCCTGGGCTGGCCCTGCCTGGGTGCAAGTTGAGCCATACCCTGGGCCAGCCTCTGAGGTCTGCGTCCTGCTGTCAGCACCCCCTAGTTAGCATCTGCACCATCAATCAGGCAATGCAGCCCCTGCCTGAGGGGTGGAGGGGATGGGGTGCAGCCTCTCCAACTCCTTGCCAACCCTTAGACACAGAGCCCTTCCCTCTCCACCCTCCTCTTTTTCTCTCTCTTCTCTCTCCTCCCCACCTTGATGTGGACAGCTCAGCCCCTCCAAGGCTTCTGTCCACTCCGAGAACCCCTCTCTATCCATAGTGGCTCAAAGGGCTTTTTGAGTGGGGAAGCAGGCAGCCTGTGGGCCTGGGAGGAGAGATAAAGGCGTGAGATCCCCCAGGGGCCTGCGGGGTCAGGGGCTGTGTATCTGGTGACTTCTGAATGCAAGCTCCAACAAAGAGAAATCTGTGGTGGGAGAGCGTCCGCGAAGGAAATAAAATCTCCATGAAAACAAACTTTTGTTGGAAGCTTTCTCCTCTTGTTTTGGCAGCGTTGCTAGGTCCTGGGAGGGGAAGGCCGTGTCTTCCGGAGCAGTTGGGAGGCTCTCGGATTGTCCAAATATCAGCTTGCTGCAAGAAGGCTGTTCTTCCCCCACCAGGAAGACGGGGCTTAGGAGTTAGTGCAGTAATCATTGGTTTTCTAATCAAGGCTAGAATGGCTGAAAGAAAGGCTGGGGGCCATGGAGAGGGCTCAGGACTGTGAGTTAGGAGAATCAGCACTGTGTGTGTCACAGTTCCGTGACTCAGGCCAACCTGAGATCCCTTCGTGCCTTACTTTTCTCACCTGTAAAACGAGCATAACTTGCCCAAGGTCATTCAGCTAGAAAAGCAGGAGCAGGCCCAGGATATAAACTGCTATTTCCATGCTGGGCGCGGTGGCTCATGCCTGCAATCTCAGCACTTTGGGAGGCTGAAGCAGGCGGATCACCTGAGGTCAGGAGTTCAAGACCAGCCTGACCAACACGGCGAAACCCCATCTCTACTAAAAATACAAAAATTCGCCAGGCATAGTGGTGTGCACCAGTAATCCCAGCTACTAGGGAAGCTGAGGCAGGAGAATCACTTGAACCTGGGAGGCAGAGGTTGCAGTGAGCCAAGATCGTGCCATTGTACTCCAACCTGGGCAACAGAGCGAGACTCTGTCTCAAAATAAACTAACTAACTAACTAACTAACTATTTCCCATTACCCTCATAAGTGAAAAGCAGAGGCTGGAAGTGAAAGGGTCTTTGAAGACATCACAAGGCCCCAGGAGGACTGGATGATTATATTTTCTTCAGGGCTAGGTGGTCACTTACAGCGCTCAGTCATTTATTCTCTGCATCTGGTTTTGCCAACATCAGAGAAGCCAGGGAATGGTTAAAGAAGGGCCTTGCAGTCCATGCTTGCTGCTGACTTGAATTGCTCAACTTCATTGCTTCTCTAGATTGATTTCAGAACACTAGATCCTCAAAAGCTTTAAAGAATGCAGAAGATGAGGCTTACCCCAGCTGCGGAGATGTTTTTACATTAAACAACGATATCTATTTTTCACCTTGGGTCAGGTCCCGTGAGATTGTCTCTTTTTGTCCTGCTCAAGGAGAAAATCCTTAGCTACAGCTGTTGTCTACCAGGGCTCAGAGGACTGCAGAGCCATGAGTAGCCAGAGGACTAAGGCAGGGAGGGGTCTGAGCTGTGGTTTCGAGTCTGTCTGCTCCTGACAGGCCACGGTGTGACCCTGGGCCCCTCTCTGGGCCCCGTTTTCCTTCCCATAGACAGTGTCAGATGGGGTAAGTTGCTCTTGCCTCCACCCAGCAGGAAGAGGACAGATAAACTCAGGGCAGTCCTGGTAGGGGGGTGAGTCCCGGCAGGTGCTGAGGGGGCCTGAGAAACCCGCCTGGGGAGGCACCGAGGCTGAGAACCCAGCCTGCCCCTTCTCCCCTCGTTCCCTTCCCACCCCTTTCCCTCTTCTTCAAAAGGGTTGCTCCTATGAGAAGGGGTGTGTGTTTTCCCCTGTGCTCTGGTCGTCTGTGAAAACTGAGAGACACCCGGGCAGAGGTGCCTTTCTCAGAGTTCTCTCTGCCCCAGCGCTCTGGATTTGGGAAGGCCTGCCCAGGGAAGCCCACTGCATTTCCGAAGGTGCTTCCTCCCTCCCTCCTCCCTCCTCCCCTCCACTGTCCCTTCAGCAGTCTGGCCAGGTCAGTCAGGGGCTAGTAACAGAGCTGGTACCACTGAGGTCACGTGGCTGGCCTGAGCAGCCTGCAACAGGGGACCTTGTTAAAGGCGTATTAAAAGGTGAAGACTCCCACTGTTGACCACATGTGGAGTTCACATGGGGCATGTTCAGGCTCGGTGTGGCCAGGATGTGCATGTGCGTGAAATTAGGCAGGAGGCCAGGCTGTGAAAGTTTCCCCATCCCCTCAAAACACACACACACACACACACACACACACAGTCTCTCTCACACACACACAAAGTCACACCCAGTCATACACACAGAGTCACACTCACACACATGCATGAACACCCACCCATGGAGTCACACACACAGGCATGTGCACACACGACCCTCCAGACAACAGCACGCTGGTGATATGAGAGAAGCCTTTTCTAGGAGCTTCTCTCTCCACTCTTCCATCCCCTCCTTTCCCACTCCTGGATCTCTCTCCTTCCACACTCCTCTCTGGACACCTTATTAGGCTTAATCAGCAGGGATCACAAGTCCTAGATTTGCCAGACCAGCTCTCACTCCATGTAGTTTGCAGGCAACATGAGACAAGGAAAAGAACTCAGGCAGGAGCCCAGTGGGGCTGGGTTCAGATCTTCACGCTTCCACGTAGCCAGGATCATGGCCATGGACATTCACACTAGGCAGTTGTTAACTCCTCTAAGCCTCACTGCAAGGCCAGCTACAAATACTTCCTTGCAGAGTTGTTGTGGGGAATGTGCATGGAAACAGGTAGAAGCCACCTAGCGCAGGCGGGCACACAGGAAGTGTCAGTGCACATCGGCTGTCTCCTCTGCGTGATTGCCCCATGAATATATTTTTGCTATGTGGTCCCCATACTGCTGTTTGAGCTGGAAAAGAGACCCACCCTAGGGAAGTGTTTGGGGTCTACTTTGCATGGACTTTTCCTCATTTACCTAGGGGGTGGTTTTGAGCCTAGGAGGGGGAATATTACAGCTATCATTTACTGAGCAATTTCTATGTGAGATAATTACGCTTGTTTCATCTTCACAATGGCCTCCTGATCCCTCCATCACAAATAAGGAAACCGAATTGCAGTGAGGTTAAGTAATTTGTCTGAATTCATGAGCTAGTAAGTGGCTAGGAACCCAGCTCCTAACCTCAACTTTCTGTTGCACTGGATGATTTGCTGTAGCGCTGGGGACCCTGGCATGAGCCCATGCAGAGACAGACGGCCCTGTTTGATCTGGTGATTCAATGGGTCTTCTCCTTCTCCTCTTAGAGCAGGCAGATTTGGATAGGGCCTTTCTTCTAGCTGCTCTTTAAAGTGATGTGGACTTGGGTGGGAGGGCTTTGGTTCTGAGGAGCTGGATGCAGGAGGCCTGAGGGGGCATCTGTGGGAACAAACAGGATGAAAGGGGGGCGCTCCGTTCAGGTTTGCAAATGCCATGAATACCACCTCACGCTGGCCCCCGAGCTAAGTACTGGGGATGCAGAAGTGAATAAGACCTTGTCCCTGCCGTCAAGGAACTCATGGGGAAGTGAGTGGGGTGGGGGCTCGGCCATGTAAAAACATGCATGGACACTGGGGTTTGTGCAGCCATAGAGAAGACTCTGGGTGCTGCGTGGCAGTGATGGGGGGGGGACAGGAACTTGTTCCAAAATTTGCTGGTAGGAGGTGGTGCCAGAATAGACCGTCCTGGGAATTAGACAGCAGAAAGAAGAAAAGGGAGCTCAGGGCAGGAGGGATAGGCTGAGCAAAAGCACGGAGGTGTGAGCAAGGCTGGGAGGTGTAGGCAGGGACAGGGTGAGAGCTAAGGCACTTGGATGGTATCTTGCAGGAGATGGGGAGCTAGTGCATGTATTTAGATGGGGAGTGGAGCTGTCAGGTTTATATTTTAGAGCACTGGCCTGAGCAGCAGTGCGCATGGATTAGAGGGGACCAGACCTTTGTAAGAAGAGCAGTCAAGATGTGTATCAGTTAGAAAGCCTTAGACTGTAAGTAGCAGCAAATCCAACCCAAAAAGGCTTAAAGAGTGAGGCATTTAGTTTCTTATGTGTTACAAAGTTCAGTACCAGGACTGCTCTAGGGTTGGAGAAATTCAGGGGCTCCATGACATCCACAAGCACCCAGGTTCTTTCTCTGTCATCCTCTGGATCTTAGCTCTGTTTTCCAACTGGCTTTCCTCTGGGTCACAAGATGGTAGTGGCAGTTCCAGGCATCACACCCATGTCCAGGCTGGCAA
Organism: Homo sapiens; assembly: GCF_000001405.40. Classification (NCBI taxonomy): domain Eukaryota; kingdom Metazoa; phylum Chordata; class Mammalia; order Primates; family Hominidae; genus Homo; species Homo sapiens. The sequence continues at coordinate 125,219,018 of NC_000011.10, forward strand.
TCAAAAAGGGTAAATCATGTCAACTGCAAAAGTATAGGGAGCAGTGGGGGCTGCAGCCAGTGGGAGGGTGTTGGCTCTCAACCTGTTGGCATTCAAACTACACATTTTTAAACTACCATCAAGAATTATAAGTAGCCCAGGCATGGTGGCTCTCACCTGTAATCCCAGCACTTAGGGAGGCCAAGGCAAGCAGATCATCTGAGGTTAGGAGTTCCAGACCAGCCTGGCTAACATGGTGAAACCCTGTCTTTACTAATAATACAAAAAAAAATTAGCTGGAGGTGGTGGCGCACACCTGTAATCCCAGCTACTTTGTAGGCTGAGGCAGGAGAATCTCTTGAACCTGGGAGGCAGAGGTTGCAGTGAGCCAAGATCACGCCATTGCATTCTAGCCTGGGCAACAAGAGTGAAACTCTATCTCAAAAAAAAAAAAAAATTATAAACAAAGCTAAGAGAAAATGACAACCTGTGGAAAAATTTTTACAACTCATATCACAGGGCTACTCTCCCTAATATATGAAGAGCTCCTAAAAATTAACAACAACAAAAACACAACCCAGTAGAAAAAATAATGGGCAAAGAATATGAACAGACTATTCACAGAAAAGAAAATATAAATAGCTTTTAATGTATGAGAGCATGATCAACCTTGCACATAGTAAGAGAAATGCAAATTAAAACTATCCTGGGATACCATTATTCATTTATCTTTTAAATGGGCAAAAAGCCAAAAAATTTGATATCGCATTCTATTGGCAAGGCCCTGGGGAAACAGACTGTCTCATGGTGTAAATCTGCACAACCCCTTTGAAGGGCCATTTCGAATATCATCAAAATGATAAATCATATGCCTTTGACCCAGCAATTTCATGTTGGGGAAATGATCCTAAAGACATTCTTGTACCTATAGGAAATGACATATGTCTAAGTACCTTCTTTGTAACATTATTTGTAATAGCAAAAGATTGGAAAGAACCCAAATATCCATCAATTGAAGACCAATTCATTAAATTATGGAATTTCCTGACAATGGAATACTATTCATTTAAAAAGAGAAATGAGAAAGTTTTCTTTGTACTGATAAAGATCTCCAAAATATGTGTAAAAAGGAAAAAAATAACCCACCAAGTTTAAAAAAAAGTGTGTATAAAAAGGGGAAAACAAGAATCTATATTTGTATTTGCTTGGACAGGTGGGAGACAGGAATGGGAGGGAAACATTGCAGTGTTTACCTTCTTACACTTTTTGATTTTTGAGCCATGTTCCATATTACCTTTTTAAAAGCAAAACAAAACACAAACACTGTGCAAATCCCACAAAATATCTGCGGCTGCGTTCTGCCGAGAGCGGCTGATTTCCAACCCCTGAGCTCCGAATTATAGAGTGGCAGTGGAGACAGAAGGGATAGATTTGAGAAGTCTTTTTTAGGCATGGAATCCCCACAGCTTGGGTGTGGGATTGAGGGAGAAGGCAGAGGCAGCATCGGAGATGGCTCCAGACATGGGTACCTGGTGGAAGATGCCACCATTGTGAGATGGGAAGGCCGGAGAGAAGCATGTTGGGGGAAAAGGAAACAATGGCAGGTCACTGGGGCAATCAGCCCTGGGGAATCATTTCACCTCTTGAACCCAGTCTCTGCAATTCTCCCGTCATACCTTGCCTAGGATCCGGCCTTGTTCTATTTCTCCATCCATCCATCCATACACCAAAGCAGTATTTCTGACTACAAAAGCAGAGGGGATGTTCCTCCGAAGTTTCAAAGGCCAGCATCTGTAGCACTAGGGACAGGGTGGAGGCCCAACCAGTAGACACAACAGCAAAATCCTACATTCGCCACTGGGTCAGTACGTCCCAGGGAGAGGGCAGGACTTTGTGTTCTGCTCCCATTTCTGTTCTAATTCTAATCCCAGCACTTTGAGAGGCCGAGGCGGGCGAATCACAGCCTGGCCCACATAGTGAAACCCCGACTCTACTAGAAATACAAAAAATCAGCTGGATGAAGTGGCGGGCACCTGTAATCCCAGCTACTTGGGAGGCAGAGGCAGGAGAATTGCTTGAACCTGGGAGGTGGAGGTTGCAGTGAGCCGAGATCGCGCCACTGCACTCCAGCCTGGGTGACAGAGTGAGACTCTGTCTAAAAAAAAACAAAACAAAAATTGTCACCATCTAATTGGCTCTGCAACTGCTGCTGGAGTGGACTCTGGGGCTGTGAGCCTGGCACTGGGGCATCCCAGGAGATAGTGGACTAGGGTCCACCCAGGGGCACCTTGGTACTGGTGGCAGTGGGAGAGGTGGATGGGAAAGGGAAGCCAGGTGAGGGGAACTCTAGGCAAAATAAGCATGAAGTGTGTGGCATCCATGTGATAAGTGCAGTGTGTTTGGGGCACATTTACCCCCTTTGGTGAGAACAGCAGTCTGCTAAGCAGCCCACCCTGCTCCAGGCCCGTCTGCAGAGTTGGGGGCCAGAATGAAAAATGGACCCGAGAGCTAACCGCAGCCACGCCGTTTAGTGTTGGAGGCGTATAAGTCAGTATGTGAGATACGGCCACACTCTTGGTTTTAGTTGTAGCTGGAAAGGATTAGAAGACAATTAATAAATCATATAGTGCCCTGAGTTTAAGTAGCTTGTTATTATGGGCTGCATATATTTATTATGCTTCACTGAGCAACACTGGCACATTTCCTTCGACTGTCACACAATTTGTATGCAATTTGTTTCAGTAGGTTTTTTTTTTAAATGCACATATAAATTATTAACCTGCATTCTTCAGGGCAGATTGCTGGAATCCCTCCTCCTCCCCGACCACCCCGTGTGAGTCTCATAAAAACTTCCTGTCCCCAAAATGACAGTAGTGCCATGACCTACAGCCCACTGCCCGCCCGGGCTGTAGAAGAATCACTTGCTGTCGCCTGGTTGCGTACCTGAGGCAGAGACCTAACACAGTTGGGAAGAAATCAAATGCGTATTTTGGGGTGATTGGCGGTGCCTGGAGAGGAACTGTTGATGAGAATCATGCCTTTCAAAGCTGCAGTGAAAATAAATCAGAGGGACAAGGAGAATTGGCCCTTGAACAAAGCTGGGAACTTGACCTGGAAGCCAGAAGCACGTCAGACACTGATGGCCCCAAACTCTTCCTTGTCTGAATGAGGAAGCTGAGCCCACAGAGGGGTGACAACTGCCTTGGGGCCACAGTGATGGGTCTTTCCTCATCCTGAGCCACCCCCCTTGCTCTCTTCCAGTTGGGATTTTTTTCTGGGGCTGACACGGATGCCTTTCCTTCAACCTTTCTCTGAGGTGCACTGGGGGGATCTTCTCCACACTTTCTTCAGGGTTGAGGCTATGTTGTCTTTTTGTTTTTCTTGGTGGAGCAGTTTGATGTTTTTCATGTGATATTTTTAGTTGAACCCTGAATGATTATAGCCCCTTCTCACAAAAATTCTCACCTGAGTACCTAGGGACTGGGTTAAAGAACAGTCTGACTGGCTGGCCTCTGCTCTTTCCAGATGCCTTTTCTAACATCTATACAATGTGCATCTGTCAAGCACCTAATGTGTAATAGGTGCTCCTGGTGTGTGTGTGTGTGTGTCTGTGTGTATGTGTGTGTATGTGTGTGTGTATGTGTGTGCGTATGTGTGTGCTGTGTATGTGTGTGTGTATGTGTGTGCGTATGTGTGTGTATGTGTGTGTGTGCTGTGTATGTGTGTGTGTATGTGTGTGTGTCTGTGTCTGTGTGCCTGTGTATGTGTGTATGTGTGTGTGTATGTGTGTATGTGTGTGTGTGTGTGCGTGTGTATGTGTGTGTGTGTTGCATCGAAAGGTGTCTCTGCTTTCATCTTGCTTTCTGCATTGTTGGGGTGACCCAGCAACTGGAGGAGTCCATGAATGTTGAATGAATGAATGAGCCTAGTTAGGAGTGAATGCAAGCAGCTTCTGAACACACCAGACAACCTACAGGAAGAGCCCGGCAGCCTGGAACCACCAAGAAGGATTCTCGTCTGGGATTTTCTAGATGGCTAATGGTTTACTTCTTCAAGTACCCTGAGGATGTTGTAAATATTACAAGTGGACATCCTCCCTGTCTTCTTAAGTAAATTATCTGGAACATGATTGAGCCTCATTTAATGACACATTGGTTTGCCCTTTAACTCTCTCCTAGGCCAACCCTCCATACCTCAGTTTACCTTCTGGGGAAGCCCACACTCTTCCTCTTTTAGTCCTTTTTTTTTTTTGAGACAGAGTCTCACTCTGTCATCTAGGCTGGAATGCAATGGCGCAATCTTGGCCCACTGCAACCTCCGCCTCCCTGGTTTAAGTGATTCTCCTGCCTCAGCGTCCTGAGCAGCTGGGATTACAGGCACCCGCCACCATGCCCAGCTAACTTTTTCTATTTTTAGTAAAGATGAGTTTTGCCATTTTGGCCAGGCTGGTGTCAAACTCCTGGACTCAAGTGATTCACCTGCCTCGGCCTCCCAAAGTCTTGGGATTACAGGCATGAGCCACCACGCCCAGCCCTCTTTTAATACTTCTAATCAGCTGAGGCTCAAGGTACCAGGTAACTTAGTCTGTTAGAAATATGTGTAAAACCAGAGTAACGAAGCCGTCAGTAAGGGCCTGAGAGTTTTCCTTTTGAACAAGGTTCATAAACTTTAATGCAAAGATTTCGTGGCATGTACTTTGACTTCCAGAAGATTAAAAAACAAAAAAAAACAACTGTCCTCTTTCCTCCAGTATTTTTATACTACGTTGGATCTATGAAGCTATTGAATAGCTAAATCACATGCTGGTGAGGAAGGCATTTTTGGCTTAGAAACGATGACATTGCAGCTGGGAGGCTGTGAGTGAAGGCCACAAGGGTTGGTAAAGGCATGATATCTCCTAGTTGGCTTTCAAGAAGGTCACACTGAAAGTTCTCTGATTCAATTATTTTAAGCCACAGGAAGGCAATTTAGCGACAAGAAGGGCCTCTTGTTACTGGCGATCTTGCACATGAGTCTTGAGAAGGCAGCGGCTGCTGCGGCCTTGCTCACACAGCTTTTCCCCTTTGCCCCTGGACGCTGCTAGCTCTTCAGTCCGCCAGAAACACAGCTGCCTTTGTGTCTTCTTCTGATGGATGTCTCAGGCGGACCTTCCTGCAGCCCAACAGAGGGTTCTTCCAGCAAGTCCTGCCTCAGCAGGGCCTTCCCTGGCCTCTCCGTGCCTGGGGAGTCGCCCGGGCCAGCCCATCCAGCCGGTGCCACCCACAAGCTCTGTGGCTGGCAGGTGCCAGGTGGAGACTGTCAGCTGCTCAGGAGAGAGATTGTTCAGGGTAGTTACTGCTAGCAAGGGATCCCATTTTATCTACCTGCCATCAGAGTAATCTGTCCTCTGCTGGAGCCCCTCGGAGGAGCCATGCGCAGGTGAGGCAGGCAGATGGCCGTGCAGTCAGGGTGACTTGGGTTGGAGATTGAAGCTGCCGGCCTTGCCTGGGAGGCCGAGGCCTGTGCTGTGAACTCAGGAAATCTCCCGCCCCTTGCCTGTTTATGGTGAAATCAGGCCTCCCTCAGAAAGGCAGTTTTCCTACTCCGTTTGTTCTCAGATTGGTGTTATACCCAGGAGCCAAATTAGTGGCTAAGAACAATTGGAAACAAATGCTCTTTCAGCATCCTGCTGTGATCCCAGATCCAGGTGGGGACACCAGCCGCGGCTGCCTTCTCCACTGAGCCACCCCTCCGCAGAGAATCAGCATCCCAGAACCATTCAGCACAGCCAAACTCCCTCATAATCAGCCAGCACCGTACACATCTGTCTAACCTCAGTGAAACAAGCTGGAGCCCTGTTAAGTTATTTATGAAACAATATTCAGGACCGCCCCCCGGAGGCAAGTTAGGGAATAATGAATGGGAAGTGCCGTGGTGCCCTTTGGAGAGGACTGTGGCAGGCTTGCTGGAGTGGGGTCCATCTCCCTCCCCCAGGGTCTGGGTGCTGGGTGCTCCCTCCAGTGGCCTTCGGATGGCTGCCTGGATGGCATCTTTTCTGAGATGCCAATGACTGTTAGCTTGGCTTGGATTTGATAGTGAAATTCTTTCTACTCCCTCCAGCACTGGTCTGAGAAAGTGTGGCCTACCCTCAACATGCCCCTGTCTGGATGTGCCTGCCCCAAAGGGGAGTGAATAGAAGGTTCTGAAACGCCTGCTGGGGAGAACCCGTCCTGCAGGACCTATAGAGCTGCTGGATCATACTTAACTCCCTAGTCAACTGGTTGTCTGTCCCCTCATTAGACTGTGGGCTCCTTGAGGGCAGGGAACTGGAATTGCTGTTCGTCATTGACCCCCAGCCTAGTGAAGGATCTGATGCTCAGAAAACATTTTGTAAATGAATGAAGGGAATTACTGGCATGACTTCCAATCCTGGACTTCTCTAAGTAAGTCTCCACCACTCTCTGAACTGTTTCTTCAAATGTGAAATGAGGAGGTCAAGAGAGATGATCTCTAAGAGTCTGCCCAGGCCCATCCATCTCACTTCTAGCACTGACTTCTGCACTGAGCTGCCCCAGACTCCAGCTCCCCCACCCACTGCCTCTGGGCTGGCTTACTCCTGGAGGGCACAGCCCACGGTAGCAATGTCCCCTCTGGCCTGGCGACCCTGGCTTAGTCATTATGCAGGGTTTCCAGTCTGGGGCTGGCTCTCTGGTGCCAAATACTGTCCTCTGCCTGTGCTGTTTTCCCCTGATGCATCTTCAGTCTGTCACTTTTCTCAGTCACACAGTTGAAAATTTCCTCCAAAGTAAAGTTGGATGCAAAATGAGGTCTTGTTAGCACAAAGAGATGCATGTGTTCTGCCCTGGGGTGCACCTCCTGGGTAGGCTGTATTTCTTTTTTTCTCTGAGCTAGACCCTTCTCCACAAGGGGAATTAAAGGCCTCTTTATTTCCAACCAAATGAGAAAAGCCCAGGGATCAACCTGTAGCCCATCCACATCCCTTCATCACACTGCCTTTGTTCAGGAAAGCAGAGGTGTGGCAACTTGCCTCCTCCTTTCTGCCTGCTGCAGAATTTCTCTTGCTTCCTGTGAACCAACAACAGCAATATTTACTTGCACAAGACACGTAATATTAACTTTTCAAAGTATGTAATTATTTCATTTCATTTTTACAATATGTCTGCTTTGCAGGCAAGGCAGGAATAGACATCTGGATTTATTTGACCCCTCCAAAGATTTATTGGTGTCTGGTCCAAGATTTCTTGGAATTTTAGGACTTTATGGCTGAATGTGAACCCAGTGAGTATCTTCTCCACTGATTTTTAACCTCTCAGGGGATGTGGATAGCCTTGAAATCTTGGTAAAATCTGTAAACCTCTCCCCGGAAAAACTTACACACAAATACTATTCTGGGTAAAATTTCCAGGGATTTGTGGACTGCTACCACCTTAAGGTTCTTCTTGCTCTGGTACAGCCGCTGGGTTGAATAGATGAGGAAGTTGAGGCCCAGAGAGTTAGGGCAATGTGCACAGAGTCATAACACTATGAGGACAAGGGCCGTCTCCTAGGTCCTGTCTACACCCTTTCCAACACGCCAAACCATTACTGACTGCTGCATCACATTAGGTGCCCAAATCCTCTCATCTCTTTCTCTTCCTCCTATTCCCCTCTTCTTTTAGATTTCCTGCTTATCGTTTTATTGCTGTGGATATACACCTAGATGGTACAACTAGGAGCGTAGATACTCTCCTACACTCCTAATTGGCCCCCTCTCCTACCCTCACCAGGTTTTTTTTTTTCCTTTTTTTTTTTAATCCTAAATCGTTGCTCATTTTTCCAGTGTCAGCCTTCTGGAGTTGCCTTCCCTGTTGCAGGCTGGCCCAGCTGTCCCATCCTCAGGAACACAGTCCCTCCTCCCTGGCAGCCTCTCCTCTGACTTCTCCCCGCTGGGGCTGGGAGGCTCTGGGTTCCTTGCTCTCTCTGTCAGGCCTTGGCTCCCTTATCCTCTCCTTGGACTGATGAGCTGCTCCTTCCCCTACTCCTAAAGATCTCAGGCTCTTTATTTTTTTATTATTCTTGATAGAAATTGGGAGATATTAGTGGTGGCATATATACGTATTTTTAAATTGTGGTAAAACATATATCACATAAAATTTGCCATCTTAAGCATTTTTAAGCACCCCTGATAGCTCTCAATGACACCCTGCGCTGGCTGTCCTGGAGTCACCTGGGGGAGGGAGGGAATGGGTTGCTAGATGGTGCATGTCAGTAATTTGCCTTGGTGTTTGATGACATTAAGTATATTCGCATTGTTGTGCAACCATCACTGCCATCCATCCACAGAACGCCTTTCCTCTTGCAAAACTGAAACTCCGTAGTCAGTAAGCAACAACTCCCCAGTCCCTCATCCTCCACCTCAGCCTCTGGAAACCACTAGTCTACTTTCTATCTCTGTGAGTTTGACACTCTCAGTACCTTGTACAGGTGGAACCATACAGTATTTGTCTTTTTGTGACTGGCTTATGTCACCTAGAATAGTATCCTCGAGGTTCATCCATGTTGTAGCATGTGTGAGAATTTCCTTCCTTCTTAAGGCTGAATCATATTCCATTGGATGTAGACGTATGCATGCCACATTGTGTCTGTCCACTCATCTGTTGATGGATACTGGGTTGCTCCCACTTTTGGCTGCTGTGAATAAAGCTGCTATGAACACAAGTGTACAAGTATCTGCTTCAGTCGCCACTTTTGCTTCCTTTGGGTTTATAGTATGTAAAAAGTGGAGGCATGTTTTTAAGGTGTCTTAATTATTTTCTGCTGTCCCTTAAGTCAATATTCATTTTCTTCATTAACGCCGTTTGAGCAACTACTGACCTCACTGGGTCTGTGGCACCTGCTGCAAAAGGCAGTTTCTCAGAGAGCCCCGGAGGAGCCACAGAGAACAGAAGAGACTTTCTACCAGCCTTGAAAGGCTCAGGAGGCCCCCTGCTGCCTCCACTGCTGGTCCTGGCTGGAGCAAGCCTGGGTTAGATGAGGGTTAGAACCCAGCTCAGCCGTGTATCAGTGGCATGGCATGACCTTGGGTAGTGTACTGCTCCTCTCCCCTCCTTTGCTTAAAAATCAGTTAAACAAAAAAGATACAATAGCCTTAACATTCTAGAGCAACTCAGTCCTGCACAACCTTCCACGATGACAGAAACGTGCTCCATCTGAGCCGTCCAGTATGACAGCCACTAGCTACATGTGCTGTTGAGCACTTGAAATGTGGTGAGTGAGAATGAGGACTGAATTTTACATTTCATTTCATTTTAATTAATTAGAATTCGAATTTTAAAAGTCACACGTGGCCCTTGGCTACCTTATTGCACCATGCAGCTATAGAGGATGAAAACGGGTGGCAGTCATGTAGTCCATAGAAGGAGCTCAGCAAGCCCAGTGTCTGGCACATAGTAAGCACTCAATAAATGTTTGCTATTATTAGGTCTTAGGTGTCTTGCTTTCTGGCCCACCACACCTGATGGCTCTCAATGACACCCCACACTGGCTGTCCCGGAGTCACCTGGGGGAGGGAGGGAAGGTGTTGCTGTATGGTCCATGTCAGTAATGAGCCTTGCACTGAATGTTTCTGGTCTGCTACTTTCCCTGGAGGGTCATGTGAGCCGGAGTGGTATGTGGCCTGCTTTGCAAGTGATTAACATGGTGTAAGCAATCTGCATAGAGAGAAAAAACCCTCGGTTGGTATTCCATTATTCTATTAGAGTTTCGGAGCCAGGATTAAGTGGACATGATTTCTTCCTATGGGCCATTAATTTTGTTTTATTGCTGGTCTGATGGCCATTACCCTTTTTTGCCAATGCATTCCCCCATTAGGTTTGTACAATTAACAAAATATGTGCTGTTAGGGCTTTGATAGGAGGAATGGGATGGAAATAAAAGGAGGGGGTGCAACCGCTACAGATTTGGGGGTGGGGAAAGTGTCCACAATGAAGGGAAGCCTTCAGCACCTGCCTTCTGGCCACTGGCATTCCTGGGAAACTGCAGTAAGACCTTTCCCCAGCTCTTTCCCGACTAGGAGTGGAGGAGTTGCCCAGGTGAGAGGGAGAGACACTTGGTGGGTCCATGTGGGAGCGGTGTTGGCATTTCCTGGCCCTCCTCCTCCAGCATGCAGCTGAGTACGGCACAGCTGAGAACATAATGCGACACCCCCACCACCCCCACACTATCACCTTGAACCCGATACTGCTCAGCAGGCAGCATGAGTCAGCCTCTAGGTGTCTGGCCCCGTGACGGGGGAGACTTCTGGGGCAACACCTGCCTTCTCTCTATGGGGCAAACAGGAGGACATGTGCCCAGTTAAAAGGAGGCGGCTGATACTCTACCTCATCCAATGATCGACATGTGGAAATGCAGAATTGGCATGTTTAGGTCATACAATTTCTGGAGAAAAGTTAGGAATCCAGATTTCTAAATGTGAAATTTTGCAAGGTTTAGATGTTGGCAGATATAAAAACACTGGACAGGCAAGAGTCAACCTTGGGGCTGGTAGTTGGCAACCTCTGCCAGTCAATAAGGAGTCGTGGAAGGGTACTAAAGGAGACATGGACAGATGAAAATTGTGTTTTAGGAAGATTCCCAGGGCAGGGTTGGTAGGGTGGATGCGCAAAAACAGTGTGAGGCTGGAGACAAGGAGAGTTGGGTTAATGACAATGGGATGGGTAGAAGAGCAGTGATGCTTCTGAGGGAGAATTAGTAAGTCTTGGGTCTTGGTGTTTTAGCACTACAGAGGATGTCCATGGGGCCAGGGGGGGCTTGCTTGTGAGCAGGCCCACCCTCATGCTCGAGGGTTTACCTCTGCTGAGACCAAGCCACTCTGTGAGCCCACACCACCCAGTGTATGTGAGTCTTCCCATCCCAGGCTTGGAGGGTAAATTGCTTGCTTCTGCCTGGTGTAGAAAGGTCATAAGTATGTCCACTTCTTCCTCCCATATGGGATAAATATTAAGGTTAACCCACCACTGCCAGCATTCCTAAGATAACTTCATATTCATACCTATACTGACAGGTCCAGGCCCAAGAGTCGAGGCTTGGCCTGGGCAGGGCCTGAGGGGTGTCACAGAGGAAGCCTTTCCAGGTCCTTTGCAACTGGGTGCCCAGCACTGCCTGTGGCACAGGGGGCTGAGGACTAGTGTGGAATTAGCATCCAGGCCCAGTGGGCTTTGAGGAAGGCCGTGCAGTACCCTCAGTGCTGGATGCATAAGAGTCTCAGAGGCAACAAGTTAGCACTAGGTAATTATATCTATTTAATTACATAACTATTGTGTCATTTAGAGCCTGCTGGTCAGGGGCCACAGTGCCTGACTGACAACCTCATGGAACAAGTGTAAGCAACTGCAAAACATTGTCAGGTGATGAGGGTGCACGGGTGGAACAGAGCAGGGACTCAGTGAGATATGGTGGGAGCTGCAGATACGCTGTTGGAGGGACGAGTGGTCCATCAGGTGTTTGCTCCTGGAATGGCCCATCTCAATCAGATTTTTCCACCAAAGTTTTGTTTCTCTTCTGGAAGGTTGGCTTATAGGCCTACAGAGGGCTTTGCAGAGGACAGGAGCATCCAGAGAGACTCTTAGTGTTCAAGAAGGAGTTGTCACAATTTGGTCCTCATCCCCAAAGTCTGGCTTGGGCAAGAATAGGAAAACTTGTCATGGGCAGTAGGATGAATGTAGAAGTCCTCAGTCTTCTGGATTTGCCTCTCTTTTTCCTATTCAGTTGCAGCCATTTTTTAATTAAGTTATTAATATGTCCTAGGCATTGCACAAATGAGATGGTACATGCACCATCTTATTTAAAGGTGCTACTGTTAGCACACTTTTAAAGATGAGAAAATTGAGGTTCATAGAAGCTAAGGTTAGGTAAATGATGGGCCCTGGCTTAAACCTGAAACTGTTTGACTCCAGCATCTTTACTCTTAACCTCAATGATACACCATGCTAGCAAGAGACTTAGTGCCCTCTCTGGAGGATTGGTTTGGGCAATCTCAGAGATTGTCAGATGGAGTTTTATTTTAAAGATCTGGTAGTTTAACTCTACTACTTTGCAGATGAGGAAACTGAGGCATACAGCGATTAAAGTTCCTTGTCCAAGATCAAACAGTAAGTTAATAACAGAGTCAGGGCATGAATCCATGTCTGGCTGACCCCCCGGTCTGGTGCTCTCTGTGTCAGACCTATGGCTTTGCTAAACCCCCAGCTAATCTTCCTCTTTACCTGGATATGTTTCATAGATGCCTGCACAGCTATCCTTGAGGATGCAGAGACAAGTTCTATCACGCTACCTCCTATGGGAAGCTTTCTTCTATCCCTCTCCCCGCCTCTTTTCCAAATAAGCATGACCATTCAACTCCCTCCTCATTTACCATTTCATAAATTCCCTCATATCTACAAATGTGAATCGCCAATCTCATTTATGATTCCATTTTATTTTCACGATGAATAAGACAAGCCTGAGTTCAAATTCTGGTTGCATTATTGCATGGCTGAAAGCCTTTGCCATGATTATTTGCCTGTGAGGATCACAGACAGCTGGCTTTGGAAGGCCCTAAAAACATCAGGCACATGGATGGTTCCCCAACAGGCATCCATGGGGTAGTGCCAGTCCAGGAAGACTTTTTCAGTGGTGCATATTGATGAGTGAAACATAAGTACAGTGTGTAGAGATTGCATGTGCTTACACACACAGGTGTGTGTGGGGGGTGTGTGTGTGTGTGTGGAGAGAGAGAGAAAATGATGCTCCGTTTCTCAAAGGATGGCTCTTTATTGTGAGATTTTTGCACTCTTTATTTTGGGGGAGATGAATTATTTCATGAAATGATGGTGAGAGAAGACACTATTAATGTTTTATCAAAATACAAGTTTGTCAACACTATCAGCCTTCGAATGCTGTTCAACACTTTACTGATGGCTGAAACCCAAATCAGGGAAACATGCTTTGAGCAGCTTCTCACCCAGTGCACGATTCTCCTCTCAGTGTTGGGAGTTCACTACCTTCCAAGGAAGACTCGCTCATTTCTGGATGGTTCTCATTGCCAGAGAATTCTTTCTTATGTTGAACTGCAGATTGGCTTCCGCTAACATCTAAAGTTAGTCCTAATCCTATCCTCTAGAGCAACACAGTCCCCGTCTCACATAGTTTCTTCAAATATTTGGAGGACTACCATGTGGGAGAAGGATTGTATTGCTTTAGTCACTAGAGCAAGGACCAGTGGATAATTTTAGAAAGGGACAAGGAAGATACATCTCTAGTTTTTTCTACCATATCTTCTGCCTCATAGCCTCCTAATAATACTGAAAACAGCCACAACAGCAGAGATAGCTAACATTCAGCGAGTGCTTATTTTGTGTAAGGCAGCGTTCTACGAACCTTTCAGTATATTAAGTCATTCATCCTCACCACCACCCTCAGAGGAGGAGTTAGCATTAGCCCTATTTTATACATGAAAAACAGGCACAGGGGCATTAAGTAACTTGCCCATGGTCAAGCCAGAATCGAAACCTATCCAGTGTGATTCCAGAGCCTACCCTTTGAACTACTAGACTTCTAACCCACAATTTAACCACTAGACATCTTCTCTCTCCTCTCTTTTCTATTCATCATTGTCGAAGTTCCTAAAATATGATGCTAAAACTACATATAGAACTAATACAAACTGGTAAGTTCAGAATGGAGGAGATCATTCAACCCTCAGTTGGGTACCATATGGCTATTACTGCAGCCTATGATCACATTTAGTGAGTTTGGCAACAATATCATATCCTGGGCTCATTTTGAGCTTGGATTTAAATCAAATAATCCAAGTCTTTTTTTTTTTTCAAACTGGGTCATCCCATTATGGTTTTTTGTTTTTGTTTTTGTTTTGTTTTGTTTTGCAATACTTTTTTTAATGTAAGAGTGGGATTTGGTATATATATTCCTGTCAAATCTTTTCTACAAGAGTCTGTGAAAAAAAAGTGGGTTTGCACGTGGACGTAGGATATACTAATTTGATGGTTTAAAGTAATGAGATTGTGGGCATTTTTTTCTTCATTTTCAAAATTATTTCATTGGTAGTTGTCATGATGTTATTGTGCAAGAAATAAAAACTGGGAAAGGAAAAGTGAACTTTTAACTTTTAGCCTGTTCTTTCAGCTTGCTAAAAGTTTTATAACAATCTTGAATCTAGCCCTCCAGCACAGTAACTGCTTTTCTCAGCTTTGCATCATGTGCACCTGAAAAGTTGGCCATATCTTCTTTCAAGTCACAGGTGTCTCAGACAGACAGTCCCACAGGGCAGGGATAGAGCATACAGCTCCATGTAATTTAATCTAGAGACTTCATATGCCAAGTTCATATCATGCTCAGTAGTAATACGTAAGTAGTTTAGAATAATACAAGTTGGAACCCATTGCCAGCCAAGGGTTGGTTCTGAGGTGCTGGTGGTGGACTCTGCTTGGAATGATGAGAGTCCACCATTCAACTTTTCAGCAGATATTTACTGAGAACCCAGCACAGGCTGGGCACTCTGCTAGGTTCTGGGGATATAAAGATGCAGAAGACATGGTCCTTTTCCTCAGTGGTTTGTAGTCCAGTGGTCTGGTTCCGCCTCTGAGGCACCTCCATGAGCTATGAGCCTTGATCATGCAGGTGTAAGGAGACAGCCCCTGAGGAAATGACTTTGCCTCGAGGAAGTCATCATGAACCAGAGAGAAAATTTGGTTTCCTCAGCACATCTCACTACACCCCATGCCTGAATCTTCTAACTGAAATTCCACCTTCTTCCAAAAAGGCTTGCTTGTCTTAATTAAAGGGAAAGTGCTAAAGATGGCAGGGACATGTGAGGGTTTACATTATGTCAAGTCCTTGTTGAACATCCTTCAGTGTCTCTGTGATCCCACAGGCTAGCCTGCCCTCTATTGCCTGACACCAAAACCCCTGGATGCTCTGGCCCCACCTTGCTGAGCTGGCGCTACTCTCTCCTCTAGTGTCTGTCAGGCAGACCAGTCTCTGCGTCATCCCAGGACCCTCCATGCCTTTCTGCCCCTTGGCCCTTGCTTGGATAGCCCCCGTCTTTGGAATGCCTTCTCCTCCCTCCCACCAGCCAATTCTTGTCTGTCCAGTCCGCCAAGATCCCATTCAAATTCCACCTCCTCATGAAAACTCCCTTGAGTGCCGCGACTCTTGCAGACTTCATGTCTCTGTGGAGAGAAAATAGGCATCGCTTCTGTACACTTTAGCACAACTTCGTATACAGTCTGGCCTTATTGGGGGTTCTTGTATATGGGTGATCTCTCTTCCCCAGCAATGTGGAGGCAGTGCTTTTATAACAGGACAGCATGTGTAGATTACAGAGCAGACAACTGATAAATATGTGTTGACTGTTTTTATTTTTACAAAATTGTATTATCTCAGAAAGAGAATTAAAAGCAGGCAGATTTTTTTATCTTTCCAGTCCTGCACCATCATTCTTCTCTATGCACATTTTTCTTCCTGCCCAATTGGACTCTTCGCCTTCACTTGCAAGTTCTTGTCTGCAGCAAGACTTTCATATTCCTGAGGTAGACAACAGGGTCAGCGTTGTCGTTTGCTTGCCTTTTGCAGCCTTCCCTGTCTAGATTGCAAAGTTTCATAGGGACCCTTCTGCTCTGTTCCCCTGCATGGGGTCTTCCAATAGGTAGGAGGCACCAGTAAATGATTATTACCTTGGTCAGCTCAGGGCACTTGACAACCATGAGGCTTTTTTTCTCCTCTGGTAGTCCTATAGGGAAGGGGAATACAAGCCCTATGAAATGGAGGCATCAAGCAGGTAGAGGAGGGCATGAACCTCTCGCTCTGCCCTGATTAGGTCTCTAAACAATAATGGTTTTGCTAGGAGTCTCTTGCTAGGAAGCTTTCTCACTCAGCACTGCGGGCACATGGCTGCCAGCCCTGGCCTTTTTCCTGAGCCAAACCCACCTCTGGGTTTACCCCCTTCCCCATCCTGGCTTTCACTTCTGCAGCATCTTACACAGTCTATAAAGATGTTTTCTTTCATTGGCAGGTGAAGTCTGGAGCAGGACTTCTGAGGCTTTCTATCCTCCATGCTGCTCACTAGAAAAGGGGCTGTGAACTGTAAGTAACTTTGATTGGCGTTTTCCATGCTGACTCAATAAGGTTAGGGGTTAAAGACCAGCCCTGAACCTGATCTTTAACAGCCATGCATTGTGCAAGAGAAACACTCAACAAAGAGCTAGTCAGAATGTAATATACAGTGGAGCTCTAATTAGATTATGTCTGAATGTGACAAAGAGGCCCTGTAATATGACATCGTATTTAATTAGACTATATTGATTGTGCATTAAGGTGGACTTGATGTGTTACATGTGTCATGAGTGCCGGAGAAGGAAGCTCTTGAGTCTGCAAGGCCGACCCAGACCCCAGCCACTATCGCCTGTGGGCTAAGCCTGGAAGGCAATGAGAGGAGGAAGTGGCAACATCAGTCCTCAAACTCGGCCAAGTTTATAGCCTGCACTTGCTTTTACATCTGGTTATTTCTGGGGAGGCATGAGGGAGGAAAAAGGAAATGCTGCTGACCGCTTCCCTTCCATCAGCCCAGTAATAGCTTGACCTCTTAGGCTTATTTGCTCATATTGGTTCTCCCCACTTGGCAAAAGTCTACCCACCTGTGGGACCCGGCCTAAGTCCAGCCTCCTCTGCAGAGCCTTCCTAGGTAACGCCAGCTGGAAGCGATCTCTTCCCCTTCTGAAATTCCGCAGCATTCACACACGCTGCCCCTGCCTGTGTCCCCTGCCTCTGTCCCCACCTCTGGCTGTCACATAACCATAACCCTCTCCAGCAAGGCTGTGAGCTCCTGGGGGGTAAAGTCTGGGATTCCTACTTCTCAGTCTGCCCACTGCACACTCAGCCTAGTCGCTCTTTAGTAAGTGTTACCTGGATGACTGAGTTGCCCTGGGCAGGCATAGTTTCCCCACGCTGCTTATGGGGCTACCTGAGGCTGAGCTGTTGCTGCCGCGACTTTGATAGTACGTTGGCTTCCAACCAGTCCATGGAATTATAAATGATTAACCGTTATCAGCGCACATCTTCACCTCTGTGTAAAAATAGATTGACTGTAATGAGTATTTGAATAAATCATAAGAATGGCCGCCCTGCGATCGGCTAACATCCTGCCGATGGCTGCCCGGTGAGTGAGCAGGGCGCCGGCCCTCCCGCCTAATGGCCTGCGATTCAGCGCCGGTCGCCTCTGTGATTGACGGGCCTGGGCTCCCAGGGCACCTCCTCTGCAGCCCTGCTCAGGAGCAGTCGGATCTCCAGGCTGGGGTGTTGGGGGAAGGGTACCTCCCTCCATCCTGTTCCAGGAAAGCCTGCCTAGGAGGTGGGGCGGGGGGTGGGTGGAGGGGCAGACTAGAAGATAATGACCTTTGTGAGAATCGATGTCTCCTCCTCGCATCGGAGGTTAGAGGGACCTCATAAGTCAAGTATGAGGAGCAAGCTGAGCATGAACCTTAATGAGAGCTGAGAGCGTGGGGGGAAATAGGCCTGCGCATCCCCCCGATCCCTGAGGGCAGCCGGGCACCTGGCTCTGGCCACCACACCCAGGAAAGCTCCCTGGCAGGGACACAGCCTTGGGCCTACAGATGGGAAGCAGGAAACACAGGTTTCTTCAGGTCCCAGGCCTCTGAAATGGAAAGATTCAAATGACCTTTCAGGGAGTGTTTACCAGGGTGGCCTCAGGCATGGGGAGCCTGCCTTTTGGAGGGAAAGGAAGAAGAGGAGACGGGGAGGCAGGCTCAGGGTGATAGGGCCCAGTTGAGGAGGGAAGGGTCTAAAAGTCTGAAGTTTCAGAGACAAGGCCAGTGAGGGCTGGATTTGAGAGGGAAACAGCAAATATTCCAAGTTAATTCCAATGGTGTCCCATTTCTAGGCTATGTAAAAAATCACCCATAACAGAATGGCTTAACATCATTTATTCTTCAGGTCAGGAATTCAGAAAGGGCGTGGTGGGGCAGCTTGTCTCTGTGCCACCAGGTGCCACCATGGAATCTCAGTGGGGGCAGCTCAAAAGCTGGTTGCTGGAATCATCCAAAGGCTTGCTCCCTCATCATTCTGGGCTTTGATGCTAGCTGTTGGCTGAGAGGTTGGCTGGACTGTCTTGGCCAGACCCATGTGACAGCTCCATGTAGCCTGAGCTTCCTCACAATATGGCAGCTTGATTCCAAGGGTGAGCATCTAAGAGACAGTAAAAGCCAAGTGGAAGCTGTGTTGCCTTTTATTACCTGCCCTTCAAAGGCAAGCAGCATCATAGCCACTGCATTCTCTCAACTGGGGCAGTTGCAAAGGTCCACCTAGGTTTAAGAGAAGGGAACATAAATACCCCCCTTCTCCATCTCTCCAAGGAGTATCAACATCACATTGAAAGAACAGGATGAAGAATAGGAATGTATCTTGTTGCAGTCGTCTTTAGAGAATACAGTCTACCACAATTGGTACTCATCAAGTTAGTGGTCTGGCACAGCACAGCCTCATCTATTTCCCAGAAAGAATAAAAGGAACCCTTCTTTGGGGGTGATTTGTTCTCCCTAGAAAGACAGGCTAAAGAACCCCCTGCCTTAGATAAATTAAACTGTCCCTTAATTCACAGAATGTTTGAGTCGAAAGGGCCCTCGGAGGCCAGGCAAGGATTCCTTCCTGGGCAGGCCATGCTGGTGTTAATAGGTCCTGCAGCTAGCAGAAACTTCGACCTCAGGGTCGATCTCAACAAGAGTGAGTTGAGTCTGTAACCCACAGCTTCAAGTGTCAGGTCTGGAGGAGTCCTAGACTGTGAGCCAGGACTCCACAAGCCTTGAGCCCTTCACTTACATCCAGGGCTCCCTGGACCTCCATCCCCATGGACTTCTAAGCTGGGGTAGGTTTCACACAAAGATTAGGATTTAAGAAGCTACAAGGGTCTGTGCTGTAGCTGGGGAATTCTGGGCAGCCCTTCCTCCCTGACCTCACGTCCCCTGCTCTCCTTCCTTCCCCTCTGCCACATACTATGTCCTGAGGAGGCTGTGCCCTCCAAGAACTATAGTCTCTTTCCTTTGCCATTTTTCTGACCCGGATGCAGCTAAATCCTGGAAGAGGATCTGAATGTCCTAGGTGCCTTGTTGTGACTTAAGGGGATAGAAAAAAAGCCCAAGCAACCAAAGAGTAGAAACAACCAGCCCGTATCCCCAAAGGGCTGAGAGCTGAGAATGGCTAACACCAAAGGGGAGGGGGCAGGGGCGAGAGGGGTGAGTGGACTTGGTCTTGATAAAAAGTGCTAGAGTTTGGAGGAAGAGTCTTGGATTCTTCCACTTATTGGGCACTTACTACATGCTAGGCATCATGCTAAGCACTTAGGGTGCATTTTCTCACTGAACCCTCACACTATGTTATGGGATGATGTTATTATCTCTATTACAGAAGAGGAGAGGAGGCTTAGAGAGCAAGAGGAATACCCTAGGAAGTAACAGAATTGAAATTCAACTAAGGACTCTCTATTCTTGAGACTTACACTATTTTCTTGTATGACACTCAGTTGACTCCTCTGTAAATGGAAATGTCTGATGGCATCATCCCCAATGCTACTGTCATTTCTAAGATTCTAAATGTGCAGATAAGATTTTGGGAACTTGCTTAGTTATATCTAAATGGGCCTACTTCATGGAGTTGAGTCTAGGTGAAAGTATGGAATGATTTCCTATTCTGTCCCCTTTTGTGAAACTTAGGTCAGGAAACTAACATTTAATTTGGGCACATGAAGGAAACAGATGGACACAAACATAAAGGTCATTTAGATTTTCAAGGCTCCAGCTTGGGAGAAGAATGTTGGATTTGAAGTACAAAGATCAGATTTGAAGCCCAGCCTTGGCACCCCTGTGATCCTGGGCACATCTCTTTGGCCTTTGGCTTCCTCATCTCTGGAATAGAAATGGGGTTGTATATACTTCCCAGGACTGCTATGAGGACTCACTGCGATCCAGCATGTGCAGGTACCTAGAGCCATTCTTGGCACACAATAGGTACTCACTAAGGCTCCAGCCATTCACTCGCCCAGTAAATAAATAAAAAGTGGAGTTGGAAAGAAAGGCTATTCCTTTCCATTGCTTCTGACAGAGACGGTCAAGAATCTTGCCTTTAACTGTACTCTCCATAAAAGTTCACTCATAAACTATTGATATTTTAATAATACACATTAGTGTCTTGCCCTTTGACAAATGAATATTGAATGAGCAATAAAGAGGCAAAACACTAGCCAGGTATACTGCTGCAGAGGAGCTAGGATCCTGGCTGGCTGTCCAAGGGAATGCCCGCTTTCCAGAGACCTTGTAACTCACCCTTCACCCCAGTGACCCCTAAGGAAACAGCTCTCAAAAACAGCTCAGAATCCAGCCAGCCCAGCCTGGCCTGAGTAGGGTTTGTCCTCATTTTTTATTTCAGTTGGCTGGAGGGGACTTGCAAGGAGAGAGAAAAGGTCATTAAAGAACCACTAAAAGGGTGGATGTTTTACCCCATGTGAAACACTTTGGATCTTCCCATTACCTTTGTGAAAGGTGGAGGTTTCTTCTTCACATGCTCTTTCCTCCGTAGATTGCATCTACAGACAGTCAGAGTGCCCGCAAGAAATCAGGCAATGAGCGTAAAAACAACAGACTCGATCCACCCCGCTCGACCAGATCTTGATGGGAACCTATGCTCGAAGGGTGTGTGCTAAGGTTTATAAGGCAGAATTTCCTGCCTCTTCCGGCTTTGCAGCCAGCTCCGTGGCCCCAGCCTCCAGGTTCTCATGGCCTCCATCTAGGCTGGTAGTCCTTGAGTGTGCAGAGAGCAGTGACAGGGGCATTTAGTTGGTCCAGCTTAATTGGTGTGATTTAATGGCATTTCTGGAGGATTCGGATTCAGGCTTTCCGAGCTGCAAATCTGCTTTCTAAATGTAGAATTTTTGTGGAGTGGTAAAAAATAATGGCTGTTCTGTGATTCCTGCCTCCTGAGCTAGGAGATTGCAATTTACATTATGCAAATAGACGTTATGCAATCAAGGCACTTTAGCAGGAATCTGGCGGCAGAGAGGCCGATTGATGAGATGCCGAGGTCTGCAGCCCCAACTGGAGGCGCCCCGGAAGAGTGAGATGGAGTGGGGAGGGGGTGGACCGGGCAGGGGAGGAGGCAAAGAGTCTGTTTCCCTGGCCCAAGGAGGCCGAGTGGAGCCGGCCCAGAGATGAACGCATCTGGGAGCTGCCAAGGCGACTCTCTCAATTAATGGCTTTGTTTAATCATACCCCCTGTCCAGAAGAGTATTGTCTTACGGATAATTTCGTTTGCCTAACGAGATTTTGCTAATTAAATCTCCTTTCAGTTGGTGTGACTATGCCTGCAGGAGAGGTGGCTATTTGGAGTCTTCTCCATAAACCTTTCTGGAGAGGAGCTGGGAAGGAGGGATGGGAGGGAGGAGAGAGAAGAGGTGGAAAGGGAGAGAGACCCTTTCCCGCTGCAAGCAGGGCAAGAGGCTTTGAGCAGAGTTTGGAAGCTGCAAGGTGGCTGCCACCACCCAAATCGCCTTTCTTCATCCACTGAAATGCAGTTCTAAATCCTTGTCCAGCCTGAAAGGATTTCCCTCTTTTTTCTTTCTCTGTGGTGCCTGTCACTTCCACCATTACCCATTCTCAGATCCTTCTCAAATCCTCAGAGGGAGAACCGGGAGGCTTATAAGAAGGTTCTGAAGGGTTTCCAAGTGCTGCTCCCAGTATCCTTGGCTGTGGGGGGACTAGTGATGGTGTAGGGTCCCCTCCTCTTGCCTTTGCAGTTAGCCAGCCAAGCTGGCTCTTCAGAGAGGAAAAATTGCTCCAAAGCTAGCCATTTCTCCAGGGATAGTTGCATGGATCAAAGAGGAAAATACCTCATTAGACCCATTTATCATCAGAGCTAGCCAAGGAGAGCCTCCCGTATCTGGAGGAGCCTAGCGCTGTGCTTGCGATAGCTGGAGCCTAATTAATGCTGCTGTGATATGCGGCCATGCCATCCCCATGCTG
This sequence comes from Homo sapiens, assembly GCF_000001405.40. Lineage (NCBI taxonomy): Eukaryota > Metazoa > Chordata > Mammalia > Primates > Hominidae > Homo > Homo sapiens. Next base: position 125,241,055 of record NC_000011.10, read on the forward strand.
GACCACCTCCAGTGGTTCTTTGCTATCCACAGGTTGAAGTTCAGCTTTCTTGGCCTGGCTGACCATGGGCTTCACGGTTCAACCCTGGTCTACTTTCCTAACTTCATCTCTCACCCTGCAGCTGCTCCCCATCCCTGTAAATACAGACACTCAGATACACAGGCACACTCCTATAGCTGAAACCCCAACTATGCCGGATTGCTCAATCTCCCCCAACAAATACTCTGTGTACTTTTATGCCTCGGTGCCTTTGCACATGCTGCTTATCTGGACTATCCTCAGCCTGGGCGGCCCTTGCTCATTTATCTCCTCTGTGACTTCCTCCTTACAGGCCTTCCCAGCCTCCCCCATCCCTATGCTGCTGCGTTCCTTTGCCTGTAGACCATCACAAGACTCAAACACAATTATTAGTCTATCTATCCATGTAAACCATTGAACCCCATTCTTCTTTCAATCCCAATACCTTGAATCGTTCCTGGTCATAACAGGCACCCTACAAGACTGATTAAGAGAAAGGAGGGGACTGGCGCGGTGGCTCACGCCTGTAATCCCAGCACTTTGGGAGGGCAAGGTGGGCAGATCACGAGGTCAGGAGTTCGAGACCAGACTGACCAACATGGTGAAACCCTGTCTCTACTAAAAATACGAAAATTAGCCAGGCGTAGTGGCGCATGCCTGTAATCCTAGTTACTCAGGAGGCTGAGGCAGGAGAATTGCTTGAACCCAGGAGGTGGAGGTTGCAGTGAGCTGAGATCATGCCACTGCACTCCAGCCTGGGTGACAGAGCAAGACTTCATCAAAAAACAACAACAAAACAAATGAACAAAAAAAGAGAGAGAGAGAGAAAGGATGAAGGATGAATGTATGATTCAAGGTGAAGAGGGTGGAGTGATGGAGAGGTACTCTCCAGTTAAGCCCCCAAGCTCCAGGATGGATGGTGAAGGTGGAGGGGGATGGCGGCGGGGAGCAGGAGACTGATTTCTGCTGACACCATGCACCATGCAGAGGGAGCTGCCTATCCATTCATCACCTTCATTTCACAAGATGAGTAGGGGCACTTCATCTGTGGTTCCCCGTCTATGTGGGGGCCCTGTGCTTGGTGTGTCGCTGTCTCATTTCGCACATGCTCACATGTGAGGTGGGTACTATTTTTGCAGAGGGAACTGAGGCTGGCCTGTTGTCATCGGAGGGCAAGGCAGTGTTGGTCTGTAACGGGGCCCACTGGGGAACCCCAGGAGCATCTCCCTGTAGGGAGGTAAAAGCTCCTATACTTCCCAGTCTCCCCTCTTCATACCCCCACCTGCCCATCCACCCATCCATCCTTACTGGAAGCTAAGCCGCTCTGGGAGTTTGCCCTACTCTCTCTCCCCACGATGCCAGGGTTCATACATGTTCTAGGATGCCTGCATGTACCTGCCTGTGTGTGTCTGCATGTGCTGGGGGCCTGAGTGGTGCACAGGCCCTGAAGGGTGGCCTCTGGTTACTGGTTCTGGACTGCTGCCCAGCTGGTGGGGGGACATCAGGGGTGGAGGAGTCTGCATTCCATGCTGGGGATAGAGCAGCCCAGGGGAAATGGCTCAGGTCTTCCTGTGCAATGCGGGGCAGGGATGGGGGGAGGGCGGGTTGTGTGTGAGTGTGCGAGCGAGGCAGTCTTTCAGGAGAGTGGCGGGTGTGTCCTTCTTGGCTCCTGAGTTTTAGTGCCCTGCTTGTTGTTCTTTGTCGGGGCACGTCTGTCCATGGCCTATCTCTTCATCTAGGCTTGCAATCATCCTCACGTCCCCATCATGCTCTGCTGAGCCTGCAGTGTTTCTAGGTACACAGTAGGTGCTCAACAAATGCTCAGCGAATGCAATGGATAAGTGAAGGATTGAACAAGTGTGCATTTTGGTGTCAGACAGACTTGGGTTCTGTTATTTACTTAGCTGGGAACTTGGGATTTAATTTTCTCATCTAGAAAGCAAGAATAATAATATTTCCTATTTTTTCTTGAAGGGTTGTTGGTGGAGGATTAAAAGAGATATGTGAAAGTGTTTTATAAACTATAAAGCACTGCACAAATATAAGAGGTTATTACTATAATGGTTATCACACTTGAAGTGATCACTGTGTTTGAAAATTAGGGATTCTGTTTTCAGGAATGTAAAATCATCTAGGCCTGATTTGAACTCTGGGACTTGTAGAGCAATGGTTATAGGAACTGGTTCTAGATTCAGCCAACAGTGGGAGCTTTCAGGGCCTGGAGGCTCAGCCCAGAGGCCCTTCCCTCTCCCCTTCTGGGTGGACTGTCCCTGGGGTGGGAGGATGAGTCTGAGAAAGTGGGCCATCTTCAGTTAAGCCACCTGTCCCCAAAGTGGGCCCATGGAAATCGTCTTCCCAAGTCTCTGCCATTGTCTGGACTCCATGTCTCGTTATCTTTGCATATGCTGTTCCCTCTGCCAAAGATGCTTTTCGCTCTTTTCTCCACTGATCTTTTCACCTCTTGTGCCATAGTTGCTGCACTCTTTCCAGGCACCCAGGTTACCAAGTTTACTGCCATGAGGGAGTCTATCACAGTATACCTGGGACTTTCTTTTTTTTTTTTTTTTTGAGATAGGGTCTCGCTCTGTCGCCCAGGCTGGAGTGCAGTGGCGTGATCTCAGCTCACTGCAAGCTCCGCCTCTTTGGTTCATGCCGTTCTCCTGCCTCAGCCTCCCGAGTAGCTGGGACTACAGGTGCCCGCCACCATGCCTGGCTAATTTTTTGTATTTTTAGTAGAGACGGGGTTTCACTGTGTTAGACAGGATGGTCTCGATCTCCTGACCTCGTAATCTGCCTGCCTTGGCCTCCCAAAGTGCTGGGATTGCAGGCGTGAGCCACCATGCCCAGCCTGTACCTGGGACCCTTAAAGCCTGCCTCTCTTACCAGTGTGCACTGCCAGGGGAGGTACTGGGCTTCACTCATTGCTGGAGCCCCAGAGCCAAGTGGATGAATGGATGGAAGGATGAAAGATGAAGGGAAGGGTTGGAGCTTGGTAACTGCACAAGATTGGAGCTTCTGAAGCACCCTGAGCTACAGGGCAAAGCAAGGAAGAAGAAGCTGCAGAGAGATCAGTACTGCCTTGCAAATCACCCCCACATTTCTGAGATATTTCCCAGCCAACCTCATGCTCCAAATGTCAGCAAGGCTGATCTTCCTTGGGGTCACAGGGTCTGGGGACCCCAGTCCCCTGTAGGTGGGTGTCTGGCCCTCAGCCAGCTGGGCAGTGAGGCCTACATGCTGGAGCTGCGTCCTGAGGATGGAGAGGCATCTGCCTGTTGCCGACCTCTAGAGGTGAGCAGTTCTCCACCTGGGGATGCAGACGCTGCCTCCCCTTATCCCCAACCCTTCCAGATCTGTCTCTTGGTGGGGTTGGCCCCAGCTGGCAAAGAATCTGCTATAAACCCTCCCAGGGACCTGGCTCCCTCGCCTTCCCCCTGAGTTGGAGGCATCTTGTGTCTTGCCTGCTCTAGGCCTTTCCCACATTGCCCTCCCACTCCCAGCCCCAGGCAGCCTCAGCAAAGTGCCAGGGGGCTGGGAGGCTTTTCATTACCAAATGCACTGAACCTATTTGTGAGTGTTTTGCAAAGTGTTTAATCCAAGGTGTTCCCTCAATTAAATTAGTGCAAACATCTGTGTCCCACATCCACCTCCATTTGCATTCTGTGCCATTTATTACAGCGGGAAATTGGAAGGCACCTTAGGAATACTTAGGACTGAATTAGGCTAGGTTGGGGTGAGCATCTGGGGGAGGGCAGGGTGCTTGTGAGACTGGTCTAGAAAGTGGATCCTTTTCCAGGCTGGGACTTGTGAGGACCCATTTCCTGGTGCAGGAGACCACGTGGTGGGTGGTGTCTGGGCTTGAGACTACCTGGTCTCATGGGGGAGACTGGGTGAATTTAATTAATGCCGCCACTCCCCACCTGGGACCATGTACCTGCAGAGGCAGGAGAAGTTCACTGTTGCTGTTTTATAACTTTAAACCCAATTTTTAAAAAAGTGTATCAAGTGACCCATCTGGGACTCTCCCTGGGGGAGACCTTCCATGCTGGAAGGTGTGTGTTTTATCCTGAAACTACTCAGCCTTGGTGGCTGGCTGAGCATGGCTGGCAGCTTCTCTTCCCTTATGCCATGTGATCCCCATGACTGTCAAGTGTTATACTTTAGGAGTCCTACTAATATACCAGTCTAGGAGGCATCAGAGAATAGTTTCTGCTGTGTGACAGGCCTGTGCCAAGTGCTTCACATGCACTATCTGTGGTCACCCTCCACCAGCCCTCTGAGTCAGGACAAACCAGGGACTGGAGCTCAGAAAGGCCAAGCAACACATTCATGTTTCCACTGCTAAAAAGCAGAGCCACCGGGATTCAGACCTGGGTCTGCATGACGCCAAAGACTATGTGCTTTCCACTGCACTTGGAGCTCTCTCTCAAATGAAGCAATTGGACTTGGCTTTGAATCAGGAATGGTGCGGCCTCCCCCAAATCCTCTGACCAGCATGCCCTGGCCGGGTTGTACAGAGGCCCTGGTCCTAGCCTGCCCCCATTAGGATGGCTTATCCTGGGACTTCTGGGGACCTATGATGGGTAAGCTCAGGCTGCTGCTGACTCACCAGGAGAAGGGGAACCCTGGCTTCTGAGGGATGGGGCAGGGAGCAAAAGGAAAAGAAGTTTGAGGAGTGAAGGAGAGGCTCATAGGTTGCTGAAGGGACCTTAGTGGTTACTGAGTTTCTCAGTACTGAGTGAGGAAACTGAAATTCAGGCTGGTCTGGAACCTTAGGACTCCCAACTACTGGGAGGGAAGTGATGCCAAGGCCTGGGAAAGTCCAGGGGTTTTGTTTTGTTTTGTTTTTAAGGGTGAGTGCTATCTTTCTAGATGCAAAATGTAAAATAAGATTGGAGCGAGAAACCAGGGTGGAAAGGGGATAGGAGGCTACTGTGGACCCCAGACCTCAGGAAGAAGAACCTCACCAATTCCTGGGGTTCTACCTAGAGATGTCCAGGGAACAGGAAGAATAGCCAGGAGGTGTCTTCATCTGTTTTGTGCTACTGTAACAGAATACCTGAGATGGGATAATTTATAGTAAACAGGAATTTATTTCTCACAGTTCTGGAGCCTGGGAAGTCCAGGATTAAGGTGCTGGCATCTGGCAGGGGCCTTCTTGCTGTGTCATAACATGGCAGGAGGCATCACATGGCAGAAGCACAAAAGAGAGGGCCAGAGAGAGACAGCAAGAGGGACTGGGACACATTCCTGCAATAACAAACCCACTCCCGTGATAAAGGTGGCACACTCATGACCTAAACACCTCTTGAAGGCCCTGCCTTCCAATATAGTCATAATGGCAATTAAATTTCAACATGAGTTTTGGAAGAGACAAATGTTCAAACCATAGCAGGAATATTCCTGGGACACGCTACTGGTGCTCATCTCTGCCTTCCCCTTCCCCGGTTTGCCCTGTGGTCTGGGCAGGACCACAGCATCTGGAGGAAGATGGTACAATGGAGGGACATTAAATTTGAGCTCAAATGTCTGCTGTCCCACTTCCTCCCTATGACCATGTCTTAGCCTTAGTTTCTCCATCTATTAAAGAATAATAATGATCTCACCCCACAGGATTGTTGGGAATATTAAGGGAAATGTTAGGCATGCTTGACCCTAGATGGGGACTCAAGACATCACTGTGCATTTTGCTTTTTCTTCCACAGCTCCTGTCTACTTTTCCCTCTTAGGCCCTGTGCTTTGATCCTGGGCATTAGGGAGGCTGTGGAGATGAGGATGGGCAACCCCTGCTTCAGCTCACCCTCCTCACTTTCCCATTCTCTCTCCTCCCTCTCTCATCAAAAGACTTTAATAAATGCATCTCAGCATGTGACACTGCCAGGGGCTTTACAAGAATAAGTTGCTTATCCCAGCCCTTACTTCCTAGAAATGACAATCTACAATAAAAATGCATTTATTAAGCACTGGCTGTGTGTAGTACCCAGTGCTAGGCACAGCAGGGTTAGCCTGAAAACGACCCCCAGGGCCTCTTGTCTCCTCCCAGGCCCCAACAGTTTCTGCTTTCTTTGGAATTGGCAGATCCCAGAACCATCTGCCTTTCCCGGCAGGATTTTGGGCTTCTGTACCCCTTTGTTCCTCTGTGCTTATCCACATGAGGTCCTCTTTGCCTCGAATGCCCTCTACACCCCATGTTTACCTGGTTGGAACCCAGTTTCCTGATGAGGAGTGCCTCTGTGACAACATCTGTGCTGGGCTCATCTTCCTTGAGCTCACAGTGCCCACTGAACATCCTCCTGGGACTCTTCCTCACCCTGGGTTTCTATACTGTCTCTACCAGAGGTGCCTAGCTCTAGTGAAGGGCACTAGAGGCCAAAGTATGATGTCCTAGAGCCAGCACAGGCCCTGGGGTCATCTCTTCTGCCTTGTCTGCAGGGCAGATTATGCCCAGTCCCTCCACAGCAGCAGAGAATGCTGGGTTATTGGAATGCCTTCCCCTCTCGTTAGCCTTTTGCACTCAATAAATGCTTGTTTTGTTGGACAACTTCAGCAGCCTCCTTCACTGGCATGCTTGAAGAGAGGTTGTCAGAGCAGCAGCCTCCCTCTCTAGTTTCCAGGGTGTTCAGTCTGAGAGCCCTTCCATGTCTCTGTTACTTGCAATTCTAGTAAGGATTTGCTGTCTCCCCACCCAGCCTCAGGATATGGGATCTCCAGAGGTGCGCAGGATAGGCAGAGAAGAATGACCCTTAATGTATTGCCCCTGTATCTTTGCCAAGGACATTTCCTTTTCCCAAAGTCTTTTTTTGCTCTCCACATGGCCGAATTCTTCCCATCCCGCTAGCTCCTATCCACCTCTTCCACAAAGTCTTCTTAAGAAGATCCTTCAGGGGAAAGCAATTTCTTCCTCCCAGAGCCCCTGGCCTGAACCTCCTGCCACTGACCATCCCAGGTATGTCTGTGTCTGTCCTTTTCCCCTGGGCCATGTCAGTCCTCGGTCCATGGCTGATGCTTCTGTAGCCCTCGCTCTGCCTGGCCTGGCTCTTGGCAAGTGCTGAATTTGCAATAGATGTTTCCCAAATGAACAAATGAACAGGACTATTTCTTGTTTGTCTCAGAGGGAGGTGTCTGGGTTTTTCTCTCATCCACTGCTTGGAGTTTTCTGCTCCAGGGTTCTAATGAACCTGAAGGCAATTTGTCACTAGTTACTGGAAACTAGATGTTATGGCCAGCAAAAGAAAAGCAGGTGTTAAATTCTGCTTGGTATACTGAGCAGACTGGAATTACTTTTGCACAGCAGCTCTGTCGGGTCCCAGGACACTGATACTCTACAGGCAAAGCCTCCAAAACAGAGTAAACAAGATGGGCCATTGGAATAAGAGAAGAAAATCTTGCGACTTTACTTATTTGTATTTTTAAAAAATCTTATTTTACTTAGATTTCTATTTTTGAAATGTGTTTTATAAGACACATCATATACTGGTAGAGTAGTGTGGCTTATATGCAATGTATATATTGTAACATATAATATAGATGTATTATATATAAGATATATAAGACATATATACAACACATACACATATATGATATGTGTTATATATAATACATGTTATGTATGTTATATATACACATTATATATAACACATTTATATTATATGTTATAATATATACATTTTATACAAGCCACACTACTGTACCAGTATATGGTGTGTCCTATATGATGGGTCTCACTATGTTGCCCAGGGTGGACTTGAATTGCCCTCAAGTGATCCTCCATCCATATAACATATATAATATATATATATAACGTATATATATAACATATATAATATATATAACGTATATATATAACATATATAATATACATTATATAACGTATATACATGTATATATACATACATATATACATATAATATATGTATATATAACATACATAATATATTATATATAACTTATATAATATAGTATATATAACCTATATATTATATATAATATATATAACACATATATACACACACACATGTTTATATGTGTGCATCTTGAGGGTGATTATAAATTTTTACTGGTAGAGTTTTGTAAACATCTGGGGATCCTATTCCCCTGGGAATCTCCGGGTCTTAGGACATGGCAGGCACTTGCAAATATGTGTGGCTGGACTCATACTGATTTAAATGGATACTATGGGATACTAATGGATACTATTGGAGAATCTTTTAAAGTTTTAAAATTTGACTTTGATTTGGTCCTCAATGATTTACTTCTAAATAGTATAGCTAGAGAACCATGGTGCAGCAAATAAACAAGAATAGTCAGCCCTCTGTATCCATAGGTTCCACATCCACGAATTCAATCAACAGCAGATGAAAAATATTTGGAGAAAAGAAAAAGGGATGGCTGCATCTTCACTGAGCATGTGCAGACTTTTTTCTTGTCATTATTTCCTAAACAATATAGTATTACAACTATTTACACAGCATTTGCATTGTATCAGGTATTATGGGTAATCTGGAGATGATTTAAAGTATATGGGAGAATATGTGTAGGTTATATGCAAATACAACACCATTTCGTATCACGGATTCGAGTGTCCATGGATTTTGGTATCCAAGTGGGATTCTGGAACAAATCCCATGCAGATACCAAAAAACAACTGTATGTGCCTTCTGTGTACCAGGTTCTAAGATAGGAACTGGGGCGACAAAATTAAAATAAAAAATTTTGGGCTGCACGCGGTAGCTCACGCCTGTAATCCCAGCACTTTGGGAGGCCAAGGTGGGTGGATCACCTCAGGTTGGGAGTTCAAGACCAGCTTGATCAACATGGTGAAACCCCCATCTCTACTAAAAATATTAGCCAGGTGTGGTGGCGCATGCCTGCAAACCCAGCTACTCGGGAGGCTGAGGCAAGAGAATCGCTTGTACCCGGGAGGCAGAGGTTGCGGTGAGCAGAGATCACGTGGTTGCATTCCAGCCTGGGCAACAGGAGCAAAACTCTGTCTCAAAAAAAAAAAAAAAAAAAAAAAAAACAATTTAGACATGGGAGTCTCACTATGTTGCCCAGGCTAGACTCGAACTCCTAGCCTCAAATGACCCTCCCACCTCAACCTCCTGAGTAGCTGGGACTACAGGTGCATGCCACCATGCCCAGCTTGGGGTGATAAATTTGAGGTCCTTCACCTCAAGTTACGTATATTTCTTTTTTTCAAAAACAAACAAAAATAACTAAACAAGAAATTTTTGTAATGTAAATTTTCAAACAGATTTCAAGAAAGAGAACAAGCAGTAGATCATGAACTCCATGTACTCATTACCCAGCTTCAGCAACTATCAGCCCTCCCTCTTCACTGGGGTTGTTTGGAAACAAGTCCCAGGCCTTGTATCATCTCCTCTGCAAGAGCTCCGGTGCGCACAGCCTTTTAGAGACAGGCAGACTTCTCAACAAATGCTGCTGTGTTGCGGGAGCTGTGCCAGACCCCACTGGAAAGACCTGGGCCTAGCGCTAGTCTGGAGGGATCACCACTCCCTGGGGAAAACAGAGAGAGGTCAGGAATGATTTTTATATCGAGGGTGTCTAGGCTGAGTCACTAGGCTTAACTTCTAGGCTCCTGTGTTGAAATTTCAGAACGACAGAGGTGACCTGCCAGATAAGGACTGAATATGAGAGGAAGACACACCTATCGGAGGAGACCGCAGGCTTTCACACAACATAGATGGAGCACTTACAGCTCTCACAGTCTGCCTCCCTTATCCCACAATGGGAAAACTTAGGCTCAGAAAGCTGAGGCCTCCTCCCCACAGCTGCACAACTGGAGATCGGCAGGGCAGAATGGGGCTGGGCCCAGGTTCCTCCTTCTGCCTCCCCTCAGCATATGGGGGACCCCTGGCCGTGCCAGGCTGGGCTTGCCTTTTTCACACACCCAGGTTTCTGTGGCTGGGAACAGCATAACGCTGATTGCCCAACAGGCTCTGGGCTGCGGGCGCCCCTCCACCCCCTGGCAGCTTCTGGAGGGGGCCAGCGGCCTGTAGCCCCCGAGTCATCACGGGAGGCGTGTGACTTCTTCTTTCTTCCTGTACAAGTTGAGCACTTGCCACCCTGCTGTCTGTTTTTCCTTGCTAAGGTTCAGTTCTAATTATGTTGATTTTCTTCATCCCATCCCTCCTGGAAGCTTATTAGGTTGAATATTTTTATTTATTATCATTTCGCCCAACTCCTGCCAGCATTTCCAATTACTCTCCCCGCTTCCTTGTAATTGTCTTTCTGTAATGGCTCTGAAACAATTGCGCTAAATGAGGTGTCTCCTGGAAGATGAGAGTCTCACTTCATTAAAGGCTAATGTATTCTCAGCTCCAGCTCTGTGGGGCTAGCTTGGAAGGAAGACATTTAAACAGCTTCTTTTATTTTATAGGGAGCAACTTTTCAGCGACAAAGATGTCTGTGGGGTATATGTGTATGTGTGTGCGTTGCCTGGATTTTAATTTAAAGAAAGTTTATGAAATAGTGTAAGTCCCTTTATTGATGAGACTCTGTTCTCTGGGAGCTGAGATCTACACAGATGGGGTGCAGGGGAGCAAGAGGGGAAGGGGCAGTTGATTCTGAGGTCCGCCTGCCTTTCTGCTGGTTCCCAACCCAACCTCTCTTCCTCCATTCCTGCTGGCTCAACCCCCAGATGGATTCATGCCTCCATCCTGTGTTTCTACCTCCTCATTATATATTATATAAATATATATATATATTATATTTCTACCTCCTCAGCTCAGATTCCACTGTGGTGATGGCCTCAGTGATGTTATTTTATATCAATCAAGTTTTTTTTTTTAGTTCATATATCCTGTCTCTTCATTGTTCATTCATTTGTTCTATTGTCATTCATTCAACACCTGTCCATTGCCCACTCTGTTCAGGCCTTATTCAGGTTAGAGATATGCCTTTTGGAGCTTATAGAACGGTAGCAAAGAGAGACAGCTGACAAGTAAGCAGGCACCTCTAGCACAATATGTTAAGTGCCTCCATCAGGCAAGGCCACAGCGCTCGTCAAGCGGTGAAGAGGGCACTTTGTGAAACCTTGTGGGATCAGGGCTGATACCTGAAGTGGCCAGGGAGTGAGTGGAAGTACTCCAGGCAGAGGGAGCTTGGTGAATCACATCCTGGTAGCCAGAGAGGGCTTGGCTGATGAGGTGAAATGCAAAATTTCCCACATTTCAGGAGCATCGTGTGGGACAAAGGCTGTGGGGAAAGCTGGGGCTGGAGACTCTGGAGAGTCTCGAAGGACGTGGAAGAGTTTTAAGCAGGAGATTGATTTGGCCAGATCTGTGTTTTGGAAAGGTGGCCACTGCTTCAATATGTGGAATAGATTGGAGGAAGGCAAAAAAAGAAACAAGGCAAGGAGACCTTGCAGGAAGCTGTTGCCAGAGATTATGATGACCTGCCTGAAGCCAGAGGCAGTGGAGAGAGAGACCTGTGTACCTTTATGAGGTGTTTCAGATGGAGAAATGGCAGGCTCAGAAGGGGGAGTGGTGGGAGGTAGAGGAGGCACCAAGGATGGGCTCTAGGTTTCTGGTTTGGGCAACTGGTGAATGTTGAGTGGTGGGGTCCTGAAAACGAGGACAAGGTGTGGTACCCAATGAGAGGTCCATGTAGCTCCCCCGGGCTGCGAGATGACCAGGCACAAATCCCAGCAGAAGCTGGCCACCCTGGTCACTGTCACCAGAGGACCTCTACCAACCCGGCCTTTGGGTTGGAGGTGGCATCAGGGTTACAGGTGGCATCAGCTCACTCCTTCAGGGGGTCATAGACAGCTGCATCTGTCGAGTTCTTAAAAGCACCTGGATGCTGTGAGCTGTCAGCTGAGCAGGTCACTGATTGGCTCCAACTTCTGTCCCAGGCAACACAACTCATACCAAGGCCTTCGGCTATTCACCAGCAGCTCCCAGGGTCAAAGGCTACCTCTTCTAAGGGAGTTGTCATTGCACAGTCAAGAACGAGTAGGAAGGCCCTTCCTGATATGTTTGGGTTGGAAGTGAAGAATTTAAGTACAACTAAAAATATCTTTATGCTTCTGAGGCATTTGCTTAGGGTCCCTGGAAGCTTGCCCACAACACTCGTGGTGATAGCAATAAAAATCTTAATAAAACTTTTTCACATTTATCAGGGCCTACTCTTGTCCCAGATACTCTTTGAGGCACTTGCATGATAGCCTCTCAGTCCTATCATGTAGATATTATCATTTTTTCTGTCATAAAGAGGAGGAAACAGAGGCACAGGGAGAAGTACGCAGGCTACTGGGCCTCCCCTGTGGCAGTTTCCTTCTCAGAATGAAAGAAGGAAGGAGAGAGTCCTGCTGGCCAGAGCCTGTTTGGGTGTGAGTGAGGAGGAGAGGAGGGTGGCTCAGCCCTGCCCTCCGCTTGCTGTTCTGCTGCTCCTCATGTGCACGTGTCCTTCAGGGTCCCGTGCAAATGCCACCGATGGTCCCAGGCAGAGCTAGGACTTCCTTCCTCCCTGGTTCCCAGACTTCATACATTTCTCAGTGATAGCACCGCTGATTTGTCGTGATTCCTTGGCATGGCTGTCACCTCATTTCTACCTTGGGTTTTCCCAAGGAAGGATCCTGGCTCACTCATCTCTATCACTGGCACCCAGCACAGAGCCTGGCACCTAGTAGGCTTTCTATGAATAAATAAATGCTATTAGGGAAGCCAGGATGCTCAGGAGGGACCCTGGAGGTCGGAGTCAAAGAGGACCCCCTGGTTCCCTTCATCGCAGGAGCAGCCAGGCGTCTAGATATGCCCCAGATTGGACTCAGCTCTTCCCAGGGACCCACTTGGTAATAAGGGGGCGGTTGTCAGGAACACACATCTCTCTGCACTCTGGGGAAATGTGGGGGTTGGGATAAGTGCTCCTGCTGGGTGGGAGCATCGAAGGAAGCCGCGTCTGGCTGGATGTTTATCCTGATGAGGTTCTTATGTAACACCAGGCTTCCTCCAGCTCCTAGGGACTGAAGAGCGCGCACACCAGGGAAACAAACAAATGGAGATGCGAACCACTTGTGCCATTAGACAACTGAAGGGAAGAGGTGTACACATCTGACGTCCTCAGCAAAAATTTAGCACCAGGGCAATTTCCGAACCGCTTTTTACAAAGAAAAAAATGTCTCTTTATATATTCCAAGTGTAAAAACTCACCAGTGGCTTCCATCTCCCTGAATCTCAGATGGTGCACTGATGGCCATTTGCCAGGGCTGCAAAGGGGCGATGGGGTTCCTGGAGGTTCTACCCAGCCCACCTCCCTGCCATGGGGCTGGTGCCACCTCCTCAGCAGCTCCCTCCTCACCCAGTGGGATCTGCCTGAGGGCAGCAAGGGGAGAAAGAAAAGGGAATGCAGTCCCAGGTCTGAGCCAGGAGTCCTCGTCTTGAGGCCTGATCACTAAATGGCTGTGTGACCTTGGGCAAGTGGCTTACCATTCTGAGCCTCAGTTTCACATCTATACAATGAAGAGAACAGTCAGTTCTGACCCGCCTAACTCACTGGCTTGTTTTGAATACCTGTACCCTGCACAGGTTGTGTAGGGGATCACAACCGCATTGTGACACTACCTGTCATCCGAGCTGGGTCAAAGCTGAGCCCCAGGTGCAGGTGAGTAACATGGCATCCCCTGCTTGCTCTAGCCAACCTTCTTTTCCTCCTGTTCCAGAGCTGAGCCCTGTTCCCACCTCACCTTCTGTAACATTGATGACGGTGTCCAGGTGAATTCTAAGTCTGAGGTCCCAAGGGGCTCTTGGAAACAGCAGATGGGGATGGCAAGTGGCCTGCACAGTGCTGGACAGTGGATGGTTTAGGGTAAGAAGTCTTAGAATCCTGGAATGGAGCTAAGTGGAAAATCACTTTACGCACTTCTTAAACATGTATTAAAGACTTACCACACACCCGGCATTGTGCTAGATATTGAGGATGCAACGCGAATGATACACAGTCCCTGTCCTTTCAGGGTTTGCTGTCTAGCAAGTATTCCAGATTAATGCCCATTTACCACCATTTTATAGATGAAAAAATAAGGCTGCCCAGGAGGGAAAGTGACTATCCTGGCCACATGGCTGGTTAGTGCGCTTAGCAGGATCAAAAATCGGCATTGTGAAGATGAAACGAGCGAATGCATACCCAGGACTCAGAGCTGTGCCTGGAACCACCCAGTGAGGGTTCTCTATATGTCTCCATGACATCTCCAGACCCCAGGAGCATTTCCGTGATGCCTCAAGACCCCTCATTTCCCTGAGCTCTAGCCTCGCTCATATCATGAGGTTGGGCATTTGAAATGAGCCCAGCCCACCCCCGGGATGAGACTGACAAAGGCAGGACAGGGATGACAGTGGGTCCTGAGGCCCTTGACCCTGGCTCTTATGGGAGCAACCTGGGCATTTTGTTCCTTTATTCAACCAATGCTTATGGAGAGCTTGCCCCATGCCAGGCACTGGGGCTCATTGCTGAATGGCACCAACAAGGCCCCAGCCCTCAAGGAATTTCTGTGTTAGTGGGGAAGGGGATTGGACAATCAACTATAAATAAACACATAAACCAGATATTTTCAGAATGAGACAAGAGCTGTCCAAGTCACATGCGGGGTGACGTACTAGAGAGTAACAGGGTGGTTGTTGGGAGGTGGGGGGCAAGGTGGGGGACGGGCTTTGTTCACTTCTGGAAGTCGCCCTGCCAAATGAGCAGGGTTCTGGAGAGACTCTGCCCAGCACCAACACACCAGAGTCTCCCAAGTTCAGCATTCCAAATAAAGGTAATCAATACTGAGATGGTCTCTACCCTTCCCAGCCCCTTGCCCACAGCTAGAAGTCATGCATCTAGTATAGGCTACCTCAGTTTTCACCAGTATCCCCTTGGAGGGCTCCATGACCTCCCTTCATCAAAATCTGGAATCAGGAGTAAAAGAAATACAGAAAGACCAGGACTGTTCCTCTGATGCTCCTCGGCCCTGAGTTCTCCAATCTCAGGAAATGAGGGAACTTAGCCTGCTGGGAAGACGGTGGGGATGGACTCCAGGCTGAAACGTCAGGGTGAAACTTCCAGAACTGAGAAGCCACAGAAAATATTTTATTCCAGGGCAGTGGCAATTGCTGGGGAGCTACAGCAGCCTCCCCATTCCATGAACAGGGGAAGACCCAAGACACAGTTTCCAAGGCACTTCAGGGCCCAACTAAACAAAGCCAGGAGCCTGCCTAGGACATCAGACAAGCAGAGATAAAAAGGGCTTCAGGGACTGGGTTTCTGTATGTGGGTGCCCACTGAGTCTGTCTCTTCAGAAGTCTTCAGAATCAAGTATCCTCCTTCCTCTGGGACTGTTCCCCACCACCCTAAACCCTGGGCAGGCACCTCAGGTGAAAACCAGGAAGAAGGGAGGTTTTCCTGACCAGGTAGTACCCACTCTGTGCATTTGGGGCCGGGGAAGGGCACCCAGACTCCATCCAGTGAGTTCCTGGTGCCACCAAGCCAGTGCTGGGGTTGCCAGGCCCCAGGTACACACTTATCTCTGGGGATTGGTGGTCAGCGGTGCCTCCCCCTGCCAGTCCTCATCCTTGAGCCCCTGAACCTCAGAGCTCCATTTTTGTTCACCAACCCCCTGACTTGGCAGCCCCCTGAGAGATACTTTTTTTCCAGATAGCCACTTCCTGGTTTCTCAGCAGATCAATCCCGCTGCTCTTCTCTGGCTCAGCTGCTGTAGTGGCTGCAGATTTCTTAGTAATGATCTTCCTCCAGGAGCAGGGGAGAGAGAGGCTTCTGCTTCCGTTGCAGCCGCCTCTGTCTCGGCTGCCAACATCAAAGCTTTCCTTGTGGCTTTGGTAGAATATTGAGAATTGCGAGATAATTAAGTTGCATTTCTGTGCATTGTTTACTGTTGCTCTCAACCAATCACTATTCCATAGGGGCTAATCTGTGTAGGGTTTTTTTTTTTTCCTTCTTCTTTGCAGTGCTTGTTTGTACCACATTCTTCATTATGCTTCAGTTACAATTTTAATTTTACTATTATTAAATCTTCCCCAAAGCTGTATTATTCTGTGCCTCTGAGCTGGAATTCCTGATTTGGGGACTGTTTGCATCTGGGCCTGTTCACAAATGATTGTTCTTGTTTACAAAAGAACATACATTAAAACTCAGCACTAGAGGAATCCCTGCTCCTTTTCCTCTTCGCTGTCCCCGGCTGGCTCACCTGCTTGTCGGAGGTAGGGGAGAGGGGAGAGGGGAAGCAGGAACCATCTGGTACTTTCTGAGATTGTGCTGTTGATAGAACATCTTCATGGCCTCCAATGGTCAAACCCGCCTCCAGTGGCCAAAGAAGCCAAGTGCAGGGGCTGGCCAGTGAGCTGGAGGCTGTTTTCAAGACCTGCAGGATCCCAGTAGGATACCTCCATGTTTATTCCAGCAATGGTTAGGAGTACGGGCTTCGGAATCGAACAAATCTGGATTTGAAATCCAACTTCTTCATTTACTAAGAATCTGACATTGGGCAGTTAGTAACTTCTCTCAGCCTCAGTTTCCCTGCTGTAAAAATGAAGAAGCAGCAGCTGACGATCCTGCCCACAGGTAAGGATGAAAAGGGATGACGTTTTAGAACAGTGTCCACCACACGGCAAGGACTTAGTGAAGGGTAGGTAAATTTAGGTTGCCCTTTTCATCGTCATTGTCACTCTACCATTCTGTCTCCTGTCTGTTTTGTTTCCATTTTTCTGCCCCTCTGAAGCTTGTCTGCTCACTTAGACTTTGCATGAGAGCTCGGAGGCTCAGGCCTGCCTCTGGTCTCATCATTAAGCCAGTGGCGTGGAGTAGGAAGCACTTTCCCTATAGCCTTAGTGACTGTTAACGGCAGGAATTTGTTAACCTGCCTTCCCAAGAAGGAAAAGTGGCAGGCCTCAGGGCACCTGAGCTTGCAGAAAGAATTCAGCCCTGCCCCAGTTGAAGATGGCCTTCCCTGGGGTTTTAGGACCCCAGAGCCAGCTGCCAGCCCCCTACTGCCTTATTGTCAGGTCCCAACCCTGGCAGAACCAGTGCAGCTGGTCACCAAAGCTTTCTTCCGCCACACCCACCCCAGCACCCCTGCAACCTCAGCTTCCTCATAGACTTTCCTTAGCTTCTTTCTTCCTGTCACCCTGTCCCCTCAAGCACCATGCACACACTAAAACCATAACTTTTTCCCCCTCTTTCCCATTATCTCTAACCCATATACTCCGGGAAGTTTAATTTGTTCTCGGTAGTAATCACCATTAACTAGAAATTGTCTTTCTCTGTGTAAACACGTCATTAGTGAAGCTGGTTTTCTGCAGGGTCCAGATTTCATTTTTATTAAAATGAAACACTTTCAGGCACCTCACTGTGTCCAAGGAAAGAGAGTATAATTTTAACCCATTGGGTTGGCCACAGATAATTGGGCTGGCATTTGATTGGACGATTAGGGAAATATCTTCTTTGCATGCAGTATAATTTGCATTTTTTTCCCACTTATATGAAGCTAAGTCATGCTTTCGTACACAGGCAGTTTTAATGAGCATTATAAATCCTAATGAATATATTTTCATGTTCATTTTATTGGCTTGTTTTTATTACTAGAGGTCTGAAAAACAGGGCCAGAGAGGGAGCTGCAGAGGAAATGGCAGGGGAGAGAAGCACTGTGGCAGCCTTCTGCCCCCTCCCCTGCTGCCGCCCTGGCTGCCAGAGGGTGGATGACTGGCAGGGTGGGGTCACCCAAGTCCTCTTTAACCCAAACCAGAAGTTGCTTTGGGTCCCCTGGGGATGCAGAGAACATGTCTCTTGCCTCGGGGCCAGAGGAGCTCCTGCTGCAGCCTCAGCCTCAGCTCCAACAGTGACAGAAGCCGTGAAAACAGCAAACCCTAGTTCATCATGGTCTGCCATGGAAGAGGGAGTGAAGTATTTCTGCATAGTGTCGGACACATACTAGGATCTCAATGCAGATTAATCAAATGGAATCTGATTGAATTCTTCTTCACAAGGAGCCAGCCACCACATCCAGAGTATTCATTCTCGGTCATGACACTGAAAGGCAATTAACAAGTGTACAGAGAGTGAATTTTTCCTGGATGATTCTGGAGGTTCTTCAAAATCCTAGGGTCTTTGCACATCATTGTGAGTATCAATTCTCGGTCCCAGAGTTTTGCTTATCTCTAAAATGAGAGGATACATTCATTCATGCATTCATTCATTCACTCATTTAAGACGCATGTTAGACACCCACTATGTTCTAGACACTGAGGCAGGACATACATAAGGTAATCCCTAAGATTCCTGCCAGCTCTGACAACTTTTTTTATTCTGTAATAAGTGACCAATAAAGTGAGATTTTTGTTCCAGTTTGTGGCTTTGGTTTTAAGATCACTCCCCGAGTGATTTTAGAGTTGGGTCTCTTTTCATTAGGCACCCTAAGTACCTCTGTTGTACCCTGGCCCCCCTGCATATCAGCAGTCCCAGGCTTCCACACCACTGAGGCCTTTTATCCCTGCTCCCCACATGAGGCTGACCTGTGGACTTCCGCGTGGCCCTTTACCTTTGCCTCTGGCTGAAGGGCATCCTTGGCATGTCTTCCTTTGGGATCCTGGGGATGGCCCACCTGCCTTGGCTTTGAAGGCCTGGCCCACACTGGGCCATGGGATCTGCTATGGGCAGGCTGGCTGGGAGTCTGCTATGGCTTCACACATTGTCTACTTACTGACCTACTGCACCTCACCACACAGCCTGCTTTCGGTTGACTGTCCTAACCCCATCCTAACTCTGCCATCCCACCCCCATTCTTTTTTTTTTAATTCTTTTTTTTTTTTTAAAGAGACAGGGCCTTGCTCTGTTGCCCAATCTGGAGTGCAGTGGCACAATCACAGCTCATTGTACCCTCCAGCTCCTGGGCTCAAGCGATCCTCCTGCCTCACTCTCCCCAACAAGGACTACAAACACATCACCATGCCCAGCTATTTTTTGCTTGTTTGTTTTTTGTAGAGATGGGGTCTTGCTATGTTGCTCAGGCTGGTTTTGAATTCCTGGCCTCAAGTGATCCTCCCGCCTCAGCCCCCCAAAGTGCTGGGATTATAGGTGTGAGCCATCATGCTTGGCCCAATTTTTGTTTTATGGTTTGTTTGTCTGCTTGTTTTGTGAGATGAAGTCTCGCTCTGTCACCCAGGCTGGAGTGTAGTGGCATAATCTCAGCTCACTGCAATCTCCACCTCCCAGGTTCAAGCGATTCTCCTGCCTCAGCCTCCTGAGTAGCTGGGACTACAGGCACGTGCCACCACATCCAGCTAATTTTTGTATTTTTAGTAGAGACGGGGTTTCACCATGTTGTCCAGGATGGTCTCAATCTCCTGACCTCGTGATCTGCCTACCTCGGCCTCCCAAAGTGCTGGGATTACAGACGTGAGCCACCATGCCCAGCCTGTTTTATGGTTTTTTTTAATCAGAAAGGTGATTGATGCTCACATAGGTTGGGAGTTTTGAGGATGTTTCAGAAGTTAATTCAAGTAAAGACGAGTTCTGTTGCCTTTGCCACCATCTCTTCAACATGGCAGCTCAGTGCTTGGGGGTGACGTCTCCCTAGTAGCTGCAGGCTTTCGTGAGTTGCATTTGGGAGGTCAGCCCTGTTTTCCATTAAGACTACATCTTCTGCCACCCCCACCTCTCCATGCACACACACGGCTGAGGACGTCTCGCTGTGGCCTTGAGGACAACTTTATGTTTTCCTGCTATACAAGAGATGTTTACTGAACAAACACCACATGCTAGATTCTGTGAGAAACAGGAGAAACTAGCAAAGAGGCCTTGTGGAGAAGTGGGAAGGAAGCTGGCCCACAGTGGAAGGCCTCAGTGAATTTCTGACTTTGCTACTTTCTGCTGTGTGGCCTCAGGTAAGCATCTCACCTTCCTGGGCCCCTTTTTCCCCATCTATAAAATGATAATAATAATTACCTATGGCACAGTAAGTGATAGGGATTTAAATGAGATACTGATTGTGGTAATGACCTGGAAACTGTAAATGCTTGTCATTTTTCAGGTGGAATGTGACCAAGTTCCAAAGCGATTTGGATCGTGGGTCCTGGGT
This sequence comes from Homo sapiens, assembly GCF_000001405.40. Taxonomy (NCBI): domain Eukaryota; kingdom Metazoa; phylum Chordata; class Mammalia; order Primates; family Hominidae; genus Homo; species Homo sapiens. The sequence goes on from NC_000011.10 coordinate 125,261,159, forward strand.
TATAGCCTATTTCTTGTCTTGGAAGGGCTGGTGAGGGGGAAAAGGGATGTTTGCTGTCAGGATGGGATGTTGCTGCTTCCTGGAGTCACATATTTATGTTATCTGTCTTTTCCAAAGAGGAGAAACAGAGAAAGGGCTCTGGCTGGAGTTCACCATTGGGATGGTTTCATAGATCTGGTTTCAACCTCACCACCACAGAAGACCATGATTGCCAAGCGAGTGCCTGCACTTTGCCTTAAGAAATGAGCTCAAGTTGAGGCAATGTGCAATTCAGGGTGCCCTGCAGCTAAGCACTGATTTGTCTCTGTTGCATGTGGTAGATCAGCCTTGTCTTCCTTTAAGACTGCAAACTTCTGGACAGGGGTCCTTGTGGAGACTTCTTCCACATGCTCCCTCCCCACCACCACACTCCCAGTGGTAGGCTCAGGGTTGCTCATCTGTTCAAGAACTGCCTTTCAGTGACCTCATTGGCCAGAAGCAGGAGCACCAGTGATACTCTCAGCAGGGCATCTCACCCCCAAGTCAAGGCTAAGTGTCTGCAACTGACCAGCTGGTCTTGCTCAAAAGGGAGAACATGGCCAGAGGGAGCAGAGCATCAGCTCCAATGCCGCTCTTTCCGATCTGCAAACACAATAGAATTAACTGGCCCGAGACACCAAATTTTTGTGAAAAAGGTGGTGTAAGTGCAAAAGCAATCTGCTGGCCCATTGCAGAGCCAGGTCTTAAATTACAGAGTGTAATGGTGTTGGCACATTCCGAACTGTTCCCTGAGTCCCTTGGCATTCCTGGAGCCAAGGCTTCACAGACAGAGCAACTTCCCAACAGCCCAGGAGGGTGCGGGGATGCAGAGCAGCCCTCCAGTCCCCTGCAACCAACTATTTTAGGGCACCTGGAGGGGAAGAGCACTAAGAAGGGTGTTAATTCATTATGAGCCGTGATGGGGCACTGGAGGGGAGAAGTGGGCCCACCTGCTCACAAGACGCCTTTGGTGTCAGATCCAGCTCTAGATGAGGAAGGGCTGAAGAGTAGGGGCCAGACAGTGAGACAGTGGAGGCGGCGGTGGGGGGGTGGTTCTTTATGCAGCTGCGTCTCCCCTTGGGCCGGAAGGAGTGATGACTCTGGAGAGGTGGGGACGAAGGTCAGAACAGACCATGAGGAATGAAAGGACGCTTGTGTTCTGGCAGCCACGCGTGAGGATGGAGGACTGGTCAGGCACTCGGGGAGGGAGCGCTATCTCACCTCTCTGGCTGAGGGGGTGTTTGCTTAGCGTCCCGTCGCAGATTAGCCCACTTGAGTCTAGAAGTGCCACATCACGGTGGGAGGCGGGCTGGTGTGTTTGCGCTAGGTCACTCAGGGAGCTTGAGGCATTGTGGGATGGCAGGAGATGCCTCCCAGAAACCGATTTTAATGCCCGCTCCACCTTTGCCCTGCTCCCCAAGCAGCCCTCCCACCCTTCCTCCCTCCCTGTCCTTTCTCTACCCCACAGGCTTTGTCTGTGCAATCCTCTCTCTACCCCACAGGCTTTGTCTGTGCTGGGAGGGGCTCGGAACTAGCTGGGGGAGGGAGGTGATCTTGTCCTTTCTTTCCACTCGTTCTGGGCACCTCATCACCTCTCTCTTTTCTTTCTCTAACTTTCTCTGCTTCTCCTTACTTCTCTGTTTCCCTCTCCCATGCGTTCCCTCCTGCTCCTCTACTCACGTACCCTCCTTTTCCTCTCTGTGTCCCTCTTTCTATTTCTATGATCCGTTTCCTAGTGCTCCTTTTGTTCAGTCATCGGCGCCCCTCGCCCTCCCCGAGGTTGTGCCGGGAGTAATGCTGGTTAAATGCTGCTGTCTGCACGGGGCAGTCTCTGTAGTGTGTGCTGAATTGCTGCAGGGAGGGCCAAGAGCACAGCACAGAGGGCCAGAGCCAGTGGTGTGGTGCTTCTAGACTCAGTCGGGTGCCAGCCCTAGCTCTAGTATGCCCTGGTTGTGTGACTGGGGACCAATTCCTATTTTTCCTTGGGCCTCAGTTTCCCCAGAAATGCAATGGGGAGGACATTGCCCTACCCTTCAAGGACATGCCTCGGTTCATAAAGGAGACCTCCTCTCTCTAGAGCCAAGCTCCCCCACCCCACCCCCATCCTGCCAGGGCAGGCTCAGCCGCTCCCTTCCCGTCCCTAGCAGTGGGGGAAGCCGCATGAGGAGGAGCGGCGTGGGAGCAAATGGAGGGGATCTGCTGGCGGGCCTAGTTTAGGCAAACAGCAGGGACTGCTGGCGACGGCTCCAGCCCCCACTCCCGCGGTAACAGCTGCAGTCCAGCTGCTGGCATCCCTGCTGGGGGAGCGTGCTAAACCTCTCCGGGGTCAGCACTGTGGTATGTCGGTTTCCATAGCAACCAGCCAACGGGCCACTTTCTCAGAACAATTCCCCTACTCAGCCGGGTTCTGGACTTAGCTCAGCCCAAGGGCATGTGGCTGAGGAGCAGCGCGGGAGGGGGAGAGCTGCCGAGGGCCAGACTGGGCCCCACAGAACGTGGCTATCTCAGTCCGGTCTTCGCACGGAGGGCGTGGAGCCGAGGATGAGCCATGCAGACTCTTCCGGCGCTGGCTCTCCCTGGCCTCTCTCTGTGCCACGCCGCCCCCACCACCCGTCCACAGACTGGCCAGCTTGGCCCAGTTGGAAGAAGTGTCAGGTCTTTGTCTGAATCTGGAGAACAGCTGCCTTGGCTGGGTTCAGAGCTGGGAGGACAAAGTCCTGGAATGGCGTATAAGGGGGTGCGGGGAGGGGGCTTTTCCTGGCTTCCTTCTCCGCACCCTTCCATCCAGCTCTTGCAGGACCATGGGAATCCCAGTGACCTCAGGGGATGGGGGGCTAATCAGTCCTCCCCCACATTTAGAGGGTGGGAGAGGATCACCTTTCTCAAGCCCCTACAAGAGTTAACTCCCTGAATCTGAGCAAGTTGGTGCCATCCCTGACACTGTTAGGAAAAGGGAATCCTTAGAGGTGAAGATCCATTATGGGAGCTACAAGGGACCTCCATCCATTTTCTGGATAAGGAACCGGGACCCAGTGGAAAATGGATTGTCTGGGGGCCAGGATGGGTAGAGGCAGAGGGCGGCTGCTTCCCAACCCCTCTCCTCTCCTGGGCTGAGCTCACCGTATGTCCCCAGGAAACTGGATGATGCTAGAGCTCCTTCCCCAGATCCCTTGGAATGCAGCTCAGGCTATGGTGGGCCTGGGGTCCTGGGGAGTTTGTCACTGGAAGGGATTTCATTTTCAGAAAGGAGCCACTTGCAAATTGGGAAACTGAGGTCAGGGATAGTGTCTCTTTAGGCCTAATAACTGCAGGACTGGACGTTAGGGCTGGGACTTGGCTTCCTGAGAGGTCACCTGGTGGTCCCTGCTAAGACCTGGGAGGCGTAGAGCATTCTCGGGTGGGGTGGCGGGGCCGGGGGGCTGCCCAGCTGTCTTGATCTTCTACTCTGTGAAATTATTCCTCACTTTCAAGGGGCCTAGTTCTCCCTTCCCCACCCCCCATTCCTTTTACCCCCATCCCCTGAAAAGGAGGAGACAGATGTCCTTTCTTCCACACATCACAGCTGCAGCCAGACACAATTTCTCTAAGCCCTGGGAACAGGTGTGGAGTAGTTCTAAGCCCCCTAGGGATGTGGGGGACTCGAGAAGGCGGCCGATTTTAGAAGCTGCACGGGTTCCCATCCTCCCCTGGCCCCATCTGTGAAATGGGAGGACTGCTCTAGGTAAGCACTTCCCAGAGTGGGCTCTGGGGGCGTAAAGAAAGTTCCAAAGCTAAGCCAGCTTGGGAAAGCCTGTGTGAACACCTTGTCTTAAAACAGTTACAGGGCTTATGGCCGGGCATGGTGGCTCAAGCCTGTAATCCCAGCACTCTGGGAGGCGAAGGCGGGCAGATCACGAGGTCAGAAGATTGAGACCATCCTGGCTAACACGGTGAAACCCCATCTCTACTAAAAATACAAAAATTAGCCAGGCGTGATGGTGGGCGCCTGTAGTCCCAGCTACTCGGAAGGCTGAGGCAGGAGATTGCCGTGAACCCAGGAAGTGGAGCTTGCAGTGGGCCGAGATCGCACCATTGTACTCCACCCTGAGCAACAGAGCGAGACTCTGTCTCAAAAAAAAAAAAAGTTACAGGGCTCATTACAAGTTTAAAGACTTTAACTTAGGGCTTCCTAAACATGTATGACCAAGGCAAGCTGATTTCCGATTCAATGAACAAACCTCCCTGGCAAACACCGGCCTCTGCAAGAGGTTCCAAGGCCCTTCTCTCTCCGAGGTTCCTCTTCAGCACCCAGGATGCTCACGCCAATTCCTGCCACACACCTGACCCACTCCTCCTTCAGTGGACGCATCCCTGACACTGTTCTCTGCCCCATGGCCTCTGCTGCCGCCTCACCCTGCTGGCTGCTCAGTTGTGCTTGGGTTTTCTCCATCCCAGACCTTCAGAGAGCCTGAACAGAGGCAGGGGCAGTGCGGGGCTGTCACCCGGGTTTCTGAGGGGTCTAAGCCCCTCAGCTCAGCCCCCACCCCAATGGTCCCCAGAGGGTTGCGGGTCATCTGTGGCTTTTCTGCTTCACAGGGTTGGGTAAGGGCTCTAGAGCAAGGAGAGAAGAAAATTCTGGCCACCAAGGATCTCATCAGGAGGATCCTGAAGGGGGGAGCTTAAAGAGGAATAGGCGTTCCTCTCCTCACCGTCTAAACTCTCAGAGTAGTCACACCTCACATTCCGCAACCCTCAAACTTCCCAAAGGCCCTGAGTGTGCATGACACCCGCCCATCAGGAGACAGCTGTGGTGTGGTGGAAAGCGTGTCAGCCATGGAGGAAACCTGGGCCCCCAGCTCCATAACTGGCCAGGTCTCTGCCCCGAGGCAGGTCACTTCACCCCTATGCACACTTACCAAATTTCTCAAAGAAAGGAATAGTTCCTTTCTCACTGGGTTCTCATCAGAGTTGAATGATATGATAAATGTGACAATGGCTGGCTTGGAAGAGTAGCTCAGAAAGCACGAGCAGAGAGGAATTCACCACCTCCTCCCCCGTCAGTGGTAAGATTTCTCTGATTTTAGGAGAGAGAAAACTGAGGCTCAGACAAGTTAAGTCACTTGCCCAAGGTCACACGGCCAGTCACCCCCAGTCCTTTGCCTTCCTGCTTTGCTTCATTTCCAAGAAGATGCCTCTGAGATGGGAGATGTTACACTGACTTTTGGGGGCATTTAGCCAGTGTGATGTCCTTGATTCTTGAACCTTTCATCCTCCCCACTAGTAAAATGCCTGCGAGACAGAGGCTGGAAGACAGCCCTGCTTTTCTGAAGGGGTGGGATTATGGATGTGTGGAGGCAGGAAGGGGGTATTAATTTTTGTGAAAATAACTTTTTAAAAATAAAAGTAGGCTTCTGCAGTAAGACAATCTCATTTCAGTTTGCAAAGAGCTCCTCCCAGTAAGAAGGGAGAACGTTTTCTCCTTACCTCCTCGTTCCTGGCCACGCAGACCCTCGATAGGCCCTGCCACCATGTCCCTCTCACTCTGCGTGTGCAGCCACAGGATGCTGAGCTGCTGTCCTTGAGCCCTTTCCTTACAGCAGCAAAACCAATCCACATGCAAGGTCTGGAGGTCAGGACGGGACTCACGGCTTCTTCCCTACTTCCCACCCAGGTTCTAAAGTCATTTTACTTAGCACAAGGAAATGAGGAAAGAACAGGGGGAAATGAGGAGAAAGAACAAGCATGCCTATCATGCGCTCCACGTTGTGCTAGGGCCTTAGGAATGTGCCTTCGGCAAGCACTATATCTCCCTTTTGATTTTTCTGTGGAAAAATCTCCCTTTTGATTTCTCTGAGACAGAGGCTGTTTAGAGGCCATGAGAGGGAGGGGTTTTGTCCTTGCTATCATTGTCTGTTTCCGTCACCAGCCAAAGCACGGACCCTGATCGGTATCTCCATTTGGCTAACTCACCTTCTCTTCTGCTATGTCCTTTCCTCCCTCCATCATTTGAAAATTTCACAACCTGTGAGGTTGGGAAGCATAGGTAGACGTTTGGTCAAGCTGGAACGACAGTTCTACCAAACTCCTCCCCTTGTGCTCATGTGTGTGTTCCCGTACCCACGTGGATCTAAGTCCTGTCCCGGGATAGTGCTCGTATCTGGAGTGAATGGAAGGGTCAGGAAGGATGTGCTTGTCCTGAAGGCTTGTAGAGGGAGGAGCTATCATGGCAGCCTCTCCTCCTGAGCTCATTCAGGTGTTCCCTCTGCCTGGCTGGGCCATCTCTTTCCTTGCCCTTTCAGTAAGAGGCTGTGGAATTATGTGAGGGAGAGGAAGAAGCTACTGCTTAGAGGGATTCTGCTCTCCAGGCCTTAAGCTGGGGTGCTTTCTAGCTCCGCTCTTCTCGTTTAAAGGGATGGCCTGACTCCAGCAGGTATCTGGAAGTAAAAACAACAAACAACCCCAAACATCTCCCAGCGCCAGACTGATAGCTCAGATTTCTACCACAGGTGAGATTTCCTGCTCATCTTTCTGATGGAGGAAGCCTGTGTGTGTGTGTATGCACGTGTGTGTGTGCATGTGTTGTGCATGTGTGCGCGTGTGTGTGTGCATGTGTGTGTGTGTGTTTTCTCTGCTGATTTATAGGCACTTTTTGGGTTGATAGATCTGTGAGGAAGAGTAGGAATGGAGTCAGGGAATTGTCTTCGATCAGAGGCCTGATGAGAACAAGGCGCTCATCAACACTGTTTAGGAAGGTGTTTTGTGCAGGAATTTGTGGCAAGTGATGGGAGGATGGTAGGGTGTGAGAAGAAGGGGGAAAATGCCACAGTATCTGACAACTTAAAACTCAGGGAGTCACAGAAATGTTGGGGCTTTGAGAAAACTTTGCCAACAACTCTCCTCTGAGGGTCTCTGGCCTGAGGTCACTGAGAATCTCAGGGAAAACAGGAGCAAGGACACAGCGGGCCCTCATGGGAGCAGATGCAGTCCTTTGGCCCACCTGCCCCTCCCTGCTCTCATCTCGGAAAACGTCGGCCCCCAACGCAGACAGGTCACTTGGAAACCAGGGAGTGGGGTTAAAAGCATCTCTCAACCCAATGTTCCCTTCCCCTTTCACATGCAGTATTTTGGGAACCGCGTGCTGTAGAAGCTGCATTGTAACAGTGGAAACATTTTAATTAAATGGGGAGACCTTAGGTCTGTCACATGACCTGGGTGTTCTCCTGTATAAAATGAAGGCTGATAACAGCTCCTTGACCGCTTCACAGGACTCTGGGGTCAAACGTGGCATGGGAAAGTGCTTTGTAAGGGAATTCAGATGTATAAGCTGTTCTTAGTAGGAGAGCAGTTTGCTCACCTGCTTAATGCTGGGGTTGGGGCAGGGCTGAAGCTGGGAGCTGGTGTTGGTGACTTCGGGAAGTTAGCTCTCCCTTGCTTCCAAGTCAATCAATGCTGGCTTTCAGTGATATTATTGAAAGCATATAAAGCTGGTCTGGTTGGCCTTAGAATAAAAGCTTCTGAAGGGCAGGGGGGCCTGGGGCTGTGTGGGACAGAAGTCTCTTGTTTCAAGAAGACATCAGTTCAGTGGTGGTATTCTGCCTGTGCCTGTGAGATCTGGGCTCGGACAAGCACTTTAAACCCACAAGTTGGCTGCATCATCTCTGAGAATTCCGTGACCCTTTCTGGGGTGGGGGCTGAGGAGGCCAGGAAATGGCTTTGGTCCCATTAGTCATTCTGGCGCCAGCAGCCCGACAGCAATGGCTTCTCATAGGGGAGTTGGGGGAGATGCCCATGGCGGGAGGGTGCCATGGGGGTGGGGTGGAGGGCAGGGGGGCTGCTGTTCTCATGCCCCTTTTTACCTAGATGCTGCCAAAGGTGGTCCCTGGAACAGTGACCACAAAGTGTCTCATGGGAGGAAGAAGGATGAAAGAGATGGGAATTCTTGTAAATTTTTAATCTGAAAAATAAAGAAAGTGTGAATTAGAATTAATGCAGGTATTAAATATTTAAACTTTCTGTACTCACTTTCATTTTTAACATATTCCTTCCTCAAAAACCTCGATAACGCTTGTCAGATTTGTTCTCAAGATGTCCCCCTCTCTCCACCTCCCCCTAGGCCCAGCCCCAAAGTGAGACCGCAGGTATTCATCATCCTGATGGAAATGCTCATTTTATTTCTCCTACAGGAACCATCTGATCTCTCTCTTTATATTTATGCTTTCTCTCTGTGGCAGTGTAAATAATTAATGCTGTTACAAACACATCCTATGCAAAATATATATTAGAAAAAATAACTCTTTAATTTGGCATGTCATTTAATTCCATTTTGTAATCATAGCACAGGGGCTACAATTAATGCCAGGGCTGAGGAATCCAGCCTGACTGCTGACACTGGCAGAGGCACGACCAAGTCTCCTAGACTGAGGCCCTCTTGGACTCTCAGCTGTTTCTTCTTTGTGTGCTTTTGGTTGATGGATGGAGATGGTACCCACTGTCCAGGGCGAGGCTGAGAGTGAGTCTGGAAATGAAACAGGAAACTCACTTCTATCTTCAATAGAATGGGGCAAGGGTGGTCCAGGTCTCTTCAAGTGCACTTGGTAGCATTCATCCAAAAGGATGCTGGGACATTTAGATGTAGGACATTTGGTACATCCTCACGGGGTCGGGGGCGGTTGTCCTTGGACTTTTGGGGAGTTCTCACAAGGATTGGCTTGGGGCACAGTAGCAAAGAGTTTCCTGGAAGTTGGGTTTTATGCATGCATTAATTTAACAAATATTTATTGAGTGCCTCATATGTGCCAGGTGTTGTTGTGGGCACTGGAGATACAACAGTGACTAAGACAAGGAATGAAGATGAAAATATCCAGTTTCTGAATATTCCACCATCGCCTCTGCTCATTCCTTTTTCCATTCAATGGTCTTTCTGGCTATCTTAAGGAATCCATCTATCAGAGCCATTGCCCCCTCAGGTTTTAAGAACTCTTGGCTAGTATTTGAATAACTCAGTGTTCCTGGATTTACCAATTCCTGTGAGTTTAGCACAACCTCGCAGATAAGATTGCAACTACCAGCAGCCCTCTCTCCCCTGGGAGGAATCCTACAAACCGAATGACTGGCATCGGCATTCCTTTCTCCTGGACTCCAGGTGTGGTCTTCCCTCTGCAGGTGGGTGAATGGCTCTTTTGGGAGACTGCAGGTCCTGCCATGACATGGTGTCTTGCACTGCTGATCCTGCCTCTATGTGTCATCTCAAGGGCCCAGACCTGGGGCTGAAGCCTTGGAGGTTTGAATTTCAGCTTTCATGTGGCATTTGTCAGCCTTTCCCCCTATTGAATATCTTCTGTAATTGTCCCACGCCTGGCGCCATTCAGTGTGTGTTCCCAAGCTAAAAAGCCCTCATTCACTTGTGGCTCAGGCTCTCATTAATTCTTTCATGGGGTGGAGAATAATGAGGGGACAGCTAATACACTCGAAAAAAAATTGATTTTGTAGTTAGCAATTTGCCACTCTTTGTTTGGAAAGCCAATGTGGACTCCTCAGCCTGTAATTCCACTGAGGAGAAAATTTAAACAATTGGCACCCAGGCCCCAGCCCACCTTCCCAGAGAGGCTCTGATGCACTCTGCATTTCATGTTTCCCAGGATAGGATGGCGGGAGGAAACTTGGAAATCATCACGAGCACCCTGCTCTTCTCCCCTGACTCAGGCTCCTGGACCAGGGCCTGTATCAGGCATGGGCTGATTCAGGAGGTGGAGATCTGTCTGACTTGAAAGGCCTATGGGAGGAGTTTCCAGGCATCTCAGAGGCTCTTGATTGGCTAGGACCAAAGATGCTGAACCTTAGCTGCCTTGGGGGGTGACACAAGAAGTTCTGCAGGACTAACCCCTGTGACTCAACTTCTGTGTCTTTCATGGGGGCTGATGATCCTGTCTGTGGATTTGGAGGGAAGATGTTTGAATGATTTCACAGTTCCCTGCCCCACCATCCCGTCCTCTCTGCTGGGATAGCCATGGGACTGAATTCTACCCAGACTCTAGTATATACTCTGGCCTTCCTTCTTAGGAAGGATTTAAGGAGCTCTGAGTTAGTTTTCAAACTTTGCTACAAGTCCAGCTTGGCCATTTTGCTCTGCTTTTAGAAAATGGGCTTTCATCTTAGTAATACCAGATTTCCATTTGTACACCGTGTCAATCTGACAAGACACTCATAATCTCTTTCCGGACATCTCCATTGCTGAATTCTCCCTGAATACAGTGTTCCATGCTCTCCTTTCTTGAATAGACTTCCTCCCATAATTTGCACCGGGGTTTCTTCCCTACCTCCATCCCAAGGCAGAGTGCATATTTGGGTCAGCTCTCAGCCCCACTCCTGTTTTCATTTGTTCATTCAGTATTTGCCATGCTGGCACTGTATCAGAGCACTCTGCTCACTTGGTTTTCAGAGGAGTCTCAGTTCCTGTGTTCCAGAAGACACTGATTTCAGTTCTGTCTAGACCTTCAATGTGTGTCCTGTCATGAAAATAGCAGAGTTGAGGGAAGGAGAGCAGCAAATTGATGACTTTGTCAAGAAAAAAAAAAAATCCCCCAGGGTCCATAAGGAGCACCTCCTCCTTGGGCCTTGCTCCAGCTCATAGCCCAGATGTTTTTCCTGGCTCTGCTCAGCCCATGGTACCCAGAAATGATGTGACTCCATTTGGAGCCATTGATGAGCCAGACATACTGATGGGGAAGCCGCCTTTGCCCACCCCCGTGACAGATGCATCATCGAGTCCCTTGGCTCTGTTAATAAAACCTGCCCTTGCTTTCCTAATGCCCTGTGCCTGCAGTGGCAGGGCCATAGACCTCTCAACGCTATAGCGACAAATCACAGAACACTATAAGCCCAGAGCCACTCGGTGCCTTTTATTAAACCTGACAAATATCCAATAACCCTGGCCTCATGCCTACTCTCCTACATCATTTGATACAAATTGCATGGAGGCTTGGAGGGAAGTGTTTCAAATGGGAACTAGAGTTGGTGATGACAGTCCTCCTGGCTGTGAAGGGTCGTGGGGGTGTGAGGAAAGCTCTCCAGGTGTTTTTCCATAAGTCTGTCTCAGCATGACTGATCCTGGATCCTTAGGTAATTGATTCGCTGGTGGAATGTCTGGCTCTCGATGAATCATGATAAATGGCATCTGTGAAGCTCTTTACCAATTGCTAAGCACAGGCACACATATTATCTCATTTAATGCTCACATCAACCCTGAGATGAATGCTCTTGTCCCAGTTTCACAATTGAGAGGACAGAGATGCAGAAGGTTTGACTTGTTAAGGTCACATGATTAATATGGGACAACTGGGGCCCAAGCTCAGATCTTGATTTTGTATCCCGTGTTCCTTTGACTTTCCATTTCCTTCCGTGCCCTCTCTCCCCTTCTCCCTCTGTAACATGGAGGATTTGGGCCTTGTTCTACCCAGGACCTGGAGTAAGGATTAAAGGGATGTTCTTTACGCTTTGATCGTGTCGCGTAAAGAGGGCACAGGGACAGCTCTCCCACTTCCTCCAAGAGGAACAGCCGCCTTCTTTGTGGGGTTTCCCCTTCTTTATTTTTCCCACGGACTCCCAGTGCCTCACAGGTCCCGGTGTGAACAGGAGAGGAGCAGCAATGAATCAGTGCTTTTTTGAAGCTGTTTTCCAGAAGCGAGAGAATTGACTTCTCCGCCTGCCTCACCACGCCTTGTTTCAGGCAGTGACAGAAGCAGCATTGAGCACTGACTGTCGGGTCTGGCCGAAGCGCAGGGAGAATGGCCTGCAAGGGGAGGCAGCCAAAGCCCCTACTGTCACTGCCCATCACTCAAGAGCTTAAGCAGCCAGCTTCCTGCACCAGTCTTGGGTTGAAGAAAACTTGCAGTCTGCCTGCCTAAAAGCCCGCCCAGTCCAGGGTGAGAGGCCGCTTGTCAGGCCCGGAGAGACTGGCTGTGCTGGTCAGGAAGGCAGCCTGTGAATGAGCACACTCCCCAGGCAGGCTCAGAGTTCAGGGATGGGTGTTTACCTTTGCAGCCCACTGTGCTTCTCGCCACTTGAAATTCTACTAAGAACCCAGAGGAGCAGCTGAAAATATCCCAGGTTATATGAAAATGAATGAAGGCTCAGCAAACAGAGCCCAGCTTCTGAGCAAACAGCTGAAAAGGCAGGCGGCAAAACAAGAAAAGGGGAGAATGCAAAAGGAGGATGGGCAGATGGGAGAAGGAGGGAAGGTGGACCGAGGGGCAGGAGGAGGCGGGTCAGAGCGAGGGCTCTGGCTTGTCTTCTGTCCTGGAGATGCCTCTGCTACCCACCTCCCTATGGGGTGAGGAAAGCAGTGCCAAGAAAAAGGTTCTCAACTTTGGGCTGGATGGAGAGACTTTTTGGGGAAAATGCCTTGTGGTTTTGTGAGTTCTATGGTATTTTTCTACAGTGAAGGGAAGTTGGAAGTGAGGGTAGGTCTGGGCACTTTGCCTTCCTAGGAGTTAGGAGGCCTGGGTTCCAGACCCAGCAGTCATGGTGTGACCTTGGGCAACACCCCATGTTTGTGAGTACAGTTTCCTTATTGGCAAAATGAGAAAGTTTGACTAGACCACGTCAGGGGGATCCTTTTAGCTCTAACATTCTATAGTTTTTGTTTTGTTTTGTTTTGTGTTTTGCTTTTACCGTAACTGACAAAGACTTGGATACATATTTGACTACTGTTGAGCTGTGCTAACCACCTTTGGAAGCTTATCTTCCGAGACACATGGACACGGATGGTCATGTGAGCAGGAACCAGCAGAATCAGGATCTTCTTGGATATTGTGAGTGAGGCCAGGCTGGGGCCAAAGACGTAGCTTCCTGCCAACAGTGGTGAAGGTAGTATCACACTGGCTCTGGAACCACAGGTTAGAGTTGGAGGACCTCATATTTATTACTTAGTGTGTATTCTGTGCCTAAAGCTGTGCTAAGTACTTTGCATTTATTCTCTCATTTACTTTTATACCAATGCTTTGAGCTAAGGCTTATTATTATCCTACTCTTATGCCTCAGAGCAATAGAGTAACTTGCCCATGGTCACATAACCTAGATGTCACCCAGACCTGAATGATGCAGGGGGTCCACACTCCTAACCACTGCACCACACATACTTTCAGAACCTTATGGTCTCGGGAAAGACATGATGAGCCTGAAGGGTAAGGGATATCGAGCTCCACATCCCAGCTCGCTGAGGGGTTGTGTTCCCTCCGCAGAGCACAGAACGGAGTCCCTATATATGAATCCTTTGCCTCTGCGGTGCCAGCCCCTGTGCAGAGGTGCCCTGCCAGCTCATATCAGACAGCAACTCATGAAACCGTGGCCTTTTGTTTGTTTTGTTTTTCACCTTTTATAGACTAGAGAACAAACTGTGCAGCAGCCATAGTGCCAAGAAGGCAGGCAAGGATGCGTGAACAAGGAACACACGGGGATGGAACATGTCGGCTGCAGCTAGGAGGACTTGACCTGAGGCTGGGGGCTGGAGCAGGCCCAGGCCAGGACGCTGGGCCATGGCCTTTGTCTACTCTCTTAGATGCTAAGCCTCCTCGTAAAATATTCTAGGACCTTGGAAGGCTGAATGACCACCTGTGAGGAATGTTGGAATAAATGGGAACTCTTGCTGTAGGTGGAAAGTCAGATCAGGGGCGGTAGGATAACACCCAACTCCAAGTTGCTGCACATCCATGTGCATCTATTATGTGCTGATTATGAGCCTGGTGTGGCAGCAGGCCCAGTCCCGGGGTGCAGAGATAAGTAAGACAGCACATCTAGCCATAAATCGCTTCCTTCAGGAAGGCAGTCAACAAATGCTAGATGCCTACTGTGTGCAAGGCTTTATTGTAGGTTCAGAGAATAGTGCTGAACAAGACAAGGGTCCCTGCCATCAAGGATTTCATATTCTAAGTAGGGAGGAGTAGAATGAATAAACAAGGAAGCAACCATGGAAATAAGAAAATGTTAGGTCCTGACGAATGCTGGGAAGAAGGTAAAGCAGGCTCTGGTGGGAGAGTGTCTGGGCTGGGTGTTGGGGAGGGCTCTCTAAGGATGGGATATTTGTACTGAACCTGATGGTTGAGAAAGTGACAGCCATGGGTAGATGGGAGGGAGAGCATCTCAAGCAGAAGGAAAAGCAAAAGCCAAGTCTCTGGGGTGGACCTGAGCCAGTGTGCATGGGGAATGAGTAGACAAGACGGAGGATGAAGAGAAAGGAGGTCAGGGAGGCAGAGAGTGTCTTAGGAGGCCACACAAAGGCATTTGGGTCTTACCTGTCTTGGATAAGCCATGAGGACTATAACGGGGAGAGTGAGGAGAGCTGAGTGTGCTTTAGAAAGACCACTCTGGCTGCTGAGGGAGTAAAGGGGGCTGGTGGAGGCTTTGTTGGCTTAGTCTTGGCCATGGCAGTGGAGATGGAGCAGAGTTGTGGGAGTCAGGTTGTTGAGGACTTCTTGATGGATTGAATGTAGTTGAGGAAAGGAAGGAACCAAGACTGATTTCTAGATTTTTGGCACCTGAATGGAGAGTTTTACTTAGATGGAGGAGACTTGGCAGAAGGTGGTGTAGGATCTGAGGGGAGAAATTAAGAGATCTGTTTTGAATACGCCAAGCTCAGGATGCCTTTGAGACACTGAAGTAGAGGTGTTGAGTAGACAGTTGAATACAGATGTCTGGGTGTCTGAAAAGAGGTTCAGTTGGAGATGGGGATGTGAGAGACCTGCATGTGTAAGAAGGTCCTTAAAGCAATGGGGAAAGATCACATAGGGAGAGAGAAAGGATGCAGAAAGGGAGAGTGAAGGGGATGCTCCAGTATTTTTAGGAAATGCCAACAGAGGAGGCTGAGAAGGAGTGCTTGCGAAATACGGGAAAAACCAGAGGAGCGAAGTATCAGGGCCTGGAGGAGAAAGTTTTTTGAGATCAGCAATTGACCTGCTGTGCCAAATGCTGCTGGGAAGTCAAAATGAGGACAAAGAATTGACCATTTACTTTGGCAAGATATGGTCCTTAGTAATCTTGGTAATTAGTCATCAGTGGAGCGGTGGGTAATAAAGCCTGATTGGGGCAGGTTGAGGAGAGAATGGAAGATGGGAAAGGAGAGACAGTGAATACAGATGACTCCTTTGAATAGATTTACTGTGAAGAGGAACTCCTAAAGAGGTGGAAAATGGAGGAGGGACTTGGGTCAAGGGAGAGTTTATTTAAAGGAGGATGATATGGAGGTATGTTTATATGCCAGGGGAAGTGATCCAGTTAAAGAGGGAGAAAAGTCCTTGAAATGGCACGGGAGAATGGGTTCAGAGCCCAGTGAAGGTATTGACCTTGGATGGGAGCCAGGACTCTTTTTCTATGGTAATTGCAGGATGGCATGGCCTGAGTATTTTAGTTCTGAGACAGACACAATAAAGGGCTTGTTGATGGGAAGATGGGGTAGTTCTCATCTTATAGAAATCTGTTTTCTGTATGAAATATACTGCAAGGTCATCAACTGAGAGTGGGGTGGGGAGGGAGTGTTGGAGACCTGGGGAGAGAAGGAAGTATGAGGTTTCCCCAGAGACTGGGAAATTGAATTTTCTAGGGAAATGTGGTAGTTTTTTCTGACAGTGTTGAGTGAGATTTGTGGTCATGTTTGAAGTGAGTCTAGTCAGCAAATTTGTATCATTTTTCTCCAGTAAGGTTCAGCTGCTCTGATACAGACCCTGAATAAGTGGGTAGGATACCAGGGCAGGAGTTCTGCTAGACTAAGACAATGCAAGGAGAGCTGCAAGAAGCCCAGGTGGTCAGCATGGCAGTAGCTGAAGTATTGGATAGTGGAATCAGAGCTGGGCAAAGAGGGAAGTGAACACATGCAGGGAGTGATGGAAACGGATCATGAAAAAAATGTTTTTAATGAAGTAGGATTGGAGAATTGCTAGAGTAAGTAGGGGTGTCAGAGTAAGCTAGGGTGGCAATGGTCAGAAAGTGGGAAGTTGGCAATGTACATTTTGTGGGTGATTCAGTTAGTGGTGTGCCAAAATCTAGGAAACGGCCATGTGAGTGGAGCAAAAGCTCATGGGATGCCAATCACAGTGGGAAGAAAAAACAATAATAATAAAGGCTCATTGAAGCTAGGAAGGACAGCCAGCTAGAGGCCAGAGTATCAGACAGGTCATCTTCATGGATTTTGGAGTCTCCAATGATGCTGGCAGAAATAATAATGGAGAAAGGGTCAGCAACCCAAATGCTAAAATCATCCATGAATGAGGGGGAATGTCCAGGAGGTTGGTAGACTGACAGCATTTCATACGTAGGAGGGGGCATGAGGTCTGATGACAGGTGCTTCAAGTAAGTGAGCTTGGGTTTTTGAAAGAAGAAAGAGAGATGGTTTAGAAGCTGCAGTGGGGTGCTCGCTTCAGCAGCAAACAGACCAAAACGGGTGTGACACAGAGAAGATTAGCTTGGCCCTGCACAAGGATGACACACAAATTCATGAAGCATTCCATATTTTGTACAAAAATAAAATTAGATAGAAGGAATAAGTTCTAGTGTTCAATAGTACAGTAGGGAAATTATAGTTAACAATAAATTATTGTATATTTCAAAATAGCTAGAAGAGAAGAATTATAGCGTTCCCAACAGAAAGGAAAGATAAATGTTTGAGGTGATGGATATCCCAATTTTACACTGATTTGATCATTTCACATTGTGTATAGATATCAAAATCTTACATGTACCCCCCAAATATACAGCTATTATGTATCAGTGCAATTTTTTTTTAAAGAGACTAGCTGGGTGTAGTTGCTCATGCCTATAATCACAACACTTTGGGAGGCTGAGGCGGGAGGATCTCTTGAGCTCAGAAATTTGAGACCAGCCTGGGCAACATGGCAAAACCCCATTTCTACAAAAATACAAAAAAAATTAGCCAGGTGTGGTGGCCCATGCCTATAGTCTCAGCTACTCAGGAGGCTGAGGTGGGAGGATCACTTGAGTCTAGGAGGTGGAGGCTGCAGTGAGCTGTGATTGCACCACTGCATGCCCACTTGGGCAACAGAGTGAGACCCTGTCTAAAAAAAAAAAAAAAAAAAACTGTAGTGGGAAGCAGGGAATACACACCCATCTCCCACTTCTGAAGTATATGAGACATAAGAGACAAAGCTGTCCCCAACAGAAAGGGCTTCTGAGGAAACAGGTCCTCGTAGGGAAGTCTGGGTTTCCCCTAAAGCAAGAAAGTGAAGGAGCCAGTCAGAGAGACCAGGATCCCCAGAGGGCATGGCCAAAGGCAGTGGGAGCAGCCTGGCGCTGAGTGTCTACCCAGCAGTGCATCAGCTAGGACCCTCAGACTCCCGATGATGGCTCAGGCGAATGGGAAGTCTGATGAGTGTGGTCCTGGAGGGCACAGCAGCCTGGGACTGAGGGCCTCGGGATGGCCGGGTCTTGGCTTGCGACGGAGATGTGGTGCCTTCAGTTGAAGACCGAGGGAGGGGCCGACTTGCTGGATTAGTACAATTGATGAGTGAATATCGGGGTGGTGGACACAGCCCATCCTGGAGGTGTTTGGTTGTTGGCATCCAGTAATGGCAGGTGAGAATCATATCACAGGGAATGTCAAAGTAAAAAAGGCATTTAGATATCCCTCGCCAGCTCTTATTTTTCAGATGAAGAAACTGAGGCCCAGAGAGGTCACATAACTTGTCCAAGGTCATCAGGTCAATGAGTGGGATTAGAATTTATTCAGAACAGAGGCAGGCATAGAGTTTGTGGATGCTGCCAGCCTAAGGCTGGGTGGAGGTGCAGGAGGCTGGCGGATGTCCGTTTTCCCAGCCTGGCTGAGCCGGGAGACCACTATGGTCTGGCTGTACCTATTCTCTCCTCGTGGTCACCATGTTTGCCCCCAACAGGGGCATGTGTCTGGCTTGGCGGGACTATTGGAAACCAGAGAGCTTAGATTCCGTCCCTGTCATCCCTGTGGCACCTTGGTCAAGTGCCCTGGCTCGTCTGGTTTTCACATCTCCTCTGTGCTTGTGGGCATGCCTGTGTGGCAACATGTAGGTGCCATGGCCTGTGAACCGCAGTGAGCAAGGTTGTGCCTGGACCTCTCAGAACTGGGCCGTGGTATCTCCTGGAGGGGGCTTCTGTCTGACCGAATGATTGAATCATTTACCAAGTATCTACCCTGCACTCAGCCCTGCTTCCATGAAGCTCAAAACCTAGCGGGGAACATCAGACTGGATCTGGAGACTCACAAGCTGATAAAGGAGACCCGAGAAGTATTTTAATTCACTGGCCTCGCATGTCAGATGAGGAAAATGAGGCTATGGCAGCACCAGAGTGAGAGCTTTACCCCGGCTGTGAACTCCCAGTCTGAAGCTGTGGCTGGTATGCCTCACCTTGCCATTCAACTTGCAGTGTCTGTCCCGTGGCCCCAGCATCTGAGGGGCATCTGGTGGGCCCTGCCAGGCTTCTTCCTATAGAGCACCTCAGAAGTGGAACGCAGGGGAGTCCTGGCCCCGACTCCTAGGCCAACAGCCAGGTACCCAGTCTATGGTGGTATCTGGGGGCCCCTTTTGCCACCCAGAGTAGGATGCCAGTGAACGTGGCCCCAATGAGCTGGCTCCTGCCTTTCAGCCCTTCTCTCCTTTCAGCCTGTGCAAGTGTTAAATACAGCATCAAATTAAGCAAAATTAAATACATTTCCATGCAGCATTTTTCTCTTGACTAAATCAAACAATGCGGTTGCCATAGCAACAGCCTCTTCTGAAAAGGTCACCTGCAAGAAACTGTGTTTTAGGTACAACTCAAGGAGATTATGGGGGATTAACTCATTTTATACATATATATTAAATATATATATTTTTTCCTTTAAAGGAACTGTTATGAAGAAATAATATCCAACTGAGCTGGAAGATACCCACAGAAAAAATTTTAAGTCCCTGATAAAGGATTTTTTTTCCTTTTTTTTTTTTTTTTTAACCAGCATGCAGTGGGGTGATATCTGAAATGGCGACTCTGTTTTTACTTGGCTTTAATTAAACCTCAGTCGGGGCTGAGAAATGTGGTGAAGCGAGATAATTGCACTATTCCCAGTACAGTTTTTAAACTCCGGCTTTGATATGCACCTCGTGACAGCGTGAACCTGCACCCAGACTCCTGGGGCTTCTTGAAGCTCAGCTTATAACCACCCCTCTCAACCTGTGTGCATCTGGGGAACAGTGTTGGGGACCTTGAATGGGAAGTGTAGGCTGGGGGAGATGGGAGCCCTGGTCATCTGCCCAGGGGCAAGGAGAGGCTGCACCTTCCCTAAAAAGTTCATGTCTGGCACTCAGGGGTTCTCCACTGAACTTGAGAATCCAAACTGTCAGGGAAGGATGCACACAGCCAGTCTACTCAGAAAGAGAATGGGGAGGTCTTCTCTAGCTTTTCCTGTGAGAGGAACTGGAATATCTCCAGGAAACCCTTACTGGGTTTGAGTGAAAGCAGGCAGCCTGGCGTGGGTTCCTTTGTGAGTGTCACAAGCAGGGTGAGGGGCAATGCATGTTACCGTTCAGTGCTCTCCATCAAGAACCGGTGTGGAGTTCCCCCAAGAAAGAGGCTGTAGTTTCCTACATTCACAGGGCCCTACACAGTTTGTCCAGCTTACCCAGCAATGGCACAGGCATGGCAGGGCTCTGGTTGTCACGATGCCAGGGTGATGGACATCTGTGGCTGTGGTGTATAAGGAGTATGTCTGCCCGCTTCCCACTCACCCCCTAGTTCTGCCTGCTTTCCAGGAGGCCAAGAGTCTGAGGGTGTCCAGGTGGAGGTTTCAGATATATGGGGAAACCAGAAACTGGTGACCTGAGTGACCGTCCTGGCTTCCTGGGCACCAGATGAACAGCTTCTCTGGAACCAAAGGTGGATCACACTCCAAAGACAATCCAGAATTTGCTGGGCAGGGCTGACAGCTCTCGTGTCAGGGTTTCATGAGGCTCAGCTTTGTCTGGAGCTCAGGCCGCTTGCTAGGGCCATGCCTCCCCTCTGGGCCTGCAAGAGCTCGTGGCCAGCACCAGCTCAGAGCCACCTCAGGAGGAAAGAGATTGGACTCCTGGAACGTATATGCGTGGTATGGCCGTGTGTAGAGAAGGCCCAGCTAACAAAAATACTCTTAGAAATGTTCCCTCAATGCCTTCCTGGTGGCTGACCTGCCATCATGTGGAATGTCTTTCCCTTTCTGTCCTCAGATCCCCAGACTCCAGGCTCTTCTCTTAATTTATCCCAGTGCTAGACAAGGTGGGCTTGTGTGGTGCAGCAAAGAGGGAGGAACTTGCATGATAGGCAGGCCTGGATTTGAATTCTGGCTGCCACTTACCCGTTGATTGCCTCTCTTTCCTTATTTATCAAATGGGGATAATAATAGCTACTGTCTTAAATAAGAGGTCCTCACAGGGTTCTTCTGAAGATTGAATGAAATGACCTGAGAGAATGTAGCCGGATAACACAGGTGCTCAATGGATGTTTGCTGAATACTGTATTTCAGGAACATGACTTTTGTACAAAACAAACCATGTGTTTCCTTTCCTGTAAAATCCTGCTTGCCAGCCGGGGGACAACCACAGAGCTTAAAGAAGGAACAGCAATTTCTAGCTCTAATCCCCTAATACAATCACTGGAGGTTTTCTTGAACTCTTAAGAAAAGCAAATCTACCGTTATCCAGGGAAGAATTTTATTTTTAGATCAACTCAGCCCTCTGAACTCACATGAAACCTTAAAAGAAGATCCCCAAGTGCCTGGAAAGACCTAGGAAAAAAGACCATCGTTCCAAGTGGAGAGGGCTGACATTCGAGTTACTCAAATCCGGCTTATTTCCCTTTTAGGACAAGGTGCAGCTGCTGCTGCCACGCCAGTGCTGTTGTGGTGTCTGTCACTGAGCAGGGCTTTAGCCATGCCGCTTTTCTTCTCTGGGGTGCCACTGCTCAGCTTGTCAGATAAGATCTCCCAAGTACCTTCAGAAGACACTTGGCAAAGAAAAGCTGTCTGTCAGCTCCAAGCCAGGGAATGTTAGTGCATAAGCTTTGGAGTCAAACAAAATTGGGTTTGAAACTGACCTCTGCCCATTTTTAGCCGCATGGCCTTGGGCTGGTTACTTCCTACTAAGAATCTTAGTTCCTGGCTGTAAAATGTGAATATTCTGTTTATCTCAGTGTCATTGACAGGTTTAAATGAGATAATACTCATAAAGTGTTCACCACCAGGACTGGCACGTCCCAGTCTCTCAATCTGTGGTGTCATGATTATATCGAGACCAGTGGGTGGCAGGCATCTGAGTCACCTGGAGGGCTTGTAAAATCACAGATTGCTGGGCCCTCCCTCTGGGGTTTCTGATTCAATAGGTCTGAAACAGAGCCTTGGAATTTGCATTTCGAACACGTTCCCAGGTGATGCTGCTGGTACAGGGACCACACGTTGAAAAGCACTGGTCTCTGTCATCCAATGAGGGAAATATTTGACCAAGGTCCATGACATTTGAGCTTTATAGGTATCCGGCTTTGTTTACCAAAGCTTCCAAGTGGGTGTAGAGGACCAAATTTAGACTAGTGCTGTCCAGTAAAACGTTTTGCAATGATGGAATTGTTCTATGTCTGTGCTGGCCAATTTGGTAGTCACTATTCACATGTAGCAATTGAACACTTAAAATGTGTACAGCTGAAGGAATGAATTTTACATTTAAATTTCACATAGCCAGCCGGGCATGCTGGCCCATGCCTGTAATCCCAGCACTTTGGGGTGCTGAGGCGGGTGGATCACTTGAGGTCAGGAGTTCGAGACCAGCCAGGGCAACATGGCAAAACCCCATCTCTACTAAAAATACAAAAATTAGCCAGGTGTGGTGGCATGTGCCAATAATCCCAGCTACTCGGGAGGCTGAGGCAGGAGAATCGCTTGAGCTTGAGAGGCTGAGGTTGCCATGAACTGAAATCACACCACTGTACTCCAGCCTGGGCAACACAAGGAGACTCCATCTCAAAAAATATATAAATAATAAAATAAAATAAAATAAAATAAAATAAATTCCATATAGCCACATGCAGCTAATGCCTACCATCAGATAGCACAGACAAGATTCTCACAGATAGGGCTTAGTGAAGGCATAACTATTAAACAGGGAAATGAATGGGTAAGTGGCTGACACCTCAAGAATGGAGGTTGGGGTCAAGACAAACATTGCAGCCACCTGCCCCTTCAGTGTGTTCCCTCTACCTGAGACCTTCTCTGGAGAATTTAGGAGCCAAGTTGAAGCTTCCTCCTCCTCTCCTGTACTTCAATATCTAGGTATACTGCTCTCTGGAAGAGGCAGAAATAATTGAAATATATGATGCGTAGGGTTTGAACATCCAAGTGGAATAAACAGTGATAGACCTCTTAGGGACAGTGGCAGGGTAGAGATGTGCCAGGGCCACAGCCTGTGTGTTTTCAGGATACAATAAAGTAAAGATGTTTGGAAGGAAGTAGAAATCAGAGAGCAGCGTGATTTGTTCTGGGTTGGAAGATGGAAGAACAGAAGTGTCACTTAAAAAGAAAACTTTTGACCCAAGACAAGACTAGGGACAATTTGAAAGAGGGGAACTCATTCCTCCTGGTGGTGGGGAGTGGGGAAGAAGGGAATCATGTTTGTGTCCAGGATAGAAAGGTGCTTGCTAATTCGAGGCATTTCTGAAGGTGGGAAATCAGTCAAGTATTATAATACTATTCAACAGTCACCCTGACAGTGTTTGCTCTAAAATGCCTCATCTCACACCGGGCCTACTTCGCTTGGGAAAGTGATATAACATGGCAATTAAGATCATTGGTTCTGAGAGTCACTAAGATGTGGCTCAAAATTAGCTGTGCCACTCACAAGCTATAGGACCTCAGGCAAATGATGTAACCTCTCTAGCCTTGGTCTCTCCATCGGTAGATGGAAATAGTAACTGAACACACCTAAAGGGTTGTTTTGAGAATTAATGAGATAGTGGATCTCAAGTGCTTCATGTAATGCCTGGCACATGGCAAGAGCTTTGTAGCAGCCATCCTCTCTTATTACGGTGCATACACCACTGACTTCCCTCCTAGTCTCTGCGGCAAGTACTCCCATGGGCTGTCCCACTAGGGCAGTAGGAGGGCTCTGCCTCTGGGAGCCCTTCCCTGAGAGTATGAGAGTGTCTTATCCTGGACCCTTTGCCAAGGCAGAGGTGACCTCTCAGCCCGCTGCTCCTCAAGGGTGCGCCTTTACTCCACAACAACAACCAGGATAGATTGTGGTGCGTGTTAGCGCCAAGACACAAGAAATAGCATCGCCAGAGAACCAACTTAAGCCTGGCCTGATTTAGTACAGAGAAAATGACAGCTGCTGTGCTCGGCTGGCTTCCACCCAGCAGAAGGCTATTTTTTGCAAATAAAATGGTAAGTTGCTAATCAGAAAGATAAATTAAGAAGCATTAAGATAATGATGGTCTAATCACCGTCCACACAGAGAATTGCTAGAGTGAGTATCCAGGCTACCGAGTGCTTGAGCGCATTTGGTGATTATTTGTATTATGAAGGGAATGATGAATTCCAGGCCTGGAATCAATTTAGCTTAGGAAACCCACAAGACCAGCCTCCTCAGAGAAAGGACACTAGGGACTTCTGGAGGTCATTGGGCCCCCCTGCTGTCCTCCACCCCCAGCTCTGAGCAGCCTTTCCCAAACCATTCTTGATTTCTGGCTGTTTCCCTACTGAGGTTCCCTGGCTTCTATGGGGGCACCTCTTGGTCCACCTTGTTGGATACCTAATAAGCTTCTGCTTGCTTGGGGACTGATTGAGTGGGAGGCTTTGTTCTACCTTGAGAGCAGCAGAAAGAGCCCCATCTGGGAGCAAGTTGCCACATAGCAGAGAAGGGGATCCGGGCTTCCCTGGCCCTTTCTGTGGGCCACTGGGCAGAAATGCTGTCCCATAGCATTGTGGCGCCTAAAGCAATCAAGCCATGGAGACTTGCTCTTCTTATCCTTTAGCTGAGAACTCAAGGCTAGGGGGGTGATTTGTCCAATATCACAGAGACAGAGCCTGAACCAGGACTCAGGCTGGTGCTCCTACACACAGTCTGCTGCTTTGAAAAGGGCTCTGGTGCTAAACTGAGAAGGAACGTTGGGAAAACACACCCCAGATTCCCAGTTCTCTGCTGAAGCTTCATTGAGAATAAGGATATTGAAGGGTATTAGACATGAAATAGAATAAACAGAGAAGGCACAGTTCATAGAGTCTTGACAGTTAGGTTAAAGAGTTTAGATCTGATCTAATATCGGGCTATACATCATTTAACTTCTCTTAAGCTTCAGGGTAGCCTCAGCTGTATCTTCATCTGTAAAATGGGGATCATAAATGGCCTAACCTCTAGATTTGCTATGAGGCTTAACTGAAAGCTGCATTTAAAATGCTGAGCTTCCTATCATTCCTATTACTGTGAGTAAATTCAGTAACAACAGTAGTAGAGGTGACTGCAGCTAGATTCTATGCAGTGGTGTGCTGGAGCCAGCTGGTGCCAGCTTGCAAGAGCTGATTGTTAAATTTTCAGAAATTTTGCAAGCCAATGGTTAAACACAGCCATTATTAACATTAAATTACACAAATTTGCATTAAATAAATTCTATTAAAAACACAGGTAATAAATACTCCAAGCTCACGGCTTCCTAAGCACTTCACTACCATCCATGCCCTTGAGGCTCTTTCCATCACCTCTGTAGGGTGGAAATCCTGGGTGATGGTGTGCTGCTTTGCATCTCTTCCCCCTTCACATTCAGCAACTTCACATTGGTAGCTTGAAACTGGCCATGGTGGGAATATTATTCCAGAAAGCCAGCTGTTAAATATTTACCAGCATGCTACTGGTCCTGGTGTGTAGGGCGTAAGTGAGAGACGGGGCAGTGTGAGGCTGCATGAAGGACCGTAAGAAAGGCCCCAGCTCAGGGTGGAACACAGAGTGCACACTCCGTTCATGACGGAGGTACTTGTGGATGCACGGGAAGAAAGGAATGGGAAAAAAACAGATGTGGGGCCAGGGCATGGAGGCTCACAGGTAGCCTAAAAACAGCACAGTCGTAACTAAAGGAAATAAGAGGGCTTCACAAATTTGAATTCCTGAAAACTTGCATGTCAACAAAGGTTTAATAACTCAAATCATACCCTAAAGGTATTAGGAAGTTCTCACTGAAAAATCCCATAGTAAATAATATTGTAGAGAAAAGAATCCTTTTGGAACATAAACACTTCTTCTCCAACAAAGTGAATTTGGGGTAAAAATGGATTTTTGCCCAATTTCTTCAAAGTAAGTTTTGCTAGCCTACGTAAGCCTATTGTGCCTGATGTGGGCACAGTGCAACCTCTGTCCACCCCCTTGGCCCTATGCCACCCCTTCGCCACCCACTGAGGTTGCAGGGAGAAGGGGTGCTGAGCCCTCCTCCCCACTGCCAGGCCTGGTGTCGCCTGCCGGGCCCTCCTGGCCCCCAGCTGTGTAGCCTGCTGGGCTGGGCGGAGCAATGGCCAAAGCTGTGATTTGCAGCCTGTTCTTCCTCCCTTGCCCCAAAGTTCATTGTGAATCTGGGCTTGGGTTCTGTCTGGGAGGGACATCTGCAGCCGTGGACCTTGGTCTCTTCTTGTTTCAGGGCCTGGCATTGCCGTTTGGCCAGAGTCTCCCAGGCCTGACTTGGTCAGAATGTGCAGGGAAGAACAGCGTATGTTGTGAGTGCGCAGGCAGCGTATGGCCTTAGGTTCTTCTTGGCCTTCTCAAGAGGGAAAGCGTTGCTGATCCTTTCACCCAGGAAAACATGTGCTGCACGTGGGATCCTGCAGCTCACTTGATCCTCCAGCTTCTGAGGTCTCTGATGCCTGTGAATTTGCCGCCTGAGGAGGCCCTCTTTGTCTCTGACCTTTCTCTTTCTCAGGCATTTGCTGTTGACAGTCTGATGACATTAATCCTCATTGGGTACATATTTTATTATCCCCATTTTGTAGATGAGGCAACTGAGGCACAAAGAGGTTCCTCAGCTTGCTTAGGGTTGTGTAGCTGGTAAGTGGTAGAACTGAGGCTCAGCTCTAGAGCTGTCTGACCCCAGAGCCCGGGCTGAACCACAACACCGTGCTGTTTAGAAGGTAGCCATTGGAAAGAAAAGTAGCAACCCTTTGGGGAGGATTCAGGTGAACCCCAGCTCCACTAGCCTGACTTAGCAAGTCTGGGAAACTCACAGCAAAGACCAAGCCCCTTCACAGAGCCACAGTGGCTGCAACCTGGGGAAAGGGCGTGCTAGCAGCCAAATGCTCTAAGGCCCTTATGGAAACAGAGCCTGACTCCTCTGTCCCATGTGGCGGGGAGGAAGGGGTGTCTAGGGCCTCACCATTTCCTCTTCCGTCTTTAGCTGGGGCAGTCACTCCCTCCCAGCTCCTTCCAAAGCTTAGGCTACAGGCAGACCCTGGAGCAACACGTGGTGTTGGGCTAGTTCCCGGCTGAGTGGGTTGGGGAGGAAAGGGGCTGGAAATTCCTGAAGACTCAGTCTTCTGGGGAACAAATGAATCTTCTTCCTCCCAGGTCTCCTCGGCAGCTGCTGAGCTGCAGAATTTATGGAAGCCCTTCACGCTTTGTGACAGACTGCTAATGAAAGAGAGGCCAGGCTTCTGCGTCTGCCTTCTTTGGTTTCTAATTTGTCCAGGGATTCTATCCCCAAGTGGGGGCAAGCGACTTGGAAGCCAGGGGGGCCACACAGAGCCCTGCAGCCTGTCAGCAGGGCTTGGCTTGAAAGGCCCCTGCTGAGGGCCACCCAGGGGGCAGAGGGTTGCTCCCAGCTCCAAGTACCTGCCAGGGATGTGAAACATGCTCTGGGATTAATGGGAACCAGATGGGCAGGACAGCCCCTCCACCTGGCCTCCACCGGAGAAATGCTCAGATTTCTGGCATTGTGCTGAAGCTTTTCTTAGGAGTTCTCTGAGACTGTTTTTTCGCTCCAGGCCACATGCCCAGGAACAGAAGCCGGGAGTCCTGGACCTTTCTGTCCAAATGAGAAGATGAGGAAATTAGGAGGGGCCTTAGATCTTGCACCGTGTGAGGGTTCTCAACCCAGGCTGCACATGAGAATCAGTGGGGAGCTTTTGAAAACTACCTGGGCCTGAGCCTTACCCGAGATCACTACATAAAAATCACTTGGGAAGGGGTCCAGGCATTTTCTTTTAAAAGCCTCCCAGATGTTCTGATGTGCTGCCCAGGTTGAGAACCACTGAACTCTTCTCCATCACAAACACTTCCTGATTGAGGCCGTGGTGAGCCCGAGGTCACACAGTCAGAACTGAAGACCCTGTCTCCAGCTCCCAGCGACAGCTTGTTCTCCCACACGTTCTTTCAAGTCCTCATGGCCCATCGGCCCTGCAAAGTGCCAAGTAAAGATCGTAGTCACCCTTTTATGTCTGCCTTTCCAATTTTCCTGGCCAATTTGAGGCCTTCCCCTCCTTGGAACTGGCAGAGGCACGTCTCCCGTAGGAAGCACTGCTGACCACCGCAGCGACTCTGGCTTCTCACGTTGTGCACCATCCCCAGCCTTGCTACTCCAAGTGTGGCCTGAGGACCAGTGGGACCCGCATCATCGGAAAGATTGTGAGAAATGCCTTAGCATGCCCCCACTCAACCCAGACCCCCTGAATCTGAATCTGCATTTTAGTGAGATCCGCAGGTGCTTTGTACGTATTTCTTAGATGGAGAAGCGCTGATATTTGTTGTGAAACACACACACGCTCTATCAGATTCATTTGTGTAGATTCTGTCTCCATGGTAAAATTACCTTCTTCTTGAGAAAGGGGACCATGTCTTATGTATCTTGCACATAACATGTAACAACATAGCACAGTGCAAAGCACATAGCAGGTGCCTTTTACCATTTCATTGGCCTGAGACAGTCTCTCCTAGGTGCTGCGGTGTAGAGATCTCCAGAGGATGGGCAGTGGCAGGAAATCCTCAGCCTTCAAGCGGAACCCATAGCAGACCGGGGCCCTGCTGACCAGGGGAAATCTCTTAGCTCCCAGGTGGGAGACTCCACAGTGGAATGAGACCCAAAATGGGGAGAAGGAGATGAGCCTCCCCTCATGACTGACTGCATGCCACATGCTATAGTAGGATACTGCTCTCTTCCCACCTCCACCAGTGATCCAGGCAGACAATGCAACATTGTCCTTCAGTTTTCTCCAAAATGGGAATGACAGTGTCTACTCCACAAATCTTCTGAGGTCACTTTGAATTTTGGGCATCTAGAAGGTATTCAGTAAACGCTTTGAATGAGGATCAAGTGAGAACATGGTTGCACTTTGCTACCTCTAGCCTTATTTATATATCAGGTCATTTTCTTATTCTTCCCTTTCCAGTTTTTTGGGTGAGCAAACAGAGACTTCACTCTCTCCCTGAGCTTTCAGGCTCTGGGCCAGATTTGACCAAACAATTGCCCCTGGAGTTGCAGCTGGAGTCTCCATGGAGGAAGAGATCACTCCTAAAAACAAACAAAAAACCAAATGTTACCCGGGCCAGAGCAGGGGTATCGTCCAGCCAGGACCTGATGGAAAAGGAGATAAAGGTGGGACAGAAGACTAGAGCCTTAAATCACTGTTCTAAAAAAAAAATTGCTGCTCACCACTGGCGTGTCACTCGGTGCTCATTAGCTGTGTAAGCACCTTCACCGGAGGCCCTTGCAGCCTGGAGGCTTCATCCGTTGCCCAATAACTGTTAATCAGCCCGCAGCAGCAGCACCAGCCCTTGAGGGCTGGGTCTTTCCTGGCAACCACAATCTGTTTCTATTTCATCTAAAAAAAATAAAATGGATAGGATGTTGTATTCACTCCCACCCCCAGCATGAAAGAGTGGAGGATCAGAGCTCCTTCCCAGCCCCAGCCCCACCTCCTGATGAAAAATTAACTAGCTGCGCTGAGTGAATGAATCCCTAAAGGGGAATGAGGTCTCTGATGTGAGCTGGACTGGGTTCTGGGAGCTCCAAAATCCTCCTGGTCATTAATTCTCCAGCCCCTGGATCCTTGGAGCAGCCGCAGACAGGTGTTGCAGCATGCTAATTGGCTACCCCTCCCAAAGCCAGCTCTGCCCAGCTACTGGTGGAGCGGAGCCGGCCTTGGTCAGGTTTTTGATGTGATGCAAGTTCTGTGTGCTTTTGGGGAAATGGAGTGGCTTGAAGCACACTTTTTGTTTATTTCTGTCTCCCTCTACTCTTCTGTGGGCTTCCTGGAGACAGAGACTGAGGGTTTTTTACATCTGAATCAGAGTACCTTCTAGATAAGACACAGTAGTGACTATGATAAAGGAATGAATAAATGGGTGAGTGAGTGAGGGCTTGACCGTGATCCAAGAGTCTACTCCACAAGCTCGATGCAGGCCTTGGGACACCCTTCACTTGTTTATTCAGTCAGTCAATAAACATTCATTACGCAGCATGGTAATGAGGAGCATGCTGTTCATTCATTCTTTAGTCTCAGTCATACATTCATTCAACAAACACTAGGTCCTGAGCCTTGTCCTAGTGTCAGGAATAGAGATAAAATGCTCATTCTCTGCCCTCAGGATGCTCACAGTGTGGTGGAGAAATGGGTCAGTAACTTGAACGTAACAAGATGCCTGTGGTAACAGCCTTGAGAGTGGATGCCTGAGGTTCTGTGGGAGCCAGAGGAGGGTGCCGAGCTCCACTGAGGAGACAGAGCAGAGTGTCATATGGGGGATGCAGATATGACACCTGAGCTGACCCTAGAAGGATGAGTAGGGGTTAACCAGGAGAAGCTGATGGGAGAAGGGTGTTTCCGGCAGAAGGAGCTGAGACAGACGCAAGACTACACCCCGATACCATGTCATTCCAATGGCAGAGGCAGAGCACAAAGGGGGTCTCTTCCCACTTCTTGCCCTGAGCTGCCCCATTTTTCCCAGACCCAGCTCTGGCAGGCTGGTCCTGCAGAAAGAATAGGGGACAGGGTCACCAGACTTCAATCAATTGTCATCGCTCTCTGGGCCTCACTTTCCTCGCATGTAAAGTTGGAGGCAGATGAGTAGACCCTAAGAATCAGTGCTCCCCATGCTGCAGGTATACAACGGTCCTTCTCCCAGCAGCTGGTTGAGTACCATGGGGAGTGGTATGGAAAGCCAGTCCCACTAGACTTTATTCTAATACTCCTCAGCTTGGACTCATCCCCTTCTTTCCAGTCCAGGCTGGGCAGGCAGGCTCGAGTGTGCTATGTGAGCTCCCAGGACCAAGGTGCACAGAACTCTGTCTCCTAGAGCACAGACTGAGTCATCTTCTTAAACCTTAGGCTAGCCACTGTGCAAAACAGCTTAGTGGTTCCTCCAAATTGAAACATAGAATTACCATTTGAGCCAGCAATTTCACTCCTACATATAATCCCCAAAGAATCAAAACTAGGGACACAAACAGATATTTGTACACCCATATTCATAGCATCATTACTCATGGTAGCCAAAAGGCAAAAGCACCTCAAGTACTCATCAACTGATGAATGGGTAAAGGAAATGAGGTCTATCCATACAGCAGAATATTACTCAACCATCAAAAGGAATAGAGTTTTGAAATATGCTATAGCATGGATGAACCTTAAAAACATATGTTAAGTGAAGGAGAACAGACAAAAAAGGACAAATATTGTATGATTCCACTTATATGAAATATCTAGAATAGACAAATTCATAGAGAAGAGAGTAGATTAAGGTTACTAAGGGCTTGGAGGAGGTAGAGATGGGGAATTATTGATTTAAAGGGTGCAGAGTTTCTGTTTGGGGTGATGGAAAAGTTTTGAGAAGAGATAGTGGTGATGACTGCATGATAGTCTGAATATAACTATGGCACTGAATTGTACATTTAATGGTTAAAATGGCATATTTTACGTCATGGACATGTTACCACAATTTTTAAAAATCCTAGGTTAGCTTGTGCAGAAGACCTACCCATCATACTTCATCTAATAAACCCTCTCCAGTCCGCCTCCCCAGCAGGCCTTTCTCCCCGGCTTAGGTCGTCTCTCAGCATTGAGTTCTGCCAGACTGGTGTGTTTCATTTTTGTTTTTATTTCCTGCATCTGCATCTGCTACCACCAGAATCTATTATTGCTCTCTGGGGCTTGTGCCCCTGACAGCGATTATTTGTACATGTAAATCAGAAAGTCGGGGACAAAGCTTTAATGACAGTCTTTCTGGAGTGGCAGTGGCAGCAGCAGGAGACAAGCCAGTGCCAGCCCTCAGTGGGTTCCCTCTGGTGTGATGCTGGGTGGGGTGGGAGTGAGGGGGCTGACCCTATCTGGTCCAGGTTCGGGGAATTCTTTCTGGAATTAATGTTGATTCTGGGTTCTGGGGGCACTGCCTCTGTTTCCTTCAAAGTCAAGATCCATTTGTGTATCCTTGGCTCTTGCTACAAGGCTGGGTTCCTAGTGGGTGCTGCATTGAAGACTGATGGAACGGAGCAGGTCTAGCCATGTGTGGGAAGGCAGCTTTCACTCACGAGGCTGGCTGCAGCCACCCCTTCCTTTCTCTCTTCCCTTTGCTGTTTATCGGGAACGTTGTAGTCCTAGAGAGAAGGCTGAGGTTTCCCTCAGACCGTGTCCACATTGCCGTATACCTGAGAAGTGCTTGCCCTAAAAGAGAGGAAGTACCACCTTTCAAGACTGGAGATATTCATCCCCTCTTGATGTGCATGTACGGTATGGAAGTGGGGATCTCGGAGAACCAGAAGCCACAAAGTGGGAGACGATGCGTGTTATTTGGCTTGGTGTTTTGCGGGGAGCGTCGCAGGCAGCCTGGACCACCTAACCTTGTTCACAGGCCAACCCCAAAGGGAAAAAGCAAGATGCCGGACAGCGTGGTAGAGTGTGCTGCCATTTATGTCAAAACCACACATGCTTGTATATGCATAGAATCTCCCTGGGAGGCAGACATACAAATTATAACAGTCATTGCCTCTGGGGGTGGGGTGGACGAATGGGGGATTCAGGGTCAGAAGTAGAAATATTTACACACACACACACAAATACACACACACACAACTATATACATATATAATCCATACTGCTTAAATCCTGTACCATATGCTTTTAATTACTTAATCACAGAACAAATTGTAATTTTTTTAGGTAAACCCATGTATGTGGGCAGGTGGATGACTAATGGGGCAAGCGGGTGAAATGTAGCTCTCCCTACCTCTGATTTCTTTTAGTGTTTTTCAGAAGGAGTTTGGAGAAGCAGAGATTGGCTCTCCTGTCCCTGGGGAGCTCACCACAGTGTTAGATGTTACTTGAATTTCTTTCTTGGGAAGAGATCTTCCTTTTTCAAGTCTGTTTCCTTGTTCTTTGTCTGGCTTGACAGACACCCCAGGTCTTGCATCTGGCAGCCTTGCCATCTAACCCTCTGGGCATCTAAGTTGTTATTACTTGAGACTTTCCAGAAGACATCCCTGTTTGTCTTTTGCAAATCTTGTCTCTTTAAACTCAGGGAAGAATCAGGCCGCGTTGATGATCAGCCTCATGTGAAGTTCCTTTTATTTGGAGTAGTTGACACTAACACACACACTCACACACACTCACACACACCCACACTCACATACTGACACAGACACGCTCACACACACACGCTCACACACACTCACACACACTCACTCACACTCACACATACACTTTATCCCTGGAGAAATGGAACATCTCCCATCTCCCTCTTACCGCTTACTCAAATGTCTTCAAAATGGCTGTAGATATTACCTTTAATCTTATTTCTCCCAACATTGATTGAAGGAGGAAAAAAAAATCCAGAATGCTTTGGAACAATTTTGAGCAATGAAAAACTGTGTTAGGAAGGAAGTCTCAACTGAACTCTGTTGTAGACTGCCACTAATGTTATAATAATATTTTACTCAAATAACAAAACTTCCTAACATCACTATTCTATTTAACTTGTCATTTCAGACTATTATTTCCATGTTAACTACAGGAAATTAACACATTAAGCAGAAACACAAATGATTCCTGCTTGAAGTTGTTTTTGATATTCCTGTTAAGGAAGCCATTGTTATTGTGTTTTCATTTCCACAAGTATTTAGGGGGTATCTCCTTTGGGACACCCAGAAGCCTGAGGTAAGCCCCCCCATCTTATGGAGCTTGGCGAAAAGGCACGAACCAGAGCTAGAGAAGACATTCTATAGCTAGGTGGCCAGAAGAGAGGTACAGAGAGGAACCCAATTCAGCATGAAAAGAAAGGAGAAGTCAGTACTGAGTAGAGAAGGTGGGAGAAGTCGGGCTTGGAGGAGAAAGGAGACCTTGGAATTGGGTTGTAGAGGATTTAGGGAGGCAGAGGTTAGGGGACAGGGTTGGGTGGAGAGGCGGCATGGCAGGGCATTTGCCGGTGAGTAGAAAACATGAGTCAGCCCTCCACAGTGGAAGGGTTCGTGTGCACAGGGACACTGTGGTGAGATGGAAAAGGTGTGGGCTTGGAAGTAAAAAAGGCCTGGGCATCAGCCCCCAGTCTGCTCCTCACTAGCTCCATGACTTCCAGTAGTCAGGCTTATGAAGAGTCCACTTCTTCATCTGCAATACGAACAGGTTAATATCTACTGTGCAAGGCTGTTGTGCAGATTACATGAGATGAAAAACAGCACAAACTACATGCCAACAATTGCTAGATCCCTTCACCACCTGCCTCGCATGGAGTATTGGGGCTCTCTGAGAGTGAAGGGTGAGGCATGACTGTGCAGAGGAGTAAACACCAGGCGGAGGAACTGGAACTCTGCCTTGTTAGACATGAGAACCCACTTGGAGTTTTTGAACAGGAAAGTGAACTAGTCAGGGTCACGCTTTAGCCGGGTCAGTTTGGTGGTGGCCTTCTGGAGGGCTGGCCAGACAGTGAAGCTAGAGGCGGGTCCACAGTGTGGTGCTGCAGACATTCAGCCGTGGGACATAAAGGAACATTTAATATATACACACACATCTATGAGAGGAGGAACAAACCAAAGATGAATCTAAGGCTTGGAAACAGAGTGCTAGGACAACCGTGATGCCCCTGACAACAATGAACAAGGTAGCATGAAAAGTTGAAGGAGGGGGAAGGTATTGGCACAGCTTGAACATGAGATGACAGCTGGACGTCCAAAGAAAATGTCCAGATGAGATCAAAGTCCTTGGGAGAGTGGTCAGCTCTAGGGATATATAGATTTGAGAATCAAACATTCATGTGGATCAAATCCATGTATGTACACACGTGTGTGTGTGCATGTGTCCATACACATGTATGCCTGTGCATGTGTGTGTGTGCCTGTGCGTATGCACCACTCTCAGAGCCAGAGAGCAGAGTGAGGGCTCAGGAGCGGCCTTTGCTGGATTCCTGTGGTTGAAGGATGAGGGCACAGTGAACTGGAGGACACAGTGGGAGAGGAGGGAAGCAGCAAGGAAGCTTGGGGGTGTCACCAGAATAGGGTAGACCCTAGTGTCAGGTGTGTTCTTCAGTGAAAGGACAAGGAGGCCTGAGACAGGGTCACTGGATTTGGCAAGGAGGTGGCCTTCGAAGAGGGCAGTTTCAGAACTGGGGCTCGCATGGACTGCCCCCATCCTGACCACCCATAGCCTTTCTCGTCTGTATCGTTTCGGCATCTGCTGGTCTATTCCTTCATAGACGGCTATCTTCTGCCTTCCCTCCTTCTGTACCGCCGGTAGCTCGCCCCCGTTCAATATGTTAAAAGCTCTTCAAGAATGTTCTTCTGTTCTCTCTGCCCCACAGCACGTGGAAGGCAGCCTTTCCATCTCAGTAAAGGGCAAATCCATACTTCCAGTTGTTCCAGTTAAATAAGGTGGGGTCCCCCTGACTCCTCTCTTTCTCTCACACTCTCCACCCCTGGTGTCTTCAGAAACCTCGCCAGACTCAGCTTATTTCCTCTTCACTGTTTCCACGCTGGCCCCAGTCCCACTGTCTCCTGCCTGGATTATTGCAAGAGCCTCCCGACTTCTTCCCTTCTTCTCAGCCTTTTTTTTTCCAGTCTGTGCTCAACCCAGCAGCCAGTTTCCATTTAAAATGAAAATCAGATCATGCCACTTCTGTGCTCAAAAGCCGCCAGTGTCTTTCCCTGTCATTGAGAATGAACACTCAAAGTCTACTCCATAGTCTGCCGGCTCTACCCAATACAGATCCCTGCCAGTTCAGCCACGTCTCCTGCTCACTCTGTTCCAGCTGCACTGGCCTCCTTGCTGTGCACTCAACACATGATCCCGCCTGGGACACTCTTCCTCCATGTGCCCACATTGGTCGCCTCAGGTCTCTATTCAACTGTCATCTCATCATCAAGGTCACCTGACGACTACCTTACATGAAAGAGTGAGCCCCTCTCCCTCCCTGACTCCTGGTGCTCTTGATCCTTTTAATTCTGGCTTATTTTTCTCCATGCGTCTCATCTCCATCCAGCATGCTATGCAGGTACTTATTTATTTATTTATTTTTATTTTTGGAGACAGAGTCTCGCTCTGTTGCCAGGCTGGAGTGCAATGGCGCAATCTTGCCTCACTGCAACCTCTGTCTCCTGGGTTCAAGCGATTCTCCTGCTTCAGCCTCCCAAGTAGCTGGGACTACAGGTGTGCGCCACCAAGCCCAGATAATTTTTGTATTTTTAGTAGAGACGGGGTTTCACCATGTTAGCCAGGATGGTCTTGATCTCTTGATCATGTGATCCACCCACCTCGGCCTCCCAAAGTGCTGGAATTACAGGGGCGAGCCATGGCGCTCAGCGGTTTATTATCTATCTCACCCAACGAGAAGTTGTCCTATGAAGACAGGGAATTTGTTTTGTTCACTGCTTTAAACCCAGTACCTACAACAATGCCTGGCACATAGCAGGTGATGAATAAATATGAGTTAATTGAAAGAGAAAAGAAACTAACATTTACAGGACGCTTACATGCTAAGTTGTGCCGTAGCATCTGCACTTATGTCATTTACTTTTCACAACGATCCATAGAGTATTATTCTTCCCATTATACAGATGAGAAAACTAATAAATAGAGACATAGATCAATATTTACATATTTAAACTGAGAGTTCAGAATGGAGGCAGATAGCAGGGAGTGAGTAGATCATTTGACCTCAATTTGTTCTCATTCACTGATCCATAAAATATTTATTCACCACCTGAGTATGCCAGGCCTTCTGCTAATTTCTGGGGATCTACAATTGAATAGAAAATAATTCTTGATCTCCAGTCTAGTGGTGGCAACAGCAGTTTAAACAAAAGCTTAGAGCCATGTGCGGTATACTAGAAGTAGGAACTCATTAGTCTGACAGCATGAGTAGGAAAGTGCTTCATTCTGGAGAAGTCAGAGAAGGCTTCCTGGAGGAGGTGACATTTGCGATGACTCTTTGCAAATGAGTGTTGTGCACTTAAGGAAATTGGCTGTTCCTGGAAGGATGAAGACTAAGCTCTCGTACCTGGTGTATGGGTCCTCCACCTTCCTCACCAGCCTCATCTATGGCCAGCCCTTCGTCATAAACACAGACTTCTCATTACATCCTGCATGCATTATGCTATTTCCTGCCCTTGAAAATGCTGTTTCCTCTGTCTGGAACACAGTCTCTCTCCCCGCACACTATTTTTATTCCTTGAGGCTCAGCTCAGCGTCATCTCCTCGCCAGGATGAGCCTGGTGCCCATCTTTGAGCCCCATATCACCCTTCCCATAGATTAGCTCATTGTCACATTTCCATAACTCCCTGCAAACCATAACCCTTCTGAGGACAGTCTTAATCACCTTTGTTCTTGCTGGTGGGTGACATCCTGGGACCTGTCATATAATGAACAATGAATATACAACTGATGGCCCAAACTGAGCCTGTGCCAGAGAGGAAAAGAGGACTTTCAGAGCTTGGGAGGACCCAGGCACAGTGAGGGCACTGGGCAAGCAGTCGGTTGAGTAGGCCAGGCTGAATAAGCTGGAGTGAGAGCTCTGGGTCCCTCAGAAGGTGGCGTTAAGGAAACAGGCAGAGGCTGTTGGTTACCCCTGGGGCTGTGGAGGTTCAGACAGGGGTAGATGAAGGGCCTTGCATAGGATGCTCTTAAAGCTGGGCACTGGGAGACCTGGAAAATTCAGGCATCCCACTGAGTGACAACTTTGTGGACCACCTTGTGTATGCGTCACCAGGGATAGAGGCCCACACAGGATACCCTGGAAGCGGCGCGTTTGTCACAGGTTTGCAGGAGGCTTACCTGCTCCCTCCCTGAACACCTGGGCTGGCTCACCCCTCGGCCTGGCCACCAGAGTGGAGGGCTTTCTAAAACTGGACTGAGCTCCAAAGCAACAGCCCTGACTCTGGGGTGGGTGAAGTAGAAACTCAGCCTCCCTCTGTGTTCCCTCAGCTCCCCAGGAGCATTTATTTAGCCTGAGCTGTGCATAGACAGGCCTCCAGGCCCCCAGTTCTGAGCCGCTGAAAGGCCAGCCCTTAGCACAGTACCAGGGACCAGACAAATACTTGGGATGAATGAATGAATGAATTGATGGATGGATGGATGAATGAATGAATGAAGCCTACAGTGCAAGGCTGTCAGAAGAAGCCAAACAGTGGCCTCAGACTTTGGCTCGTGACCTTGACGTATTCCCGGGGTCTCCGCAACTCCTGTGGCACACTTGTAGGGCAGGCCTTCTTCGCCTCTTTCTTGTTCTTACCTGACCATTGGTTATCATGTCAGGAGGCCAAGAGACACCTGTCACCTTTCTCCAGATCAAGCCCTGTGTTAGGCTATTCTTGCATTGCCATCGAGAAGTACCTAAGGCTGGGTAATTTATAAAGAAAGAGGTGTATTTGGCTCACAGTTCTGCAGGCTGTACAAGCATGGTGCCAGCATCTTCTCGGGTTTGGGGAGGCCTCTGGGAGCTTTTACTCTTGGTGGAAGGCAAAGGGGGAGCAGGCATGTCACCTGGCAAGAGCAGGAGCAAGAGAGATCAGGGAGGTGCCACACACTTTTACACAAGCAGCTCTTGAGTGAACTACCAGAGCAAGAAACTCACTCATTCCCATGGGGAGAGCACCAAGCCGTTCATGAGGAACCCACCTCCACGATCTGAACACCTCCCGCCCAGCCCCACCTCCGACACTGGGGTCACATTTCAGCATGAGATTTGGAGGGGACAAACATCCAAACTAGGTCACACTCTAAACCCAGCTGTAGTCTGAGTGCGTAACTCTGGTTGCCTGCTTCCCCTCCCTGGGCACAAGACGAGGAGCCAGCTACATGAGCCTCTCAGCTGTCTCGGTGGAGAAATGGAGAGCTGACTGAGGCCAGGGAAGGGCGGGGTGACAGAGGAAGCTGTGCTCTGCTGGGCATCAGGAGAGGTGGGTTTGGGCACTGGCAGTGCCACTACTCCTGACCTTAGACAATCCATTAGCATCTCTGAGCCTCAACATACTTGTTGGTTAAATGGGGTTAATTATATCTGCCATGTTGGTCTCAAAGATTGTTGGGAAAAATTAAAGGATGTGGAAGTGTTTCACAAACTGTGCTGGTAGATGCCTGAAGTCGTTTTCCTGGGGTCCTCCTTCTTACCCGATTTGGAGAGGGTGAGCGTTGGGGATATGGCTGGATCCCCTCGCATCCCCCCACCGGGCTGCTCTGCTTTCCTGAGCCTCGGTTCTGAGCCAGAAGCGACCGTGGGGCTTCCCAAAAGCTGTGGAACAAACCAAAAGCAGCCTGGTCTCTTCCCCATCTCACCGTCTGTTTCTGAGACACCCTGTCTGCTGCCCCTCACGACAGGGCTGTGCTTGATAGAAGGTGAGCCTTAGGCCTGTGGGAGGATGACTCTCCTTCTCCACAAATGGTTGGCACATGGTTAGCCCTGGTTGGTTGTCCAGGGGTGGAGTCACCGGCCTGTCAACCAGCATCCTGCACCTGTCTGGCCTTCGGGGCCGTGTGAGCGGTTGGAGAGGGGACCAAGGAGCTGAAATGAGGGCTCCCATCCTGATTTTGGAGTGGCTTCTTTGGAGAGTCTGCTTTTGAAAGAGCAAAGGTGGCCGAGCCTAAGGCTGCAGACTTCTCTTTTTCTACCCTCTTTATCTCTGTTTTGACCCCTCCCTACCAGGCAATGACCACTACTACTACTAATAATAGCAATAGCAGCTGGCAGTTTTTGAATACTGTGCCTGGCACTGTGCTAAACACATTACATGTATTACTCTATTTAATCCTCTCTAGGGATATTAGTATCCCCATTTTACAGATGAGGCCATTGAGGCAGAGAGAGGTTAAGCAGCTTCCCACAGTTCTCCAGCTGGCAAGCAACAGAACCAAGATTTAAGCCCTGGCATTTTGGTTCCCAAGCCCAGGCTCTTAATCACCATTACATGAAAAGGAGGAAAGGTGTGTGCGTGCACAGAGAGAGAGAAAAAGAGAGACAGAGAGACAGAGAGAGACAGAAAGAGAGAGACAGAGACAGAAACAGAGAGAGACAGAGAAACAAAGAGACAGAGAGACAGAGAGAGAGTCGGGTGCAGGAGAGGGGAGGGAGGGAAAGTTGAAAATACCTGCTTCTGAAACTACGTACTGTTTATCCCAATAAACTCTCCCCAGATCCCAACAGGCAGGGCCCTGCATTTTTTCCTCTATAGGGAAACCTGAAAGCTAAGCTTCCAGACTCAGGAAAAGCTACTTGGAGCCAGAACACACTACTTGGCATGTTGCAGGCATTTAATATTTTTTAGATGACTCAGAGGATGGATGGACAAATGAATACACTTCTGGCCTAGGTGTCAGGAGAGGAGGTCTTAAGCTCTAGCGAGATTGCAGTGTGTGGCCCTGGGCAAGTCTTGTGCTCTATCCTCGTCCCCTCCTCCAGGAAATGAAAGTGCTGATAATAGATGCTTATCTCAGCCCCAGGCCAAAATGTGCTGTACAAGTTGAGAATGTGAGCTTGAAGGTGTCACTGGCTCTGCTAACTTCCAGGGCTCTGGGCTGGCTCTGGTTCAGGGAGCGCTGTTTGGAGCTCAGATCAGATGCTGCCAATCCACTGCTGGGACTGCCTAGGAAAGGACTCCAGGCAGTAGGGACAGAAGGACAGACAGAAACTATCTGGGCCCACCCTGGACACCTCAGGTGTTCGAGATCCTCCAGCCCATATGCCCCGGGGGCAACTAAAGCCAGGCTGTCCTTTGCCTTGGATAGGACTCTACCCAAAGACTCTTGGGTAGAGACAGGGCCTCCCAAGCAGGGTAGACTTCTTCTGCTTGCAAGAAAGAGTGTAGTATCTGATTTCACTTCCCACAGCTGGCAGCATCAAATCGATATTTTTCCGTGGTGCAGACAGAGTAAAGAGAGAATAAAGTGTTGAATTGTTTGGCATTATCAAGGATTTCAGCTCCCCAGGACTCCTGCATAAAGAGATGGAAATTTTAGCTGCCAGAGCCAAGAAACACACGCAAGTATATGAATTTGTTACATATTATCTTTCCTTCTTCCAAACAGCCCTGGAAATGTCAAAAGATCATCTATTGTTTCATTAAAAATAAAAAATAAAAAAGAACAGTTTGGGTTTGGTGGACTCAGCTTGGGCACAAGGCAGGTGGTGCCAGGCCAGTGGAGAGGAGACAGAAGTGATTTTCTAGGACAACCTTCCAGAGGCAAAGCCATCTTTCTAATTCTCCCTTTCTGGGTGTTGATTTTGCAGATGTAATTTAAGCCAGGGAAAGCGTGCTCTTATACATTTGCCCAGACTCAGTCATTTTGGCCAACATTTACTAGGCACCTACTGTGTGCAAAGTTCGGGGCATGGTCCCTCTGGAGATCCCAGTGTGTGTTAGCGAGAGCATCGCTGCAAGGAGTTCAGGGCCAGTGCTTGTCTGACTGGGGCTAAGAGTGGCCATGGCATCTCAGACGCAGTTCGCCAGCTGCCTGGAGAATCCTGAGTCCATGGAGGGGCTATGCTGCCTGGAGGAGGTCCAGAGAGGCCTCACAGAGAAGGGGACATCTGGGTGGGGCCTGGAAGGATGAGTGGACTCCCACAGAGGATGGGAGCTGCAGCATCGCAGGCAAAGAGAACAGAGCAGGTGATGTAAATTGAAAGGCCACATTCAGCCTGGACCTAGAAGTTGGGCCTGGAGAGGTGGAGAGGACAGGAGCTTCCTCTCCAGCCATGCACTGACCAGCCATGATCTGACCAGCCCCTGACAATCAAGTGAGTGACTGAGGCCACGTCTAGTCCACGATCTGCTATGCACACTCTCCTCTGATGCTGATGGGTGCAATTTCCCACCTTCGGGCTGCACACTACCCCTCACAGCCTTTAGCCGGCTGGCCCAGCTCACCTGCTGCTGGACTCACAGGCTTCTAGAGAGGAAGCCAGCCTCTGGCTGTCAGGAAGCTCTCGGCCACCCCCATGTACTGGTGGGGCCATGCAGCCAAGGGGATTGAGTCAGGCCCTCCAGAGTATTGGGGGTGTTTAAAACAAGGCTGTCCCCAATCCCACCCTGTTGCCAGGAGTCATCAGCCCCACGTGCATCCCATACCTAACGGGAAAGCAGAGAGCAGGCCCTGCCGCCAGCCCTGAGCACCCAGTTTTGCCTCTTCTGGCTGGACACCCCTCAAAGGGAGGTGCCGTGTTCCCTCCTCCATGCCCTCTCCACGTCTTTTCCCACTACAGCCTCGGAGGGCAGAGAAAAGTCAGGCAATACCTGAGCTGGGAGAATCCTTGGAGGCGGCAGAACCAGCCAGTGCAGTGGTGTGCAGCTCCACCCTAGCTCGCTGCTCCACACAGTGGACCATCTCATGGCTAGTCTGTTCTTCCTTTTGCTTCCTGAGAGCTTAGGGCCCCAGCAGCCCCAGCCCTCTAGAAGGCCAGAAGCCACAGTGCCTCTATTCCTCCATGTCCCCAGGAGCTCTTCTTGCTGTTCCCATGCTGGGTGCTGAGAGCCAGGTGGGAAAATTCCCATCACACA
Organism: Homo sapiens; assembly: GCF_000001405.40. Lineage (NCBI taxonomy): Eukaryota > Metazoa > Chordata > Mammalia > Primates > Hominidae > Homo > Homo sapiens. Next base: position 125,303,118 of record NC_000011.10, read on the forward strand.
GACCACTGTGTCTCCGTACCCTCCAAAACCTGACCTGCAGCTGGGACCCCAGGCCACAGAAATAAACATAACCTAAATCTCATACTTTTGAATTTTGCTTTTCAATTTTCATAGCCTTTTCACATTTATTTTTCTTATGGCCTCCAACCACCCTGAAGGGATGCAGGCAAGTGTTACGTCACCCTCACTTTTGCAGATGAGCAAACGGGGGTACAGGCTGAGGAATGTGCCTGGGGCCACACAGCTAATTGCTGGCAGAGCCAGCACTGGGCCCAGTCTCCAAGCTTCTGGTCACAGCCCCAGCCCCCCTGCCACATTCCCAGGCAGGCCCCAGGCTCGGGAAAGGATGTGGGGTGCAGGGTGGGTCTGGATACGTGGATGGTGAGCTCTCTGGCGCTGCCTGGGCCTCTTTCCCTGTGGATCAGGGAGTTCAGACTCATGGCCTTGGAGATTCCTGTCAACTCCAAGGTTCCCCGGCTCCATGACTCCATCACACTTGCCCTCCTCCTTATCAGGAAACCCACCCTTCAACATTTCTCTTTCCACTTTTGGGAAATGCTGGCAGAAATGGAGGACAAAGCTGTATCAGCATTGTAGAACTGGAGAAGGAACTGGGCTTACACAGAGGGACAGGCACTAGAAAGTGACATAAAAAAAGAGGGCACTCCCCCTTACCAATGAAGGATGTGTCGTCTAAGGGGAGAGACAGGCTGCCAGGCAGTCCTATGTAGGCTAAGAAAATAGAGGGAGGCTTATGTTTGCATGTCCATTGCAAAACCATCTCCTTCCATCAGCAAACATTCTCTTCTCGGCTTCCCCCAGCTAGATGCATGGCCGGCCTGAGCTAGGAGGCAGTTACTGGGGCTTCCTCTAGGCCAACCTCAAAAGGCTTCTTTAGGAATGCAGGGATGTTGTTGGGATCTGGATGTCACAAGGGACGTGGTTGGCAGGGACCCTCTGATACCCGCAGGGAGCTTGGCCTGATGGATCCGGGAAACACCTCAGGGCCTCCATAGGAAAGGCTGTTGGTGGGGAGGGGGCTGCTTGGAAATGGATCCACTTGGGTAGACACCTAGAAGAGGTGATGTCCTAAACTGCAGCCCCAGCCCCAGGGGCCCATCTCGCCCAGCTCTGGCCCTGAAAAGACGTTCCATTCCCCTTCCCTGGAAACCCCCTCACTTACAGGAAGCTGGGTGTTATCTTAAGGTCTATAAACGGCCTGCCTGCTTTTCCAGCTGGAGCTGTTCATTCAGAACAATTAGCATGCAGTTTGGAGCTGGATGGAACATATGGCAGAGGGGGTCCCCAGGAGCCAGCGTGTGGCAGCCTGAGAAGGAGGGGAGCAGCCTGAGAGGCACGGGAAGGGGCACGTGGGAAGGGGAGGGCTCCCAGCCCGCTGCCTGGTCCAGGTACACCTGCTTTTAATCCTGGAGGGAACAGAACCAAGGGCTGGTGTGAATTCCTTATGCATCTCAGGTCACAGATGCATTAAACGTCCCCTAAATCAGCATTTTATATCAAGAGACTTGAAAAGCCCATAAGCCCTGAGCAATGTCCTTCTCTGGAGAGCTTCAGGGCAAATATCCAGGGGTCTGCACAGGATGCAGGTGGAGGTACTGAGGAACAAATGTCTCCCTAGACACTCTTGGGCATTCATTTATTCACTAAATATTGAGGGCCTACTATGTGCCAATTACTGTCCTGGGTATTAGAGATACATCTGTGAAGAAAACAAACCAAGATCCCTGCCCATGTGTAGCGTCAGACAATAAATGTAATACATAAGTAAACTGTTGAGGGTGTTAGCAGGAGTTAGCCTCGTGAAGTCAGCCTATGAGGTAGTATTGTGATTTCCTCCTTACACGCAAGGAAATGAAAACCAAAAGAGTATCTAAAAAGCATGTTCAAGTTCTCCGAGCTAGTAAGTGGTGGGATCTGGATTCGAACCCATCTGGCCCAGCGCCACACACTCACCTCGTCTTGAAGATGGACAAGACACCCACCTGAGCAAGCTCCAGTTTACCACTCCAGATGATCTGGGTGGGCAGTAGAATCAGAGGCTCCAGAGCAGAAAGAGCTCTTAAGAGATTGCCACTCCGGCTTCAGCCTTTTACAGTGGAGTCACAACCTCCGGAGTTGTGTCTAGTGATGTGTGTAAGGTCACACAGCCAGGCAAACTATTATAGAACTGACACCTGGAGGCCTGACTTGCAGGCAAGGGTCCTTTCTACCCAACCACACTGACCTGCTTAGGGCTCTCAGCAAGACCACAAGTGGCTCTCTCAAAAGATCCAGCCTGCTGCGAACTCCCTGAACCCCTTCATGCTTCAGAGAGCACGCATACACCCTCCAGCACCCCCTACCTGCCCCAGGTCAGAGGCACTTGCAGTCTAGACAGTGGCTGGTTCTTGGGCACCCCCACCCCAGGCAGTGATCCGGCATAGCTGGAGGGGAGCCACTCAGCGCACGGCACCCACTCCAGCTCACATTTTAATGTGCTCAAAGAAATGGCTGTAAACAGGTGTCAGGTGTCTTGCATGGTCAGGAGCTAACCAGTGCCCTGTCTGGAAGAAAAATTGCAGTAACAGCATCGGGAACGACTGCAAAGGTGGAAGGGAGGGGAGAGAAGAGGCAAACCGACTGAAGTGTGGTGGTTATGACACTTAAATTGGATCCCAGGGCAGGTAAAGAGCAGAGCTATAAATCCAGCCTCCTGAAAGAATATTCCGGAGGCAGGAGACACAAGCTCACTTAAAATATGTCTGAGATGAGAACCAAAGATCGTTATTTTTGAGCAAGGATATAAAATGCTAAACACTGCCTTTATTAGTCCTTTTTAAAAGCCAGGTGTAAAATACTGCCATTCCCCAGATTGTGTTTTTCCTTTTTTTTTCTTTAATGGCAGAAATTAAAATCTCCTTAAGCCATTAGCCATCCCTCCCCAAGGTGAGCCCCAAAAGTGGCTCTACCAGGGGCCTCTCCCCTCACCCAGGAGGCATGGTGGCCATTCACCAAGTCTCTCACACCCCTTCCCACCCCTCCCTCCCCGCCACTGGCACTGAATACCTGCCCGGCGGCAGGTGGCTGAAAAGGCTGGGAAGTTTTATGGGTCTGCCTCAGTAGGCCCTGTCTCCCACCAGTTGCCAATTTGGTCGGTTGCTCCCCATTCGCAAATACCTAACGCTAAAGATATTCCACCCACTGGAGCGCTACCAGGGCAGCCCCCCACCCCCCAGGGAGCTCACTGATGCAGGTTTAGGTGCCATTGAAGTCCACTTCTACTCCCAGGCCCGCTTCTCCTGGGCTGGCTTTTCTTTCTGCCTTCCCACTCTGTCCTTTCTTTCTTTTTTTCTTTTCTTTCCATCAAAGGCTGGTACTACCAGAGAAAAAGTTCATAAAAATGTTATGTCCACCATAAAACCCTTAATGTGGCATTCTGCATGATCCATGCATTAACATTAACATTTCCCAGACAGTTATTGTGAGATAATGGTCCCAGCTATAATTCAGCTGTAACGTTCCTTCGAGCAAATGTTATGGAGGAATAAATGACTTGCCGAGTGTGCTGAGGCAGTGGGGGTGGAGGAGAGGTGAACAGCTTGAAAATGCAGACTCTGGACCCTAGAGACCCCGGCACAGCCGTGGAGGGGTCTGGGACTCATTCTAGGTCGGACCATGGGCTCTCTGGGGACTGAGAGACCAGGCCCCACTACCCCCTCCCCCATTTTCGTTTCACACAAATTGCATCTTTCTTCCCAGGGTTGCATTTGGAGAATTTGCTGAGAGAATGGATTTAAGGCCACAGGGTTCCCAGTAGGGTTGAGAGGGTGAAGAGGAGCTTTGGCATCTTAACCAGCCTCTTCCTCCCCGTTTCTCCTTCTCTGTGGGCCCAGCACACTTTATACTCACCTCTGCTACAGCACTTCTCAGCTTGTCTTTTTGCTATTTGTTTTTCGTTTCTGTGTCCCTTGACATACCTGTGCCCTCCTTAAGAGCAGTTTGTACATCGTAGTCTTCTTGGTGACCTAGCACAAAGCAGATACTCATTTGTTGGAAATAAGGATGGATGAATGGACAGATGGACGGATGGACAGTTGTCTGAGTGACAACAGAAGAAAAAGTTACAGAAATGCAAGCAGACCAGAAGATGGACAGGACTTGACATTAACAATAAAGGGAGCCTGGGTGCGGTGGCTCACACCCATAATCCCAGCACCTTGGGAGGCAGAGGCAGGTGGATCACCAGCCTGGCCAACATGGTGAAACCCTGTGTCTACTGAAAATACAAAATTAGCCAGGTGTGGTGGTGCACACCTGTAATCCCCAGCTACTCAGGAGGCTGAGGCAGGAGAATCGCTTGAACCTGGGAGGTAGAGGTTGCAGTGAGCCGAGATTGCACCATTGCACCCCAGCCTGTGCAAAAAGAGTGAAACTCTGTCTCAAAAAAACAAACTATAACAACAACAACAAAAAACAATAAAGGGGGACATACCCCAAAACATTTATGAAGTGAAATCATAAGTGTTCGATATGTCCCTTAGGGATCTGCCACTGTATTCACTTTACTCTTTAGGAAAAAGAGGCCTAGAGACGTTGGTGAACAGGCCAGGACTAGAATTCTGGGCCACCAGTTTAATGCTCTACCAGCTGCCATCTTGCTGCTAATATGCAAAGCTAATCATATGTATGCAAAGAAACCCTTTCTACCCTCAAGGAGTTTGCTCCCTAGTGGAGGAAACACATCAGCACAAATGCAACTCACCATAGGCAAGGTAGATTACAATGAGTGCTGCCATGGGAAATGTCTTCAATTTGGAAACACAAAATGTACTGCCAAGGCTAGGGGCCTTGATGGATGAGCAAGACCCAAAAAGGCAAACATCGAGGGGAGAGGAGGGAAAACATTTGAGACAGAGAAGGCAGTGTGGGCAAAGGCACAGAGATGATTGGAGACGAGAATTTCCCACAGATATTTAATTTGTGCAGTATCAGCTGGTGTTGAGCGTATGGTCCCGGGAGACCCCTGGCCACTGGGATGGCCTTCCTTAGAATGTGCCCTATTACTGCTTCTTGCTGCCCCTTCCTGCCAAGTTTCAGCTTATGGATCATGCCCTTGGCCACGATGGGTAGCTCCTTGGCTTATGTGTGGGCTGGGCCTGGCCAGCCTCAGCATTGCCCAGCCAGCTGCCTCGGAGCTCAGGAGGAACCACCCCCAAGAATGGCAGCACCCCCAACCCTAGGGCTTTCCTTTCCCACCTCTGCTCAGTCCTGCTCATGCTCTGGGGAAGACTCAGCGGGAGCTGCATTCCTCCAGACATGTCAGGAGAAGCACAAGAGAAGATGCTGGCTCTTTTCCAAATGCCACATGTCATGGCCACCATGATCTCTCCCAAGAGCAGCTCCCCGGAATGCAGGGCCAGATTTATTACACCAGCAAAGGAGATGGCGACCTCCACAATGTGTTCACAGGACTCGGGGGAGGCTTTGCCCCAATCAGAAATATCTTCCCCACTCAGGAGTTTCATAATAACCAAGAGCTGGAAGGGGCCGTGGAGGTCACCTGGTTTAACTGCCGTGCTGTGATGGCATCTCTGATTAGAGAGGCTTTTCTTGTCTCCTAACAACTCCTGGTGACGGCAGCTCTCCCATTCTGGGTTGGTTCTCACTAGTAGGACTCCCTCACATAAAGGGGAAATTGGTCTCTCTGTCCCTTCCACCCTCTGTCCTAGTTCAGCACTCTCGCCTGCACAGTGTAAGACCAACCATCTTCTGCATGGTAGTTCTTTAAATATTGAAGGTAACAGTCATGTTCCTCCAAGATCTTCTGTTCTGGAAGTATGTACCTTTCTTAAGCATCCTAGCCTTCCTCCACAGATGCACTCCATATTACCAATGTTCCTCTTATGGAGTAAACACGCTCCTCCTGTGTGGTCTGAACCATTGACTCCTTCATCTGGACACCAGTCTGCAGTCATCTTGTAGTCATTCAGCCTGAGATCACAATTACCTCTTCCTTTCTTTCTTTCTTTCTTTCTTTCTTTCCTTCCTTCCTTCCTCTCTCTCTTTCTTCCTTCCTTCCTCTCTCTTCCTTCCTTTCTCTCTCTCTTTCTTCCTTCCTTCCTCTCTTTCTTCCTTCCATCCTTGCACATCACAACACTGGTACCAACTGAATTTTCATTCCAACATCCCTTTATTTTTTTCCCACATGACATGCTTTCAAATTCCATCTCCCTCACCCATACAGTTTGCATTTTACTCTAACAGTACCAATTTTTTTTTTTTTTTTTTTAGAGAAGTCTCACTCTTGTCCCCCAGGCTTAAGTGCAATGGTTCGATCTCAGCTCACTGCAAACTCCACCTCCCAGGTTCAAACGATTCTCCCACCTCTGCCTCCTAAGTAGCTGGGATTAAGGCACCGGCCACCACGCCCGGGTAATTTTTGCATTTTTTAGTAGAGACAGGGTTTCACCATGTTGGCCAGGCTGGTATCGAACTCCTGACCTCAGGTGATCTGCCCGCCTTGGCCTTCCAAAGTGCTGAAATTACAGGCGTGAGCGACTGTGCCCGGCCTCTAACAGTACCAATTTATATTTCTCTCTACTCAACATCATCTTCTTGCTTTCAGCCTGTAATTTCTGCCTCATGAGCTCTTTCTCAATCTTAATTCTCTCTGTAAACACATTAACTATTTATTTCAGTGTGTGGAATGATCAGCACACCTTCCATAGTGTCATGCAAATCTTTGGCAAAAATTCTCAACAGTATAAAGCTGGTTACTTCAGCATGAAACAGCTCCTTCCAGACTGAATTCTACTGACCAACATTGATTGGAGACAATCACTCACCTAGCTAAAAACTCTTCCGGTTCCGCCATTCAAGCTACTCTTCTTCATCCTACCCAGAAGGATATCATGGAAGACTTTGTCATACTGCTTACTGAAATCAAGATATTTTTCAGAATTTTCCTTATGCCAGCCTAGGAATTCTATGTGTGTGTTTTTTTAAAGGGCAATAAAGTTAGTTTGACATGACTGTTTTTCAGTGAAGCCATTCTGGTTCTTGGTCATCTCTTCTTTCTTTCATAAATAATACTATTAGGCCGGGCGCGGTGGCTCACACCTGTAATCCCAGCACTTTGGGAGGCTGAGGCGGGTGGATCACAAGGTCAGGAGTTCGAGACCAGCCTGAGCAACATGGTGAAACCACATCTCTACTAAAAATACAAAAATTAACCAGGCATGGTGGCGCATGCCTGTAATCCCAGCTACTCAGGAGTCTGAGGCAGGAGAATTGCTTGAACCCAGGAGGCGGAGGTTGCAGTGAGCCGAGATCCTACCACTGCACTCCAGCCTGTGAGATAGAGTGAGACTCTGTCTCAAAAAAAAAAATAATAAAAATAATAATATATAAATAAATAATCCTATTTAGAATTTTCATTAACAAGTAATGCCAAACTTACTGTTACATAGCTTCCAGAACCCTGATGCTTGCCACTTTTTGAAAAGAGGGAAAACTTTTGCCTCATTTCCATCTCTAAAAGCTATTTGTTTTCATCAGTTCACAAACAGCTAACAGTGGTTTTGCAATCCTGTTCTTTCCATACTCCAAGATATAATTTGCCATTGTCCACAGACTTGAGTTTATTTAAAGCTATGAGATGCTAGTTTACCATCTCCTCACCTATCTCAAACTTGAACCCTTTTAAAATCATCTTTCTGGTTTGATGATTGTTGTCCTTGAAAAAAACAAAGCCAAGTGGGAGTTCAATCGTTTGCTTTCCTTCTGTCGTCTGGTAACCTCATATGTCTGCCCCGGGATATAGCTGCCTCAATCCCTAATTTTTTTTTCTTTCCATTTTGTTTCAAGTATTGCTTTTTAAGAGAACAGGGAGAGAATGTGTGTGGTATGGGGGAGTCTGGTGGGGGAAGGTGTTTTTAGACTCCAGTTCACTCTGGTCTTTGGCCTTCCTAGCACACTTCTAACAGGCCCAGCCTACTCTTTTGTGTTGCTTTTTACTCTTCCATGCCTTGTTCCATCTTTTGTACATGTACTTTTAAATCATCACAGAACTCAGATTTGAAAATTTGGGCTAAGATGTGATGTCCATTATATTTCACATTCCCCATTAGAAAGACATGGGTTAGACCTTGCCCTCTTTTGCCAACACTCCTTAGAAATAGCATTAGCAAGGAAATCCAACCCCACCAATATTTTTTTGATCACCTCTTACGCCCAAGGCACAGTACTAGATACTGCGAGCGATACAAAAGGGAACAAGAATTGTCCCCGCCTTAGACACCATGGAGGAGGCAGACACACAAGTTGCTATAGCCCTAGGTAGAAGGGACAAGGGTTAGAATTCTGGTGTATGCAAAGTGCTGTGAAAGCCCCCCAGAAGGAGAGCCCATGTCTGCCTGGGAAGATGCAAGAAAGAGACATGAAGGGAGGTGACATTTTAAGCAGTTGTGCATCAGAGATGCAGAGAAGGCTATAAATTCCTTATGAAGGGCACAAAGGTAAAGATGCAAGATGGTGTTTGGGGAACAGCAGACAGCTTTGTGTGGTGATTGTACAGTGGACTAGGGGTAGAACGTAGCCTCGAACACTCATGTCAAGTTTTCTGTTCTACCCAGCGTCCTATCAAAGCCTTGAGCACAATGCCCTCAAATAAACTCATCAGCACCTCCTCCAAGCCTATTCTTCCTCTGTGATCCTTAAAAAAACATTTTTTAAAAAATTTTTGACATCACTGTCCTCCCAGTGAATTGAATACTGAGCTTAGAATCAAAACATCTGAATTTGCTCTTGAACCCGGGAGGTGGAGGTTACAGTGAGCGAGATCACACCACTGTACTCCAGCTTGGGTGACAGAATGAGACTGTCTCAAAGAAGAAGAAAAAAAAGTCTGAATTTGGACCTCAGATCCAGCACTTTAGATTGGGCAAGTCCTTTAGGTTCTCTGAGCCTCTGTTTCTTCATGTGTAAAATGGGAAAAACAGTGCGTAACTTTCCTCCTACAAGGGGGAGTTGTGATGATTAAATGAGAGCTAGATGAGGGCACTGCTTTGTAAGGGGTGGAGTGCTGTGTGCGGGTAAGAAGGATGTTCAGTATGATCGGGTCCCCGGATCTGTGCACCACACAGTAAAAAATTCTTTTGGATGAAACTGAAGTTTCCTGAAGCTCACTATCAAAAAAATGCCTGGTGGAGGGGAGGACCAGGAAGGCAAGAGGCAAAAGGAGAGTGTGGAGGCCACAGATCCAAGCCCATTTCAGTTGGGGCTGAAGCTGGCTGATTTTGAGACTCACTTCAAAGCCGTCTGAGTTCACGCTGAGCACCAGGTTCTGTGGGAAGTCACCCTGCTGTGCCCCAGGAGAGCAGACAGGCTGTGAGGTGAATCAGGAATATTCCATAAGGTGGTGTGTGGTGTGTTGAGGCAGGAGGGCCGGGGCAGCGGGTGCTGTGGCTCTGTGGATGACTGCAAGGGCAGACCCACCGCACCCTGCCTGCCACCCCCCGAGTGTCACGCACGGCAGGCACTCTGAGCACAGAGACAAAACCACCCACCTCGAGGAGCTCCATGGAATGGAGGAGACGCACGTGCCCATAATGCCAATTCAGCGGGCTCAGCAGCACCATACAGGTGTGCTCAGGTGATGGGAGCACAGAGGCAGAAATTACTGTCCGCCAGAGGGGCCAGGATGATCAGACAAGGTTTCCGAGGGAAGATACCCTGAGTTGAGCCTTAGGAATATGCAGTGGCACAAGTAGATAAGGTAGGAAAGGGCATTTTGAACAGAGAAAACAGCATTTAAAGATGAACAGAGGCATAAGGAAGGCCTTCGCTCGCATGCCGTGTGAAAGGCAGGGGGGAGGCTGCAGAGGAGGCCAAGCCCACTGGAGGCCCGTGTCATGCTATCGCCTTCCACCGAGGGCAACAGGGAGCTTAGACAGCAGGGATGGGAAGCAGAGAGTGTTTACGGGGCACTTAAGAAGAACTATCTGTGTGTCTTTGAAAGTAGAAGGTGAAAGAAGGGAGAAAGGGGAAAGAGAAGTCGAGGGCACCCCCAGGTTTGTTTCTTGAATGTCTGCAATGGCAGTGCCCCTCATCCAAACTGAGGAACATGGAAGAAAGGAGCAGACAGAGGGTGGGCAGGAGGGAGCTGCTGGAGTCCCTAATGGGGCCTGGTGAGTTTGGGGAGGTTGCTGTGGGTTATCCAGGTGACATCCTACCTCATTCAGTTCTGCATCTGAACTCTCCTGTCCCAAGTAGAATTTTCTCTTTCAACTGAATTGGGAGCACCTTGAGGGCAGAAACCAGGTCTGACTCATCTTTATTCCCCTCAAGGAGTTCCTGGAATCCTCACAGAGCTCCTGCTGGCTGTGAGCACTGCATGGACTTGCAAATGCCACTCCACTTCTTTACCTTGGTTTCATTTTGCACTTGAAGATAAAGCTCAAAGGACAGCATCCTGGAAAAGCACATGTACCCAGGAGGCAGACAACCCTGGCTTGAGTCCTGTCCATGCCCTTTCCTAGCTGTGATATTCAGCACATCGCAGGGCCTCCTCAAATATATACTGTCTAACGTGGCAGCTGGTAGCCACAAGCCACGTGTATCTATTCAAATAAAAATAAAAATGAAATGAAATTAAACATTCAGTGACTGAGTCACACCAGGTTTGAGCCAAGTGCTCAGTAGCCACATGGTGTCCATGGTATTGGAAAATACAGACAGAGAGCATTTCCATCACCACAGAGAGTTCTATTGGAAAGTGCCGGGCTAAGATGCAATTGGATGTTAGTACTTACCGCACAGGATGGAGTGCAGCCCTGTGAGTTCTGTGTGTAAAGCACTGGGCACAATGCCAGGCACACAAGTGACCCCCAGTAAGCACTGGCCATTATTATACTGAATGAATTAGAGGAAATAGCTGAGGTCCTGGGCTGCCGTAGGAGCATCCAAGACTTCCTTGAGGATGCAGGGCTGCGGAGCCCTGTGGGTATGCAGAGGAGACCAGCCCTGACTCTGGGGACAGTTGATGAAGGGGCTTCACCTTCCAGTTGGAGAATTTGGGGTTGGTGTCATGGTCAGCTCGTCGTGAATCACCAAAGAGAGGCACCTGGGGGATTTCAGTGATCTCAGAGCACCTGCAGTGCGGTGCCCTCACTGCGACATCACTTGCTCGCAACGTCACCATGGCCAGTTTGGATCTGCTCTGGGTCCTGGGCGGCAGCAGATGGGTTGGGAGCCAGGGTGGGTCAGGGAGGGGAGACCTTGCTCAGAAGTCCATCTGCATCTTAATGGTGGGGAAGACTCAGAGCTCGCGTCCAGATGGCCCGGCAGTTTCTCCTCCTGGGAGCATGCTGCTTCCCCGCATGCTTTTGCTCCTCTGGTGTGCTCTGCATGTCAGGGGCCAAATGGGCAGGATCCATCACTGACCTGCAGTCAGTGGGGAGGGGACAAGGCTTCGTACTTCAGCTCCCCGAGAGCCGGGCTAGATGCCCACAGCTGGGAGCAGAGGAGGCAGTGCAGCCCCCAGCTCTGGCTGTGCTGCAGAGAGTAGGGGCCATCCCAGAAACTCTCACCTTGCCTACTGCTTCCCCAGCCCTGCCCTGCCCTGCCCTGCCCCCGAGAGGACAAAAAACCTGGCAGAGATGTTCCGATGAGGATGCTCCTTGGACCCAGCCCCGGGGCAGCCCTGGCTGGACACTGGATTACCCCTGAGCAGCAGCCTCCTTAAGGGAAAAGGAGACTATTCCTTTCCTGACTTTGGGTCAGGAAAGAGAGTTGGGGAAAGGAATTTCCATGCAGCAGAAGCCCCAGGCAGGCTGGGTTCTGGCCAGAGGCTCTCACTGCTCCCCTTTGTGGCCAGCAAGTCACACCCCTCTGGTCTTCCCAACCAGGAGCCGGACAGAGTCCTCTCTAAGGCCCTCTCCGGCCCTTGGTTCTACCACAGGGTGGGCTGCAGTTACCCTCTGGCTGAAGCCTGCTCAGAGGGAGGCAGGAGGTTCACATGGGCCCACCCCTGCTCTCCACAGCATCCCCCTCTCCCCACCTCCTTCCTTTTCTCCTCCCTAGTAGGATAGATGGAGGCAGTGTGGAGAAATCCGAATAACTAATCAGAGTCCTCATTAACCCCCTGCCAGGATGCTCAAACATTCACTTTACTGTTTGTGAAGCAGGAAAAAAAAAAAAAAAAAAAAAAAAACACCTCTCTCTGCATTAAAATTGATGCGTTATTAATCCTTGTGCTCCCAAACTGGTGGGCGGCTCTGCCTCCTGCCCGAGGCCCAGCCCATGGGGTCTGCTACCTTGGACCACTTGGACTTTCTATTATTTATTGGCCCAGTGCAGAGAGGCCTTCTCACAGGGAGTGGGCTTGGTGCCAGCACAGAGGCAGCTGTTTTGTTTTCTCCCTGGCCTGGCCGGTGGGAGGCCTTTGCTCAACCCCACCCCAGGGTGCAGCTGGCAGACTGCCTTGCAGGGCTGGGAGGGCTGAGTGCATGGCAGCTAATGGTGTGTCTCTCACCAGATCTGAGGGCGTAGTGACCCGCTCCATGCTTCAGATGAGCCAGCCTGGGAGTGGGCAGCTTCTCAGTCCAGTGGTGGCTGGGCTAGAAAAGCCTTAGTGTTTGGCTCAAGTGCTGACTCTTTCTGCACACCCGAGACCACAGTGCCCCCATGGCCTCCCCAGTGCCACCCCCTACCCGAGGCTTAAAGCTGTCCTCTGGCTCTACACTACAAGCAGGTACCCTCACATTTACACCCCCTGTGTAAGAGCAGGAGTCCACAAATATTTATCTTGTGCCTGACCTTGTAGCAGGAGCTGTGAGGATTCAAGGACATGTAAGGCACAGTCTCTGTCCTCAAGGAGGCTGCGCTGGAGTGGAGGCAAAGATGTCCATACGTAAGAGGACACCATGACAACAGCAAGGGAAGGATGGAGGACGGACCCAGGGAGTGCAAAAGGCTCCTTTGCGTTCTCATGGAGCCCACGATGGTGTGCGAAGGACGCATGGAGGGAATGAGACCCACTGTGAACCCCTCATTCCCAGCCAGTTGCTACTGACTCACCCCTCTTTAGTGGTCGTCCATCCACCTGCCCCAATATGGACTTATCCGCATCTGTTGCCTGTCTTGACCTGAGAACCTCCATCCAGTGCCGGGGCCTGTGTGAACTCTCTTATGTGGCCTTCTATGCACTGGGCCCCTAAAGACAGCTTTGCATGGAGAAGAAGCTGAAAGTGCAGGATAAGAAGAAAGAGGAATTTAATCCCTAGCTTCATCTTGAATTTCACTTACTGCATCGAGAAATGATCAGAGGTAGCCTTCCCAATCTTTGACTCGGTTCCTGAGGATGATCATTCCATTACAGGCATAAACTGGGAGACATCGCAGGTTGGATTCCAGACCACCACAATAAAGACAATATGGCAATAAAGCAAGTCACATGAATCTTTTGGTTTCCCAGGGCATATAAAAGTTATGTTTACACTATACTGTAGTCTATTAAGTGTGGAATAGCATTATGCCTTAAAAAACAACATACATACCTAATTTAAAAATACTTTATTGCTTAAAAAATGCTTATGATAATCTGAGCCTTCAGCAAGTCATAATTTTTTGCTGCTGGAGGGTTTTGCCTCAGTGTTGATGGCTGCTGGCTGATTAGGAGTTTAGTTGCTGAAGGATGGGGTGGCTGTGGCAATTTCTTAAAATAAGACAACAATGAAGTTTGCTGTATTGACAGACTCACCGTCTCACAAAAGATTTCTCTGTAGCATGTGATGTTGTTTGATAGCATTTTACCCACAGTAGAACTTTTTTCAAACTTGGAGTCAATTCTCTCTAACTTTGCTGCTGCTTAATCAACCTAGTGTATGTGATATTCTAAATCCCTTGTTGTCAACAATGTGCACAGTATCTTCACCAGGAGGAGATTCCATCTCAGAAAACTGCATTCTTTGTTCATCCATAAGAAGCAATTTCTTATTCATTCAAGTTTGACCATGAGATTGCAGCAGTTCAGTCACATCTTCAGGCTCCACTTCTCATTCTAGTTCTCTTGCTATTTCCACCACACCTGCAGCTATTCCTCCCACTGAAATCTTGAACCCCTCAAAGTCATCTATGAGGCTTGAAATCAACTTCTTCTAAATCCCTGTTAATGTTGATATTTTGACCTCCTCCCATGAATCATGAATGCTCTTAATGGCACTAGAATGGTGAATCCTTTCCAGAAAGTTTTTAATTTTCTTTTCTCAGATCCACCAGAGGAATTGCTATCTATGGCAGCAAGAGCCTTAACAAAATGTACTCTTAAATAATAAGACATGAAAGTCAAAAGTATTCCTTGATCTGTGGGCTGCAGAATGGATGTTGTGTTAGCAGGCACTAAAACTACATTAATCTCCTTGTACATCTCCATCAGAGCTCTTGGGTAATCACGTGCATTGCCAATGACTGGTAACATTTTGAAAGGAATCTTTGTTTCTGAGCAGTAGGTCTCAACGTTGGGCTTAAAATATTCAGTAAACCATGTGGTAAACAGATGAGCTGTCACCCAGGCTTTGTTGTTCCATTTATAGAGTGCAGGCAAAGCAGATTTAGCATCATTCTTAAGGGTCCTAGGACTTTTGGAATGGTAAATGAGCCCTGGCTTCAACCTAAAGTCACCAGCTGCATTGGCCAGTAATAAAAAAGTCAACCTGTTTTTTTGTGGATTTGAAGCCAGACATTGACTTCTCCTTTCTAGCTATGAAAGTCCTGGATGGCATATTCTTTCAACATAAGGCTATTTTGTCTACACTGAAAAAATTTGTTGTTTACTGTAGCCTTCATCAGTGATCTTAGCTAGGTCTTCTGGATAACTTGATGCAGCTTCTATAATACATCAGCACTTGCTGCTTCACCTTGCACTTTTATGTTATAGAGATAGTTTCTTTCTTTAAACCTCATAAACCAACCTCTGCTATCTTCCAACTTTTATTTTTTAATTTTTTTGGAGACAGAGTCTTGCTCTGTCACCCAGGCTGGAATACAATGGTGCAATCTCGACTCACTGCAACTTCTGCCCCCTGGGTTCAAGTGATTATCCTGCCTCAGCCTCCTCAGTAGCTGGGATTACAGGCACCCGCCATCATGCCTGGCTAATTTTTTTTTTTTTTTTTTTGTATTTTTAGTAGAGACGAGGTTTTACCATGTTGCCCAGGTTGGTCTCAAACTCCTGACCTCAGGTGATCCACCCACCTTGGCCTCCAAAAGTGCTGGGATTACAGGTGTGAGCCACTGTGCCCTGCCCCAACTTTTCTTCTGCAGCTTTCTCACCTCTCTCCGCCTTCATAGAATTGAAGAGAGTTATGGCCTTGCTCTGGATTAGGCTTTGGCTTTAGAGAATGTTGTGTTTGGTTTGATCTTCTATCCAGACCATTCAAACGTTTACCACGTCAGCAATAAGACTGTCTCACTCACTTCTCTATCACGTGTTCACTGGAGTAGCACTTTAAACTTCTCTCAAGAACTTTTCCTTTGAATTCACAACTTGGCTGTTTGACACAAAGGCCTAACTTTTGCCCTATCTCAATGATATGGTTCGGCTCTTTGTCCCTACCCAAATCTCATTTCAAATTGTAATCCCTGCCTGTTGAGGGAGGGACCTGGTGGAGGTGATTAGATCATGAGTGAGTTTCCCCCATGCTGTTCTTGTGAAAGTGAGTGAGTTTTCATGAGATCTGATGGTTTATAAGTGTCTGGCGGTTCCTCTCACCCTTTTATCCTGCTGTTATGTAAGACGTGCCTTGCTTCCCCTTCACCTTCCACCATGATTTTAAGTTTCCTGAGGCCTCCCCAGTCATGCTGAATTGTGAGTTGGTTAAACTTCTTTTGTTCATAAATTACCCAGTCTCAGGTATTTCTTTATAGCAATGTGAAAACAGACTAATACACTCAGTTTTTGACATGCCTCCCTCACTAAGCTTAATCATTTCTAACTTTTGATTTAAAGTGAGAAACATGGGACTCCTTTCACTAGAACACTTAGAGGTCACTGTAGGGTTATTAATTGACCTAATTTTAATATTGTTGTGCCTCACACACATGACATTTATTGATTAAGTTCACCATCTTATAGGGGTACATTTTATGGCACCCCAAAATAATTACAATAATAACATCAAAGATCACTCATCACAGATCACCATAACATATATAATAATGAAAAAGTCTGAAATATTGTGAGAATTACCAAAACGTGACACACAGACATGAAGTGAGTACCTGCTGTTGGAAAAATTGTACTGATAAACTTGCTCAATGCGGTGTTGCCATGAACCTTCAATTTGTAAAAAATGCAATATCTGCAAAGCACACCAAAGTGAAGCGCAATAAAATGAGATGTGTCTGTAATATTTTTAAGTGCTACCAGGTGCTGGGGTTTCAAGAGGAGCAAAACAAGCCTGGACTCTTGTCCACATGGAGTTTTATAGCCTAATGGAGAAAACAGGCATTACTCAAATAATCACATATAATATATAATTACAACATTAATTAAATTCTCAAACTGAATTAAGAAATGCATATAACAAAGGAGGCTTACCTGAGAGGTCACTGTAGCTCCCCTGAGGAAGTGACTCTTGAGTTGAGATGTGAAAGCAAAGCAGGAGAAAGAGCACCTTCCAGGAACATGGGTAGCTTGTGCAAAGGCCCTGTGGTGGGAAGAAGCATGGCTTGTTTGAGGGCACAAAGGCCTGGGTGGATGGAGGCCAAACAGCAAGCTAGATGAGGCTGGAAAGGTGGGAAGGGCCAGACTGACCTTCTAGACCATGGTAAAGATTTTGACGTTGATCTCAAGAATGGGAAAGCCATATTGTGCTTGAAACAAGGGAGGTATGACCATGTAATAGAGTATTTGCACCTTCAAAAAGATCTTTCTAGCTGTTTAAAGGAAAACAGATGGAGAGTGTCAAGAATGTTAAATGGGTCCTCATATCCCTTGCTGTTTCCTGTTTCTCATTTTAGTGAGCAGAAGTCTATAGAATGTTCCGGTGCTTTATGAAAGGAGAGGCATATTTAAATTCTGGTTACCCAGTATTCAGTCTAAAGTGGGAATCTAGGAACCATAGAAATAAGCTATAGCCCTTGAATTAGCACCCCTCCTTTTCTAACACAGCAGAGATTCAGGAGGTTACGACCACTTTGATCATTATAGACCCAGGACTGAGATGTACATGGTACCCTGTAGAACAAGAGATACACCCTAGGATCGGTGAGACCAGATGTCAGGAGGGAAGGTAGGAGCTGAGAGGATGAATGGGCTGGGCTTGGAGGAACAGGAGGGTGGGCAGCAGAGGAGCCAGAGATGCAGAAAGGTGAGGTGACTCCTGGTGTTCCAGGTACTGAAATGCCCTGTCAAGCTAGGCATACAGGCTCCATGAGACACACACAAGCCTGCAACCTCCATTGGCTGCAAGCACCTCCTCCCCATTTAGCTAATGGCTCCTCTATCCTCTGTTATTCCAGCTTGCTACTCTTAAAGAAACTGCTTGTGTCTAGCTTCGGACCAGAGCCCTTCTTTCTTTCACCTCAACAAATATGAATTGATCACATTTGCTGTGTAAAGATGCTCTGAGGGTCAAAAAAATCCCCACACTGCCCTTGCCCTTAAGCGTGCTGCCTCCTGGAGGGAGGTGGATATGTAAACAGTTAACCCTTAGGAGGCAGGATGACAGAAGCACTCCATGCTGGCAACCACACAACCTGCTTTGCCTGGCATGGTCTCCGTTGCAACCTGTAGTTGCTGTGTAATTAGTCATTGTGCTCTCTTTCACTCTCAAAATTACTCCAGTTTGGATGATATATTGTGGGGTCATCCTAACAGTGTGCCATGGCTGTAAAGAGCTATGAGCAATTCTTTGTAGCAATTCAGGAGGCATCACAGAATAAATAACATTTGAGCTGAGTCCTTGAGGAAGAGCTGTATTTCAACTATTAGAGTACGGAAAGAGGGCATCCCAGTCTTGGAACAAGCAAAGGCCTGGAGGTGTCTAAAAGTGGAATCTGTATAGGAGAGGGTGAGTACAGTTTAACTATAACCCAGAGCAGAGATCAGCAAACTTTTTCTGTAAAATTTCGAACAGTAAATAGTTCAGGTCTTGTGTTGCAACTGCAATCATCCCTCGGTATCTGTGGGGGACTGATTTCAAGACCAACCACAGATACGAAAATTCACAGATGCTCAAGTCCCTTATATAAAATGGTGTAGTATTTGCATATAACCTACGCACATACTCCTGTATACTTTAAATCTCTAGATTACTTATAATACCTAATACAATGTAAATGCTATGTAAATAGTTGTCCTACTGTATTGTTTAGGGAATAATGACAAGAAAAATGTCGGCACATGTTCAGTACAGATTAAATTTTTTTCCCAAATATTTTCTATCTGCAGTTGGTTGAATCAGCAGATGTGGAACCCACAGATACAGAGGGCTGACCATGTTCAACGCTGTCATCACAGTGGGAAACAGCCATAGACAATAGTAAACAAATGGGCGTGGCTGTGTTCTAATAAAACTTTAATTACAAAAACAGGCAGCCTCAGGATTTGGCTTGTGAGTTTATGTCTTAGTCCTTTTGGGCTGCTGTCACAAGATACCTTAGACTGGGTAATGTAGAAAACACTGGAATTTATTTCTCACAGTTCTGGAGATTTGAACTCTAAGATCAAGGCATCAGCAGATTCAGTGTTTAGTGAGGGCTCCTTTCTCATAGATGGGAACTTCTATGTGTCCTCACACAGGGGGTGGGCAAAAGGAGCTCACTCGAGTCTTTTTTATAAGGCCACCAATCCCATTGATGAGGGCAGAGCCCTCATAAATTAATCACTTCCCAAAAGGCTCCATCTTTTAATAGCACCACAGTGGGGATCAGGTTTCCATGCAAGTTTTGGAGAGGCACATTCAGACCATAGGGTGTGGTTTGCCAGCCCCTGACCTGGCGTCCTTGAAGGAGAGTCATAGGCTAGAAGTTAGGTAGGAGCCATGTCATGAAAGGTCTCGAATACCTGCACTAAAGATGTGTCTTATTCAAAAAAAAACGTATATATATGTTTTTGAGCATAGGAATGGGTGATCTGAGGTCCTAGGGTTTATTGTCAGAGTTTAGAGGGTACTGGAGAAAAATGGGGAACAGCAGTGCAGAGAAAGACCGAGCTTTGGGAAGCATATCCAAGTGCCGGTAGCCATCCCTCCAGACTCTGCCCTTTCGTTCTACAGCCCCCTCCACTGCCTGTCCTCTTCATCATTATGACAGTGCTGAGGGACCTTGTCCTCTCTTATGCAGACACAGTCACAAGCTGCTGTCCTCTGCGTTTTCCATGAAGTGAAGCCCACTAATGACCACCTTCCCCGCCCCACCCAGGATGGCGCTGCTCTCGTGGGGGTTTAATCCTGATGAGCCCAGTGGCTCCTGGGCAGCATCACGCCCAGAACTCCCCATGGATGATGACACCCTCACTGCTGAATCACTGTGGCAGATACTTGGCTGCAGAGCTGGAAGGGGGAGCAGTTAGTCATCTGCCATCACCCCTGTGTCCCCCAGATCCCCCAGAGTGTGCAGGTCACCTTTCCATTGAATATCCCAATAGATCAACTTGAGATTTCAATATTGATTATTTTTGTGACCTTAGCCGAGACAGTTAAGTCTCAGTTTTGCTTATTCTGTCTGTAAAATGGGTATATTGATACCAGAACTACCAACCTCACAAAGTTACAGTGAAGCATAAACAAAAAGTTAACGGATGGGATTGGACATGCTTTGGGTTGTATACATCATCTTGCAGATAACCCCAGTACATAAAGTCTTATTAACACTGGACCAAGGCAGAGCAAGGAGTCCCCTGATGCAGACCATGGTGGAAGGGACCATCTGGTCCTAACCTCACTTTGCAGATGGAGAAACTGAGGCCCAGAGCAGTGACGTGCTGATGCAGGAGAGTTATGGATGGAGGCCAGGTATCTTGGCTCCCAGTGCGTTTCCAGCATCCGTGAGTTTCTCGGTGCCAATTTTGTAAGTACAGGGATCCTGGGCTCTGCTTTGAGCCCAGGTCAAAATCACCATGGCTGGAAGGGAAGTCCTAACTTTCAGATGTCCTTTCAAATACCAACTCTTCACAAACAGCCTAGGGAGAAAGGCATTTTAAATAAAATGCTTTTTACCATGCCTTCCACTTCTGAAATTCATTTCTCAGCAGTGTCTGAATGAGAATTTTACAGACATTTCATTTCCCTTCCTTGTTGCCTTCCTTTGCTGTCCTCCAGGAGCTGGTTATGACTGAAACCTCTGCAAGGCACAAGGTGTAAATCTTCCCTGAGTGGGAGCTATGCCCCAGGGTGCAGGTCATCGGATTGGCACCATCTCCATAAGCGGTGTGGTCATCACAGGAGGAAATAGAGCCCTGAGAAGGGCAGGGAGGCACAGAGAGATTAATTTCTTCAATGTCATGCTTCCTCTGCGTTCCTTAATAACGAAAATTTACATGTGTGGGGAAAATCGCAATTTCTCCTGGAAGGCATGGAAGGAAAAGTCAGAGAGAGGCTTCCGACTGTTTTGCAAGTGGGTGTGAGCCTAGGGCTCTGTATCCATCTGACCTGGAATCTTCTGGCTGCTTACTGTGTGTGGCATGACCCTGAACTGGAATCTGTGCCTTTGTGTGTCTGTGACACTGTTTCTGGGGTTGTGTGTGTGTGTGTGTGTGTTGTCACTGATGTCTTTGTGACTGTGTAGATCAATGTGTGTTTCTTTAAAAAAATATATATCTCATTTCCTGCATAAATTACTCCATGTAAAAGGCCATCCGGAGCTCAGTTCCTAGCATCCTTTTTCAATAAAGCAATATTATCAGAGCCTGGTCCCAAAACTAGTCCCAAGAGAGGCTTTTCCTAGATTCTTTGTCAAATGAAATGTCACCGACTCACCAAATGATGAGAAGAAGAATTCTTCTTGTTTATTTCCCAAGAGAGGCAGAACAGAAGCAGCTCACCCTCTTTATAGCTTTTCCTGGACTAGATAGGCAGGTGGACTCCACCCTTTCCCTTCACCCCTTAACCAGTTTTCTTTGGGCCAGTCGCTTAACTTTCTAACCTCAGTTTTCCCTTTTTAAAAATAGGACTAATAATAACTACTTTCCAAAGTTGCTGCAAGGCTTAAATAATAAATTGGATAATATGGTTCTTCGTAAAGGAGATCAGCATGTGGTGTGTTATACACTCCACATGTCCTCTGCTGAATATATACATGTATTTACTCCTTTATCCAGCAAATATGCTGAACACCTTATATGTACAAAATACATCTTAGGCTCTGGGGAGCTCTATAGGCTTGAGATTCCATTTAGGATTATATAATCAAGTGGGGTGGCAGAGTAGTACCCAGACGATCACAATGTGGCTGGCTAAGTGTGAAGAGAACTGTGCATAGGATGCTGTAAGTGGCTGGAACGGTCCTCGTGCAGCCTGTGGAGGATGCAGCAGCCCCCAGAGAGATGGATCAGGAGGGAATTGCTGAGCTGAGATGTGGCTGTGGAGATGGAAAGGAAGAAAATGTAGCTCACTCTATCTGGTGGCAGAGGCAAAAACAAACAGATTGTACCAAGATGCACTTACCTTCACCTGCTTCTGGAGAGAGCCATTGGAGCTGGGGAGCCTGCTTGGAACCCAGAGTCATCAAGCAGGCTGGCTTGGGGAGAGAGCAAGGACTCAGAGGCTGAGGGTCTGACCACTGGGGAAAGGGATGGGAGGGGAGGAGTGAGAGAAGGAGGCTAGGCTGAGTTTTGTAAGGAAAGTAGAGACAGGCAGGGCCTTGCAGAGATGTTCAATGTCAAAGTCTTCTGATGGGGCTGAAGGTTCCCCAAATAAGAAAATCCTGCTGGGCAAGTGAAAGGCTTTTTCTAAAGTCCCTTTCAAGTGGGCTGGTCTTAGCTGAATTAAAGCGGACATTTGCTTTTCATGATGCATTCCCAATTACCAATCTCTCCCCCAGGCCCCTTTCTCCAGAAAGAAAATTTGTGACTGGCCAAACTCTGCCCAGGTCTCTTGACTGCTTCTGGCATTCCTGCTTATCCGTTCTTTCCCTCATTTAATAGATGCACGTTGATCCTGATGCTAGGCCAGGGCTGGAAGTGCAGGTGAGGAATACAGAGTCCCTGCTCTCTGGAAGCTCAGAGCTTAGTGGGAGGGACACACCTAGGAACAGATAATTCAGTGACACAGCCTGGAGTTCATGGCTAAGGACTTTGGACTTTGTCTTGGAGATATGGTCCCAGGTATTAGGGGAGCAGAAAGGAAGGAATGACAGACACCCTGTATGGGGCTCAGTGGTCATGAGAGAAAATCTAACAGAGCCGAGTCTCAGAGGATGAGAAAGATTCTGCTAGATGAGATCTAAACAAGTTATTATTGCTATCATTGTCACTAATGACAATAGTCATCATTTATGAAAGACTCAGTCTACGTCATTGCCAAGCCCTTTGCTATCTGCTAAGCATATCACACATCTAATGTAATACTATCAAATCCCAGGAAGCATCCTGTGAGTTGGGTATTATTGTAACCATTTTACAGAAGTAGGAAAACCGTGACTTATACAGCTAGGAAAACAGAAACCTAGGATTGGAATTCAAGGTTGTCTGACTTCACCTTTCCACCCATCGTATTCTCTCTCCCACATTCACTTAGTGTTACTGCAGGAAGCATGCAAAATAATACATAGTTTAGTCAACAGCTCTCAATTCAAGAACACATTGAAATATAAAGAACTCTAATATCTTTGGCAATGAATAATAATAACTAAGTAAGCAAACCATCAACTGAACTGGTTCAGCATTGATCTGATTTAATATTTTCTAGTAGCAGCTCCTCTTCATGTGACAGGAACAGTACTTTCCATGATCTCCATGGGTACAGTACTCACCTAGGTATGTATGGAAGGAATAAGAGAAATATGAAAGTCTCACAATCAAAAGCTTATGATGACATCGAGGGGAGATTAAGATTCACGCACAAAGCAGGGGCTCACAAAATTGAGTAAGATCAAGGGTCAGTAATAGGGTGAGGAGGGCAAGAGGCTGAGTTCATTCGGCTGCAGAAAGGCAGGACTTGAGCTGGTCTTTGCAGGTTGGATGGGACCTGGACAACAGAGGAAAGGGAAGCGTGGCAGGTGGGCCAGGGAACTCACACAGGGGGTGTGCTTGGCTGTGAGGCAGTGGCAGCCTGGACTGGCTGGAGAAAAGGTTCAGATTTGAAAGTAGTGGGGGATTAGGTAAGATTGGTAGGGTCAGGCTGATTATGAAGGGGAAGAATGGAAGCTAAGAAATATCAATTTTGTCTTTTAGGCCCTGGCAAGCCATTGTAGACTTTTGAGCAGAGGAGAAACACCATAAACAAGTCGATGAATTATTTTAGCTTCCAAAGAGCCCCTCTCTTTCTAGAGGATTGGCATCTGGTGTCTTTGAGATCAGCCTCATTGCCTTGGTGAAACTTGAGCCTTTCCCTGGGATGACAGTTGAATTTAACAGCCGATCAAGCATCATCAGGGAATGAGATCAGAGAATGTCACACTGTCAGGTCCAGCCCCTTGTTTATAGATGGCAATGGTGAAAACCAATAATGATGAGGAGGAAACAGAATTTAAACCGGTGGCATGCTTCATCCAACATCACAGAGCAAATGTGTGATGAAGCTGGTCCTGGCTGCCACACCTCCATAGCTCACCCCCGCCAGCAGGGAGGTGAAGCCTGAGGATTCACAAACATCAGCTATTAGGGACTGCTGGCGTGTCCGTGTAGGCAAACCACACTTTCATCACCGCACTCACGGAAGAAGAGGCCCTTGGTGGGCTCCAGAGTGAGAACAGATGCTTTTTTAGGCTCTTGGGCCAACTGGGACAAAAAAGCTTGGTGTTTTATGCTCCTGAGATAGATACCAGAGTGGGGGTAACCTTCCCAGAGTGGACAGGGGACAAGTCTTTAGTTTGGGTCTCTGGCCACAGATTCCAGAGGCTCGGTCTTCACTTATCCAACTCATCTGCAAAAAGCCTAAGCACAAGTTGGCAAAACAGGCAAAGGTGATCTGTGGGGAAGCCAGCCCATGTCCATAGACGGGTCCAGTAGAATGAACTTGGATAGGCAGAGAGAGGCCTGTGGGAGCTACAGTGCTGGAGGTGGGGAGGTCGTGAGGACAGAGGAACTTTATCTTCAGTGTGAAGCTCTTGCTTCCTTTCTTGTTCCCTGAACCATCCGGGTCATTGGGTCACACAGCCCCGTGTCTTCCCATCCTTCCATTTCTCTCTGACTTTCTGTCTGCATCTGTGGCTTGGCCCTGCCTGCTGTGCTGCTTATTAGCTTTCAGAGAGGAAGAGCTCTGCATGGTGACAAAAAGGAGATTGTTGGGTCCCTCTGCCTGCAATCTAGAAAGGGGCACACAGCTTGAGTGTGGAGGGCAAGAGGAGGGTTGGAGACTGGGAGGATGGCCGCGGCCATCAGGGGTCTCCTCCTCCCTGCAGTCCTGGCTCTCTGTCATGTGAGTGGTCCCCCTTGTGCTTGGTGGAATTGCTGGCAGTGACAGGAAGGAGATTACAGACTGTATTTATGCCTTGTAGCTTTCTGTAGGCTGTTGGGAAACAAATGGAACTCGGCAGTTGTCAGTTCTGGGAAGGAGAATTCCAAGTGTATTGTAGCCCTGAAGCGGTGCCCTGTGTGAGGGCATGCTGGTGTCACCTCTGATCGTCCTTCCTCTCTCAAATGTGTGTTTTATTCCCTGAGTGGAGAACAGGGTCAGCTTCTTTCCCTAATATTGGAGTGATTCCTCTCTGAGTTGTAGCTCCTCTGTGTCGTCTTGGGGTGGGGGCAGCAGAGGCTCAGCTAGAGCAGAAAGACAAGGAACACATGGCTATGGCAGGATGTCGAAGGGAGCCCTGGAACCCCAGCACCAGGAGGGACACAATGAAAGAGACAGAGGCTGGAGGCCACACCAGGCAGGCAGGGCTTCCTCCCCTCCCCAGCCCTGACCCTGGCCCTGAGCCCTGCTCTGGCCATTGTGGGATCTGGAGGCTGACAGTCAGAAGCAGCATCACACACACATTGTAGGTGGCAATTATTTCTTTACCTTCTATTTTGCCCACTAGACTGTAAACACCTAGAAGACAGGGAGAGAGCGGGGGAGAGAGAGAGAAAGAGAGAGAGTGAGTGAGAGAGAGAGAGAGAGTGAGTGAGAGAGAAAGAGAGACAGAGACAGAGACAGATAGTATGTGTGTTGTGTCTTTGATGCCCAGGCCCCAGCACAAGGTAGATTCTTAATATATGGGGACTAAATTGAAGCAATTTGTACCTTCCCAGGTACAGGGCAGGAAGGAGTAGTAAAAAGCTACCAAAGAACAGATCTGTCATTTACCAAGTCAGCCTCAGACACCCGGAAAAGGCTGATGTTAGCAAAGCTCCCAGGATTGGCCCACCCCACCACTCAGGGCACAGCCGCCTCTGCCTCTCCTTCCGGGAGTGCAACATTAATTTAGCACTTACTACTGCAGGCACTCTCTTTGGATTGGTAAGAAATAGAAGGGCAAAGAGAAGCAGAGAGCTTGGGAGAACAAAATGTCTGGAGTCAGAAGACACGCCACTTGCTGGCTGTTTTCTTAGGCAAGCCCTGTGCTTGACTTTCCTAAGCCTCATTTTCCACATCTACAAAATAAGAGCAACTACCTGGCAAGGGAAAGGCATCTCTCATACGCTGCTGATAGGATGTAAATGGGTATGACCTTCCTGCAAGTAATTTGTAAAAATTCCTTAAGACGAACACACCTTTGGACTTGGCAATTCCACATCCAGAAACTTATCCTAAGAAAATGATCAAGTCTGGAGCAAGAGTCCACTGCAAGAATAGTCATTATGTGTTTATAATAGCAAAAACTGGAAATAATCTAAACAACAAATGTGAAGAATTTGTCTGAGTAATTATAGTATACCCATAAATGGAATGCCATAATCATTAAAATTATAATATATTTTCCTCCTACATGAAAAGGTGTTTATGATATGTTGTTAAATACAAAAGGCTATTTAGTGAACAGTATGAAAATATGATACTGCTTTTAAAAAAGAAGCATTTTACTCCAAATATTAACTGTAGCTTATATTTGTATTGTAGGATTGCTACTAACTTAACATTTTTCCTCTTATTTGTCTATTTTTTACAAGAAGCATTTGCTATTTTTTAAAGGTAACAAAATCATCATATTAAAATACCTACTTTTAAAGGTTGTTTTAAGAGTTAAAGAAGATATTACACATGAAAGTACTTTGTGAACTGAAAAAATTATACAGATTTAAGATAGGACTTCTGCCCATGAGAAGCTTATAGTTTGGAAGGAGATGAAAGATATCTAAGATAACCATAGCATGAGACAGGATGTGACTAGAGCTTTCAGAGAATGACAAGCAGCATGTTATTTGGAAGCACAGAGGAGGAAAAATTACTTCTGGCTGTGGAGGTAGCAGCCAGAATGTTTGCATGAACACTGAGGAATGGTTCAGGTAGAAATATCTGATCAGACAGAAATATAGAATCGGGCATTGAGGGGAGTGGGAAGTTGTGGACGGGTTTGGAGAATGGCAAGTGTTGTGAGTGGTTGGAGAGTAGAGAGCCATGGTGCAGGGTGGAAGATGAGTCTAGAAAGGCAGTCGGGGCCAGCTGCTTTTTCGACAATGAGCAGATGTGTGTTGAAGGCCTTCTCTGAGCAGGAAGTCGTTGTACTTCTGGAGGACGTGGTGCCACAGCTGTAAGCCCATCACAGGTGTGAGGCACTCACGGCTGTGTCGGCAGTGCCTGGCATGGATGAGACCTTGAAGAGCATGAATGAAGTCACCTGTCCCGGTAGCTCTGCCTGGAAGCAGCAGTGCAGGGGTGCGCTGTGGGGCCGATGGTGGGAAGGAGGAGCATGGAGGGGAGAAGGGCCCTTTGTAGCTTGTGCAGCTGGGGATAGAAAGGAGGGAAGATATCTTCAGCCCTGATTGGAAGAGGATGAGAAGTGGGATAGTGATGGGGGAGTGAAAAGGAGATGAGGCTTGGAGGAGGGAGGAATCACGCATATCTCCCAGGTTTGCTGCTGGGGTGGCCGCAGAACCGGGAGTCGGTCACAGAGTTCACAGACGAGGTCACATGGAGGAGAAGCCTGGTGCCAGGAACAAGCTAGGAGTAACTGGACCACGATGACGCCTGTGAGCTGGTCCTGATCTCTTGGGCTCTTCCCAGGGGCTGCCCAGGGCAGGCAATGGCTGGTATCTCTTATGTCCTCTTGGAAGGAGCCTGGGGTGCAAAGAAGGGAGGGGTTTTTGTTTTAATCCAGAGAGCTTTTGTTAATGGAAATTCACAAACCACCCTGCTTATCCTTGCTTCCTTCAGCTCATCCCACCTCCCAGCACCCTTGGCTTCCTCTCTTCTGCCACCAGGAATTCAAACCTCCCTCAGGATCCCAGATGCTGTCTCTCTGCCACCCTCACCTCCCAGCAGTGCACACACACAAACACACATACACATACACACACACACCAGAAGGGAGGTGAGAAAGTCTCATTGTTTAGGCAAATGTCTAAATTTCCACCACCCCTTGCAGCTCCCGGCCTGGCCCACTGTTTAGCTCCTCCTGTTGTCATGTCACTGGTTAATTACATTCTTTACTGAGGTGCAAATGTGTTTTTACAGGGAGAGTAAGATGGTGTTAACTAGGAAGGAACTGTTGATGTTAAAGATGCATTTACCTCTGGCGTAGGGCAGGCCCTCCTGGCCAGCGGTTCTCCCGATGCTGCTCTGAAAGTGCCGCCCAGGCCTCAGAGCAGCCCCCTCCCCCGACCCTGCCATCCTGGCTCCAAGCACAGCCTCACTGAAGTCCAATTAGCAACTCATCCACAAGGAGAAATTGATGGGACTGTTTGAGGAGTGTCCGGCCAGACCTTATGGCCGTGCTGACCACCCAGCCTCCATTTGCCAATGCCGTGGTCCATTTCAAATATTGAGAAACAAAATTAATTCACTTTAATCTAAAAATAAAAATAAGTCATGCAGCCAAAGCCAGCTTGAGGCCACAGGTTAGCCTTTACTGCTAAGTGCTGCTTTAGGCCCATTCCCCTCCGACTCTTCCTCCCTGCTGCCCTGGACACCTCCCCACCCACCCTAACCCCTCAGTGTCTCTCCAGACCCCAGTCGAAGCCCACTGTCATTTGGATCTGCAACTTATCCACACTCCTGGCAAATCTACCACTGTCCCCCCTTCCTCTGAGTTTCCCCACAGCCTTAATACAAGATGTCAGCTGTGGTCTTCCCAGCACCGCAGAAATCACTCACAGGCACCTGTCCACACTTGGGGGAGAGGGCCGCAGGCACTCCTGGTTCAGGAAGCCAGATGGACAACAATAGGGCGTGTTCAACAGTGACCAGGGCCTGGCTACAGTGGCTCCATGGGCCTCAGTGACCACATTGAGAGAGAGTTGAATGGCAAATACAGGAGAAATGGCTGCAAGGGAAATTACAGAATAGAGGACATCCTGGAGAGGCCTGGAGAGGGGAGAACACAGCCCGGAAGCCCCTCCTCTCTGACCACCCCTGCACTTCTTGCCTTCCCTGCTGAGAGCTGCTCTACCCTTTTTTGCAGGTGCTTTGGCTCTAGCAGACAGGAAGAAATTCTGGCCCAGCTGGAAGTAGAAAGAGGGGAGTGAGTCTCCTGAGGACCATCTCAGAGGCCCCGGGATCACCCGAACAGTAAGAAATGCTCTTCTGTCGTTTAACATACAGTTACACCCCCCAAGCAGGATATCTTTTCTTCTGAAGGCCTCTAGAACGAGCTCAGAACATGAGCTGACACTTAACATGAACGACCTTGAAAGCCAATCATTGTGTGATTATTCTCATGTCTTCATGTCACCTCCTTAGCTCCTTGAGGAGGAGGGCTGGGCCTTATTCCTGTCTCTTTTCATCTATTCTGTGAACAATAAATGGTTCTGTGAACAATAAATGGTGGTTGATACAGATGGGTGGGGCCTTGCTTAGTATCAAGATGATGATCACATTTGTACCGCCCTCTGGAGCAAACATTATCACCCATGAATGACCTGGTGGTGGCGGGGTGGGGTGGGGGGTTCCTTAAAAATGCAGTTCCAGGACCCCAAAGCCAAAGCTTCTGATGCTTTGAGTCAGGATTAGGACTCAGGAACCTGCACCCCAAATCTTTTTGATGCATGGAAACTGCATTCCAGGTGTTTCTGATGAACTCTGAGAAATGGTTCTTTTGAATGTATAAAGCATTTTGAATAGAGAATCTCATTTAATCCTCTTATCTGATAGGGTTTTTTAAATCCCCTTAAGTAACTTCATGATCCCACAGACGTAAGTATCAATATAGGCAGGCATGTAGAAATCCGGTTATCCGAAACAACCCTTTTTTCTTTCCAGTATGCCATGATAAGGGCTGGATCTGTTATGGTGAGATTGGGCCCCAACTCCAAAGGACCTTGCCCAGGATTTTGTAAGTTTCCCTGATGTCTTAGGGCCACCATGATTTTACAGTTCATCAGTCTCCATTTTGGCAGCAGAAATCATCGCCAAATTCCTCACAAAGCTGGTTTCCCTGCAGAGAGGGAACGAGGGAGAGTTAATCACAAAGATGAATGTCCCTTTGCCCAGCTCTCCAAGCAGCTAGTTAGTCTATTTAGAGGTCCACATGTCTGAGGACAGACTGGCAACAATGCTCGTCCTTCTTCCTGTCTGGGGAGCTCTGTGTTCTAGGTACAATGAGGGGTGGGTGGCATGGGAGAGCTGTGGCTCCTCGCGGTGGAAGCTGAGGGCAAGGTATCTATGCAGGTCAAGTCTTCGCTGAGTGTGGGTTGGGCGATGCCCGTTTCGGGGGCAAGTTGAGCCTTTTCAACATTTGGAGTCTGTGTAGCAGAGTGATGTCACAAGGAGTTCACTGTAGACAGCAGCTGTGGGCAGGGATTGAAGAAGATGGGAAGAAGGTACAAAAAGGGACAAGGGTTCTACACCTGGTGAATCCGTGTGAAGTGTGCTGATGCCCAAGTTCAGTGGCTTTCTCTGGGACTGAGAATAGAACTGAGGCTCTTCCTGCTGAACTCTCCTGTAGAGTCCTATTTCTCTGCAGGCTGAGGCTGTGGATGCTGGAGTCCAAACAAGCCAGTCTGAGCCTGGGAGAATGGAGGTGTTCCTGCCATCACCTGCATGGTAGAATATGGGTAACAGGGTTGATGGACTGCTAATCCTGCTGTGAATTATGTCTTCCTGTAGAATGGAAGGCTTCCACAGATGGGGTAGAGGCAACCTCAAATATCACCCCTGACCTTTGCCCTCTCAGTCCCAAGACACACACACACATACACACACACACACACACACACACACACACACTAACCACTGAACCGTCTTGCCAAGTGAGTGGCAGTATGGTCTGTTCTAGGTACTAAATACAGTTGACACTATTGCTTGGATGGGTGCAACTGGCAAGGACAATTTTTGCAGCTAATGCTGGAAGTGTGGCAATCAGAGAAGCTGCCAGCTGTCTCACTTAAATTCTTAGCTCTCTCGCTCTCTTTTTTTAAAATCGTTTTGCTTACATAATCCACCCCCTTTTTATTTTCTAATTCTCTCCTTGCAAAGCTGGCACCAGAGGGGAAGGGCTGGGGTGGAGGGGGTAGCAATTACACATCGGTTTGGGGAGCATTTACATTTTGCAATTACAATTTAAAAATAAGTCTCGTTAATGATCTCCACGTGTAAACGACAAACCCTAACTGACATATATACTCTCCTGGGCCTGCCTGCCTCCCCCAGAGTCAGGGCTCAGTGGAGGCAGAGGTGCCTAGGAAGACATAGGAGGAGGCTGGGGGCCAGTGTCTGAGGGGTGGCAAGAGCAGGTCATATGCCTTTGAGGTTGGTACAGGACAGATTCGGGACTGAAACCTTGGAAATCAAGAGTTCTGGACTCCAGCTCCTTCTCTTCCCTGCACTCATGCTAGGTCCTAGCCCATCTTCTTCTGAGCCTGGTACTGTAGGAACTCTGCTAGGGAGAAAGGGAGCCCCAAATGCTGATATCCTCTGAGGTGGGGATTTTCAAAGTCCTGTTGGGCAAACATAAACCTTAGTTCTCAAGAGCCAGCCAGTGTGCCTGGATAGTCATGGATTGGGTAAAGGAGCTGATTCCATACTCAGGGTTCAGGAAGGGAACAGCATTTGTTTTATCCCCATTTAGGAGAGACATATCTCCTCTTCTCAGTTGGTGAACACGTAGTTATTGGAGTCCTCTGGTTCCTTGAGGAAACTTAGGCTTTGGAACCAGACCAACCTAGACTCCAATTCTAGCTCTGCCATTTGCTGCCTGTGAGATTTGGGGCAAGTTACGTAACTTAAGTTTTCGTTTTTTTTTTTTTTTCTTTTCATTTTTTTGAGACAGGGTCTCACTCTGTCACCCAGGCTAGAGTGCAGTGGCACAGTCTCAGCTCACTGCAACCTCTGCCTTCCAGGCCCAAGTGATCCTCCTGCCTCAGTCTCCTGAGTAGCTGGGGCAACAGGTGCACACCTCCATGCTGGACTGATTTTTGTATTTTTTTTTTTAAAGAGATAGTGTTTTCCCATGTTCTCCAGCCTGGTCTCTAACTCCTGAGTCCAAGTAATCTGCCTGCCTCGGCCTCCCAAAGTGCTGTGATTACAGGCATGAGCCACTGCGCCCAGACACTTAAGTTTTCTTACCATCATTGTCTTTCTGTAATTGTGGTAATCATATTTACCTCATGGGGCTTCTGTGCAGATTAAATGAGAGAATGCACAAGAATGCACCTCACACAATGTCTGGTGCATCAGAAATGCTCAGAAAATGCCAGTTCCTGTGCAAGCCCCTCCCCTTGAGCCCCAAAGCGGCACCTTCTACTTTATTAAAACTGCTTCTTTCCCACTACCATGGACACTAGGGAAGGGCGATGTGGTCTGATTTGTGCAGGCCTCCCCTCAAAGTCAAGCCGTCTGCATTCTGAGCAGCTCCTGAACGGGCCCCCTCTGAACTCCCTGTAGGATTCTCTCTCTGCAGGCCATGGTTTCAGGCTCCCAGGTCAGCCTTCAGCTTGTCTGCTGTTTCCTGACTCTGGCTGTTCACAAAGCCCAGTTCTGTCTTTTCTGGACATCATAATCCAACCGCATGACCTTTTATTGGCCACTGCCCCTCTCTGGGCCCCACATGTGTTCCTTCTCTGTGAATGAGGGAGGAGGACTAGAGGCTCTCCGAGGAGTCTTTCAGGCCTGACATCCTGTAGTCCTTGGATTCTCACTCCCCTCTCTGCTTCCCTCCACGAGATATTTGTGTAGAAAGCTGTTCATCTCTTGTGCAGTTTCATCCAGGCCAGTCTTTGGACTGAGCACTTATAGTCAAGAACTTAGAGTTGTTACTTGAAATATGCACAAAATAGTTCTTATCTACTGCAAAAAGAGGTATTAATTTTAAAAAATTAGCCAGGCATGGTGATGCACACCTGTAGTTCCAGCTACTCAGGAGGCTGAGGAGGGAGGATTGCTTGAGGCCAGTAGGTTGAGGCTGCAGTGAGCTATGATTGCTCCACTGTACTCCAGCCTGGGTGACAGAGGGAGACTCCTGTCTCTAAAAAACAAACAAGCAAGCAAATAAGAGGCATGCATCTTGCAAAGGGAAGAGGTCCCAAGCAGGCCAGATGGCCCAGGGCAGAGGACATGGAAGTGGGTGCGTGGTCAGAAAGCTCCTTGAAGGTAGGGACTACATGTTACCGGTTTTGCTGTTTATTATAACACAGTTAAATGTTATGTTTTAAATATTGTTCTAAAAACTTGCTTTTTAAACATAGGTTATATGATTGATAGCTTTCTGGGTCAAAACAAATAGATCTACTCCATTACTTTTAACTGCTGCATAGTTTTCTATTATATAGATGCATAATTATTTATTTATTGTAGTTATTTTTTAAATTAGAAGTATGTGTGAGAGGAAAAAGCAAACAGTGTAAAAGATACAAAATAAAAACTCTCCCTTCCTACCCTCACCTCTCCCCACAAGGCTCATGATCCAAAGTCAACCACAACAGCTTCTGGCCTTAGTTATTTGATGGCCAACATTTATTATATTAGATAATATGCTTCAGCCCTTTTTTCTCAGTTTATCTATTTATCTATTAACTGTCTGCTATGAAAGTTGAGGAAATTAGCACACATCCTTCCCCTCCAATTTGTATTACTTTGATAAGTTTTTATCAAATTACATTTGATATTATCTATTTTTAGTTCATAGCATTATATGTACTATATAACATATATACACCATATATAATATATCCTATATATTAATATAAGTATAAATCTTCTAAATCTTAATAATGTAACATAATAGTAATAGACTAAATAACACATACCATATAGCATTATAGATACTATAAAGATTATGTATTATATAGTGTAGCACTACATATTATATATAATATGTAATGTATACTCTGTAGTATATTCTCTATATAATATAGTATATAGCATTATATATCATACATAATACTGTATACTACATGATATATAATATATAATACTATACACTATATTATATAGTATACTATATAATATATGCAGTATTTTAAAATCACATATAATAGTATAATATACATTATATAATATGTAATATTATATGTTAGTATATATAATCATATGAGGTATATTATGTGCTATGTACTATAATACATATGTATGCTGTGTACTATAATATATAATTATATATGATATATAGGATCTATAGTATGCCATATACTTTTATACTGTATATAATATACTGTATATAGTACTACATATTATATTTTGCATAATAATAAGTTATCTATGATTTTTACATTGTTAAGATTTAGAAGATTTATACTGTTACATTGCTGTAGTTTACCTCTGCATTCTATAGGTGATTATAAGATGGAAATCTGTTTAAAAGCATTAAAACCACTGTGGGCATGGCAATATATTCAACCACAGAACTAAGCAGTGTGAATGGCCTGTGGAAGGGTCGTTACAACGTGGCTGCTGTGGAAGAACCTTCTGAGCCCTGTGGTGTCATGACTGGTGCCCTGAGCAGCCACTCTTTCTTGTTCAGTGTTCTCCGCCTCTTCGGATTTCTTCGTTTGCTGGGCTACAACCTCTAGTTATTTTTTATATCAACGAGTGGGAAATAAACTCCAAGTTCTCACATGTCCAACACTGGCTTTGTCTTCATACTTGACTGATAATCGGACTGCGCTCAGAATCCCAGGTTCAAAACCTTTTTCTCCTAGAACTTGCTGACATGGCTGCACCATCTCCTTGTTTCCGATCTTGCAATGAGGATCCATGGGAACATGTGGTTCTCTCTTCTTTTCCCATTAAAGTTCTGATTTCACCACCATGTGTTGGGGCTTGAAGTTTGCTTTCTGTTCTCCTTTCTTAGCGCTGGGATCTTTTAAGTCTGAAGTCACCTGTCTGCTTCAGCACAGGGAAATCTCCATTTTGCTACGACTTCATTTCTTTTCCTTTGTCGTCTGTTTTCTCCTTCTGGGACATCCATTGCCCTGCACAGTGCCTGACACAGAATAGGTGCTCAGTAAATGAGGCCTGGATTTGCTACTTGGGACCTGGGTTCTAATTAGGGCCCTATCTCCAACTTGCTGCATGGACTTGGGCAAGTTTCCTTATTTGTCTCGGGAAGAAGTCAGACCTCATGATGACTCAGGACCCTTCCACCTCTGTTGGTTGTCTGACAGTCTGCCCTAGTGCCTGGAGTTCCCACTGCTTCCAGAATTGGAGAAGAAGCGTTCATTTCCTGAGGAGTGAAGAAAAGGCTGAGGCTGGGTTTCAGGTCAGCCGCAGCAGCTGGCTTCTCACTGTGGACAGCTCCTTTGGACCCTCCATCTCCCCAGCATCCGCTCTCTGTCCCCCTTGGGGAGCTCTCTGCCTGACCTTCCCCATCATTCTGAAATGGGCTTCCTCACCTCCCTGTCTCCCTCTGCCCATCTTCCCTACTCCCCACACTTCCCCAGCTCACACACACACAGCTTCTGCTAGTGAAATCATCCCTGACCGTGGCAAGTGCCTCATTAAGTGAGCTCTTTTTCTCACGTTTATGAACTGCAGGACAAAGAGACAGCAGACTGCTCTTCCCAGTGCCACAAAGCACAGGCTCTCACTGGAGACAGCCAGGCCCTAAACAGAGAAGAAAGCTCCGAGGGGGGCTGAAGACAGCAAGGATCGTCCCCAGCCCCAGGCAAACTTGTGCCCTTGGGGAGTCATCTTAGAAGAGTAGCCCCGTTTCCTTCTCCTTCCCATCCCAGAGCCTGGCTCTGGGAGCAGACATCTCACATGCAGCACCCTGCCTGCTCCGATCAACCTACTCTGGACAGAACCTCCTGATCTGGAAGTAGAGACACTTTGTTCCTTTTCCCTGGACAGGCTTGACCCTGGAAGACCCAGACTAACAAATGCTCAGATCCCAGGGGATTAGTAACCGTTCTAAGCATCCTAATTGGTCCCTGAGGACCAGAGTCCACTGTGCAAAATTGCCTTCTTCTCCTCCTCTTCTTCCACTCCCTGGTCCTTGCCCTAGCATGAGAGATGATGTCCATCTCACTGGAGAAAGAAGAGGGCAAAGTGAAGGCATGATCTTGAACATCGAGACTACAAGGATTCTGTGCTAAAGGCAGGACTCTTTCTTTCCACCCAGACCATAATGATAGGAAATGGGTTGCGTTGCGCAAGTCAGAATTAAGCTTCACTGCGAGTTATAATTTTCAGACCCATTCCTAGTATTCAAAGACTCTGCTGCTAATATGAAACACTCCTCCTCTGTGTCTGAGAGCAGCTGAAAGGGCCAGCACATGACTAAAGTTTTCCCTCTTAGGAGCCAGAAAACCATAGCCCCTTTCCAAGGCTGGAGGTTGAAGGGGACGGGACCTGGCAGAGAACAACCCGAGCCAGTGGGAGGTAGAACACAGCTCCGTCCTCGCACTTCTGTTTAATAGCTGCCTGCCTCAGAGGATGTGGGTAATAACCCTGCTGCTGGCTCACTGGCTGCCCATTCAGACTGCTGCCTGGAATCTCTCTGGGCTGAGAGCGGAAGAGAAGACTCTGAAGTGAACAGGAAGGGGCTTCTTTGGCAATCTTGGACTCAGGGAGATATGACAAGAGAGGGGATGCTCCCTAACGATGGGGTGCCCTGACTTGAAAACACTAATACTGCTCCACTGGACACGCTTTCCCAAGATACAGCCAGCTGCCTCTTAGCCTGTGCGTCATGGACAGATTTCATTCCAGAACAGGGACTTCTTTACAGCTGTGGGTGGTCCCTGGAAAGCCAAGGGTGTGTGGGGAAAGGCCAAGTGGAGACCGTCACAGAGAGCAGGCTGACTGCATGCCCCCTTCTACCCCACTTCACTCCTCCTGGGCCCCAGCAGGGCCCCTCAGTCCAGTATGACAAGACAGAGACACTGACAGAATCCCAGTAATGTGATTCAGAGCCCTGGCCCCAGAGCCGCCAAGAGCAGGGTGAGGCACAGACAGCCTGGCTTTCGTATGTGCCCCATGCGTTCCCGGAGCTCTGCTCCCAGACAGCTACGACACATTATCAGATTCCAATTATACATCGCCTTTGAGATGCAGTCTTCAGCCATACATTTCCATCATTTTGTGTTCTTTAATTTTGTTCCTTCTCCTCCTAATTGAACACACAGTCCAATGAGTCCACGATGAAGACTCAAGATTTGCCGCTTTCAGCTCGCTTAACGTTTTCCATCTTCGTCTCAGTCGTATTATGTTTATGAGACCCCTACTTCTTATCGCTGGGATCAGCACTTTCATTTTCCCATCTCCTGCTCATTTTTATAAAATAATAAGAGCAAAATGCAATGAAATATTTAACAAAATGTGTACACACACTGCTGTAGCAGGATGACAGGGCTGATGGAAGGAACTTCCCTACCGTGGGAAGGCACAGAGTGTGTGTCCATTAACTGATGTACAAAAGCCCAGGCTCGGCAACACAGAAGACATTTAGTGGTGTCAGTATAACATGATGCTTGGAAAATCAGGGCATAGGAAAGTCAAAGGACAGCCAGTATTCGAGGGCCCAACTCTAAACTGGCAGCTTGGTTTTATAATCAGCCTCACCTTTTCTGCACTTCTCCAGTTTCTAGGAGTCTCAGTCCTTCCCTGCTATTTCCTGCCCTCACCCTGAGACTTCCAGTTAAACCTGCAGACTCTGGGATCAGACTGTGTGTAACATCTGGAAACTTCCTCAAAGCCCCGGTTTGCTCACCCACGAATGGGAACAACCGTAATGCCGACACCATCTGGTTGTTAAGGAAAAGAGACCAGGTGACCCGTATCTACTGTTAGTGTCATGCCTGGGGCACAGGGACGGCTCAGTAAGTGGCAGTTGTTATTAATTCTATATTATCATCTCACCCACATCCAAATTGGCTCCAGAAACTAACCAACTTATTCTCACTGTTGTGTAAATGGCTGCTGGGACTCAAAGGGTTATGCTTCTTGGATTGGCTTGTTTTACATTTTAAGAGCAAGCCAGGCCAGGCGCGGTGGCTCACGCCCGTAATCCCAGCACTTTGGGAGGCCGAAGTGGGTGGATCACAAGGCCAGGAGTTTGAGACCAGCCTGGTCAACATGGTGAAACTCCATCTCTACTAAAAATACAAAAATTAGCCAGGCGTGGTGGCAGGCACCTGTAGTCCCAGATACTCCGGAGACTGAGGTGGGAGAATCGCTTGAACCCGGAAGGCAGAGGTTGCAGTGAGCCAAGATCACACCACTGCACTCCAGCCTGGGTGACAGAGTAAGACTCCATCTCAAAAAAAAAAAAAAAAAAAAAAAGTAAGCCGGCCAGGCACAGTGACTAATGTCTATAATCCCAGAACTTTGGAAGGCCGAGGCAGGCAGATCACATCAAGAGACCGAGACCAGCCTGGCCAGCATGGTGAAACCCCTCTTTACTAAAAATACAAAAATTAGCTGGGTGTGGTGGTGCACGCCTGTAGTCCCAGCTACTCGGGAGGCTGGGGCAGGAGAATCGCTTGAACCCGGGAGGCAGAGGTTGCAGTAAGCCGAGATCGTGCCACTGCACTGCACTCCAGCTTGGTGACAGAGCAAGATTCCGTCTCAAAAAAAAAAAAAGGAAAGAAAAAAAGGAGTTAAGCCAAAGAAATTAAACTATAACCATGTATATATATTGAGGCTCCATAAGGAGGTAGACTTTGTGCAGTCATATTGTATAGGCTGCCCCTTCTCCCCCAGTGAACATGCAAGGCAGAGCCATGATCTTGTCTGCTGGGGGGAACAGGGGCCAGTGGGCAAGATGGGACATGCGGGTGAGGAGCAGATTTTCCATAACACAGAAACATGCATGATGATTATTCCCGCCTTGATTTCCCACGTGTAGTCCTGGAGTGGAAGGGGAAGAAAGGCTTCATGGAACAGTAGGCTTTGGAGCCAAGTGTTGATGAAGGGAACGGCATGGCTGTGAAATACAGAACACCTTGGTAGCGGACAAGAAACACAGCAAAAGGCACGAGAGCATCTTAGGTTGGGCGACGGAGGGAGTATCTGCTGGGGTGCGAGTCTGTGTGGCCGCGCCACGTCCTCTCGCATCATGGCTGTCATCTTCCCTTCCCCAGGGCTGGCTTTCCTGAAGCTCAGGAACACAGAGCCAGTGTACCCGCCCTCCTTCCAAGGGGGTGGTGAGGACCAAGGGTGGGGCAGCCTGGCTGGGCAGCCTTTCCTCCTCTAGCCGATCCCATTGCCATGGGCTCTATTTAGAGCTCTTGTTTCTTGTGAGCTCTGCCTGGGCCACCAGGAAGGTGCAGGAAGGGCACACGTTGGCTGGGTATGAGCGTCTCAGGAACTAGTGGCTTTTCAATGATAAATTGAATGCACAGAGCCACTTGCTTCCACAACTCTGACTCTTGACTTTTTTTTTTTTTTCCTAAAGGCAAGTTTTAAAATTTGGAACAAGGTATCATCTAGCCAGAGGACACAGTACAGTCCTCAGAGAGAAAAGGGGCCTGGCTGACCCTTTTAGCTCCGCTGGCTCCAGGAGAATCTGAGGTTGCACCAGAGGTGGAATGCGTAGGCTTCAGGGTCCCTCGCCTCCATGCCCTCCTTCCCCCACCAGCCCCTGCTCCGGCCACCCTACTCACACCTTACATGGTCCCCATGCCTGCTTTCCTCCTCCCCCCAGCTCCCAGTGAGCGTCAGGGCCCTCCTGACTGCCTCAGAGAAGAGAGACTTATGAAAGGGTGGGAGCCCGAGAGGGCTGCCGGAGGTGGCTCTGCGCTTTTCCACCTGGGATCCCAGCGCTGGAGCTGTTTGTCTGTCTCTGTTGAGTTGTGGGTCTCAGGGGCCCGGCCTGTGTTGTTTTCTCAGCTCAGTGCCTGAGCGGCTGCTGTCAGCTCTTGACAAATAATAATAAACCTGGGAATCAGGTTTGTCGAGGGGGACTTCAGTCCCAGGTTCATTTTCAGATCTGTTTCTCTGTGAGTGTGTGCAGACGAGAGAGCACATGATAGTGTCTCTGGGGGAGGGGCGGGCCGGGGCTCCCAGGTGCCCTGACACTCCACCCTAGCCACCACCGTGGAGGAGCTGGAGGGCTCTCCACTGTCCCGATCCCTGGAGCTGCTTGCATGTTGAAAAAAAAAAGGAAAATAATTGAATAAAAGGCCTCAAGCTCTCTTCTTTCCCTGGGCCTCCCCACCTCTCCCACTCTTGTTGTTTGGCTAGAGATGGAGGGGCTGGAGAGGAAAACAAAAGGGCAGAATCCGCTCTCTAGGTTAGAAGGTTCCAAGGGGGCCACAGGCTGGGGGAGGGAGTTGGCTCAGAGCACCCCAGGGCAGCAGCTGTGGCCTCCCTCCTGCCTCCATTCCTGGGGGTGAACAATAGGGGGAGGGGCTCCTGGAATGGGAGAGGTACCCTAAGTTGAACATCACTGGCAAAAGCGGGACCCAGGTGTGGTGAGTGTGAGTTTTGGGGACACAATAGTCATGGCCTCTGGGGCAGAGCAGCACCCACTTTCCAGCAGACAGGACCCACCGCAGGTCACTGCAGCCATCCCCCTGCCTCCAGGTAGGAAAAAGCGCACACCACTTCCGTGAGCAGAATGCAAGGGCTGTGCTCCCCCTTCCAGCCAGCATGCTTTTTTTTTTCTGTTTTTTGTTTTATTTTGTTTAAAGGAACCAAAGGGGGAAAAATTGCCAAGTTGTAAAGTGCTTAAAGAGGAGATGAGAATCTTCATCAAAATGCTAAAAGCTGGAGGGGAGAGTAATGTGAGAACTCTTGCCTGCTATTTATGGGATTGATTCTCAGATCAAGAAGAAGCAAGCAGTTGGATGAAAGGAATTATTGTTAAGCTCCTCGGTAGGAAGATCTAATGGACAATTGCCGCTATCAGGGGGAATTAAATTGCTGTTTCAGTTTGTAAAATATATCAGCAGCTTTTTGAAGCCAGAAAAGGTGTGACAGCGAGGCAGGGAGGGCGGTGGGGCTCCAGCACTCTTGTTCCCGGTGTGGAGAGGCGGGAGCAAGACCACGAAGAGGGCGCGGGAGCAGGGCGGGTGTTGCTCGTCTGACTCTCCTGCTCCGTGTTGTGAAGCCCAGTTAAAAAAAATAGCTGAACTGGGGACTCAAGGAGGAGAGACTGCAGGCCTGGAACTCTGGCTTCTGTGTGAGTCAGAGCGGCATGGCTGTCAGCAAAGGGCAGGACGGTGGGGCTCCTCTCTGGGAAACCTGGTCGGGCTGGAGTTCAAGGAAGGCAAGTCCTGTCCATGGAGGAGGGAGCGGCTGAGGAGGGTGATGGACCCAGTGCTGGGGCCTGTCCCCAGACACTGCTTTATCATGCTGCTTGTGTGCCCACTAATCCTCCCCATAGTGAACCATGGACACAGAGGGACCCGGCACCCTCTCCTCCAGGGTGGGTCTCTAATGTAAGCTTCTGCTCATCTCTAGGCTGGGGTCAGTGAGTGCATAAGTGATCTGTTGGCCCGACCACAGTGAGGACATATTGTTACTCCAAATAAAGAACAAACAGTAAAATGGTCTTGGGAGTGGAGACGGGAGAGGAGGTTTAGGCCCTCGGAAGTAGGGCCACAGGCCATTAGGGGGAGGCCACGCTCCTTGGGATGGAAATTGGGGGTTGGATGGGAAGGGTCTCTGGGTTTTCTGGTCTCACAGAAGGCTCTTACCATTTCCAAAGCATTCACTCCATGTGGCATTTAAGGGCTGAAGGAGGATTGAGGGAGAGAGATCTGCACATCTCTTAGGGAGTCAGAAGCAGGCAGTCCTAGCCAAAGCTCATGCTGGCTTCTGCTCTGTCCCCACTCTGTTCCCTGGACACCAGCATCGTGATATTAGGGCATGACCTGGCACCACCTCCCA
Source organism: Homo sapiens (assembly GCF_000001405.40). Taxonomy (NCBI): domain Eukaryota; kingdom Metazoa; phylum Chordata; class Mammalia; order Primates; family Hominidae; genus Homo; species Homo sapiens. The sequence goes on from NC_000011.10 coordinate 125,344,625, forward strand.
AGTTGGCTTCCCAGAAGGGCAGCAAATGACAATTAGTATGGAGAGCTATGGGTGGCCAAAGCGTCTGCTTGTCTTGGTTGTCATCTTTGCCTCCCCACTGAGTATTCCAAGGAGGACCCGGAGGGGCAGTAGGGAAGCAGGTGTTCTGGCTGTGACATTCTGCAAGGACTTGGGCTCTGTGCTGGGTGCGGTGTGCCCTGGGACCTGGGTCATTGTGGAGTCGCGGCTTATTTTTGACCTCTTAGCTGGCCTTCAGGACACAGAGTGAACAAGGATGTGAGACCTGAGTGCAAATCCCACTCAGTTCCTCTGCACCTGTCCCTCCTTCAGTAACATAGATATGTACAAACTCCCTCCCTGGCTCCCAGGCCCCACTCCAAGCCTGACCTCAGCAGACTGGAGGATCTCCATTTCCCCCCATCAGCCTAGGATCAGAAAGACAGGCAGAGAGCAGCACCCACTCAGCCCCACATTCCTGCTGCCTGAATCCTCAGGGTCCCCAGCTTCCTTTCAGCACCCACAGTCCCTGGGGTGAAGAGGCAGGCGAGGGTGTTTGCTGTGCTGTAAGGTGGGGCGGGCTCTGGGGAGCTTGCCCCTCTTCCCAAATTCCTTAGTCCTCCCCTCCAGGAGCATCCACTTCTCCCTCTTTTTGAAACATTTCAACACAACAACTGATTTGGAGGTGACAAACCCCTGCTCACATGGTCAAGCCTCCCAGCCCATGGTGCATCCTCTCTCTCCATTCTGTCCTCCTCTGCCACCACAAATTGACCTCACCCTTGTCACTGCTCAGTTCTCGGTGCCAACCCCATCCACCAAGCCTCAGGGACCACCAAGCTCTGGCAGACACCCCGCCTCCAGCTTGTCACTTCTAGCCCTTACTGGGTTTTGCAGAGAGACCTGGTGCATGTGTGTGTTTCTATGTGTGTGTGCTCGCGTGCACCCACACGCCTTTGCTTCTTTAGATAAATCCACAGAGTCACATGAAATCAGTGACAGGTTGACACCGTTATTTCAAGATTCATCGCTATGAGTTGCCAGCAGAGCAGACCTAGCCAACTCCGTTCTACCAGCAACACTTTTTTTTTCCAGGCATAATTTATAGCACTGGGGTGAATTTGTTTCCAAAAGATGAATATCACACTATCAGCAACAGCTGCCTCTCATTTTTATTTGTTTTTAAATTTGACTCAAAGTCCAATTCTCCATACACATCCCAAGCTGCAAATCCTAAGGCGACTGATTACATGATTTAGTAAACAGGTTATATTATATAATGCAATTAAAGCGGGCCCTGCGACGCCACCTACAGGCCACTTCTGGGAAGGGAGCTGGGCCAGAGAAGATCATTTTGGACGCGGCGTTGGGGCTGAGGGAAAAAGAGACGGATTGCGCCAGGGTTGAGGAGGCTGCCCCAGAGGGAGATGTTGAAGCCAGCCAGGTTACTAATGCAGCTTTTCGGTCCCTCCTGCTGAGTTCACTGTGTTATTTCAGCCTCCTGCAAATCTGTCTAGACGTCAGAACCCAGGCCTGGGCAGCTGCTCAGAGGGGACGGCTTGGGGGTGGGGGTGGAGGGGTAACCTGGGGGCGTCTGGGCTGAAGGGATTGACAGCTCCTGGCTCGCTGACCTCAGGGGCCTCCTTCCCACTCTCCAACTAGATGGGAGGAAGAGAAGTCCGGTGCTGGCTGGCCTTTAGAAAGAAGCTACAATCCAACCCTTTCCGTTCCATTCAACAAGCATGTGTGCAGTGCAAATCCTGGGCAAAGGCTTCCCGAATGTTCTGGGGAAATCCCTTCATTCTGCAGTCCGAGAGGGAAAGTGACTTGTACAGATTACAGAATAAGTGGTAGATTCTACTGGATGTGGAATCCAGAATTTTTTTTACCCCAAGGCCAGGCTTAGATCATGGGAACTGAGAACTGAGGGGTGGCCCTGTGAATTCCCTCATCCAATCCCAAAGTTTACAGATGGGGAAATTGAGACCCAGACAGAGGATGTGACTTCCACAGCCCCTACCTGTCTCAAGGGAAGGAAAATCATGAACATGCTGCTTGTATGTGTCGGAGGACAGACAAGAAGCATTCCTAGCGGCCCTCATGACTGCCTCTTAGCTGCTATGGAAGGAAGGAAGGAAGGGAGGAAGGAGGGAGGGAAGAAGGGACAGGAAGGGAGGAAGGAAAGGAGGATGGAAGGGGGGAAGGAAGGGAGGAAGGAGGGGAGGAGGTCAGGGGCCAGAAGACAGGCAGACCCAGGGCCACCGTCCCCTCTATCCCTCTCTCTGAACTCCAGCACTCTTCAGATGAACGGGGCTCTGGGCCTGAAGGCTTCTAGCTTCTCCAAAGAGTTCTTCTAAGAGGGTAACATCACTGCAAAGCAATTCCTGGAGAGAAGGGACTCACTTCCCCGGGGCTGAGAAAGACACTTGACCAGAGGGAGTGGGCGGAATGGCGTGAAGGAAGAAAACAGGACTGTCAGAGTCCAGGAGGGTGGGAGTGTCCCCTCACCCTTGTCCTTGTGCCAGCCATGGGCCCCGTCTCCAGTTTGGGGCAGGTGGGTGGGACAGTGAGGGGCCAAGCGAGCTGGCCCTACTTTCCCTATCCCCCATCAATTTGTCTCAGCTAGGGTCAGGGGCCAGGAACAAATGCTGTCAGGCCAGCTGGCCAGAGAGTTCCCAATTAGACTTTGTGTCTCATCCTTAAGGCCCTGAGCCCCCAACCCCGGCACACTGGCCCAATTACTGCCTGGCAGCATTAACCCCTTTGTGCCCCAGGCCATTAATGGAATGTTAATTGGTCTAATGGGTTTCATGTCAACAAGTCCTAATGAGCTCCTTCCTAATGAGCTTGGTATTTTTTTTCTGAGCCTGTTTGTCAGCACACTGGATTTGGGGCTCCAGACTGCCGACCTGGTGGTGCAGGGCTGTGGGGAGCATGGGTTGAGGAGGCTGAGGGAGGTGGGTGCCCAGGACTGCCCATCCCATTTCCTAAAGGGGTGTGCTTTTATGACTTTGCATCCACTGATCCTGCCTCGGTGGCTCCTGGGCTCTCTAAAATGACATTTTAGTTTCTTCTGATGATATCAGAGACACAAATGATTTCTTCTTGGATGTCATTGTGGGGTCAAGTGTTGCAATAGAATTTTTCCCTCCTAGATGTCATATCATAAAGGTTTTCAGCACTGAACAAAACAAAACAAAACAAATCAAAAAGCAACCTTTCCCTGTGAGCCTGTTCGCGATGGGAAATCTCTCCATGGGAGATGCTCCTCATCTGTCCTCCACTTGCAGTCTTGACTGTGCCCCCTTGAATGCCCAGGTGTCTGGTGACAGAGCACTGGGGCCTCTGGACAGGGCCAAGCAGCCTCTCAGAATCCGTGACAAAAGCTCTGAAGCCCGGGGCTAGGTTTGCAGGGGCTCAGGCCTGCTGCTCCCCTCCCTCTCCCAAAGAAAATGCAAAAAGGGCAGGCTTCCCCCAAAGGGCCAGGACCCCCGCTGTGGCTCAAAGAGTTCCCCCACACCCCACTGCAAAGTCCCAGCCAAGTCACAGATAAGGCGAGTCAGATCCCCAAATTCCTCTCCAGGATGGTTGCACGTGGCCCCTCAGGAACCGGGGAAGTGCACGTGTGGGTGGAGAGGTGTGAGGAAAAGAGCCAGCTTCCGGACACGGGTGCAGGGTCTCCAGCAGCTGAGCTCCCGGAGTGTCAAGTTGCCGGAGGCTTCTGTGCCTGAGCAAGCAGAGAAGGAAACTTAAGCCTCTAATGAAAAGGCCTCCTGTTCTCTTGCAGGAGAAGCCCCCAGAGGGTAATGGGGCAGTGGCCTAGTGGCCTGTGGTGACCCCAAGGAGGGGGAGGGGCCAGGGCCATCTGGGTCCTCAGAATATTGTTCCTGTGTCTTCTTTCGACGCGGGTCTGGCCCTGCTCCGCAGCCTGGTGGGCTCAGGACTGAACAGTCTCCTCTCAGCCTCATGGGCGGTTGTCTCTGGGCACAGGCTACTCTTAACCTCCCCTCCTTAACCCCACACAGGGCAGCCCTCCTGCTGCTACAAATATTTCTGGGGACAGCGCCTCTAAAATGACCCTGCCTTCCATTCACTGGACAGTGAACAAAAGAATGTGAATGAAAGGCGCCTCTCTGTAGCCTATGCCCTCCTCGTTGAGCTTCCTTTGTTTTGCCTTCATTATGACCTTCTAATCCATGGAATGAGGTTACCAAAAGACCCAAGCCCGAGGTTAAAGAGAACTAGTTGCCCCTAAGAGGGGGAGAAAGCCCTCCTTCCTGAGGCGGCTCCCACCCTGACTCTGCCCCCAGGCTCCCTCTTCTGGAGGCTGCAGGCACTACAGTGCTATGGCCCTTCACTTTTTTCCTGGCGGACGAGCATCTGTGATCGATGCTCCCGGGAAGAGATTCCACCATCCTGGCCCTTGGGCCCTATCCAAAGTTGCCTTCTCTGCCAGAGTTCCAGGGAAGGCTATGTTTAATAGGCCCCTGAAACATTCCTATTTCCTTTATTTTGTCAGGGTCCAAAAAAGAGAAATTCCACCCACTTTAATATCTCAAAAGTCTTAATTCTGGAAGTTCCTTCTGATGTCTCAAAAAGTCTATATCTTACCCCACCCCCACCTTTTTCCCTCTGCAATCCTCACTCTGCTCTTGGCTCTCTGGGATGCTGACCACCACCCAGACAAAGATCCAGCTGTGAACAGAGGCCTTGGTTCCCCTGCCTGAAGAGAGAGGCTCCCCCAAAGCCCCCTCCTGCGTCCCTTTGCAAAAGGAAATTGGATCTTAGGGACCAGCGGTGTGTGAGATGGGCGAGGCCCTGCATGCTGTTGTGAAGATATCCTGGTAGTCCGTCTTCTGAAGGAGGCCAGGCGGGGGCGAGTGACAGGCGGTGAGGCCGACGGAACCGGCCTGAAGTCGGCATTTTTAGCACCGGGGGAGCCATCCCTCCCTGTGCATTCTCCACCCACCTCCACCTCATTTTCTTCCTTCCTTTAGGACCATGACCTCCCTCTCCTAGCCATGCCTCATTCATCTGTCCCACCACACTCCCCACACTGTTCTCTGCACAGAGTTGGTGGTTGGTAGACATCTATTGAGTGAAACAGGCCTTTCCAGTGCTTTTTGCAGAAGGTCAAAGCGTACTTGGTATCTTGGAGACTCAGGTCAGGTCAGAGTAGATCTTACTTCCACTTCCTGAAAAAGAACCAAAAGAATCACACACACACACACACACACACACACACACACACACACAGCCCTGGAGGCCAGCCCCTTTAGATGACAGCAGCTCCAAAGCACTCTCAAATTCCCACAGAATTCAGGTCTGTGAACATTTTGGAAGACCCTGGGAAGGGCCAGGCTGGAAGAGGATGAAGCCCTAGGTGCCTCAGGGAGAGGGGACGGAGGGTGTGAGTGCTGTGCTCACAAAGGTTTCTACACCAACAGTGCCCTCCACCCAGGAGAAGAACACGTCCTGCACTCCACAGAGGCTCTTAGCAACCTCCTACCCTACAGTGGACAGCCCTGTATCAGGCAACTAGCCTGTGGCTTCTAGATCTAAATATTTCAGAGCATCTACTGCAGCACAACAGCTCTCTGGACATTCTGTTTCCTTGGGTGGCACAGCCGGGCTGTCTCCACTTATGGCACCACATCCTACTTCAAGAGGAAATCTTGAGGCTTCATGGGGGCAGCTCGCCTGCTTATTGGTGATGGGGAAATGATGGGGGCAACAGTGGAGCAGGCCCAGAGCTGGGAATCTGGAGGTGCTGCTTCCATCCCAGCTTCACTAACAAGTCCCCCAACCCCCGCCCTCCCATACACAAGTCACCCTTGGCCTCTGTCTTCTACCAGCCAAAGAGGCAGGTAGACCATTTGGCTCTGATAGCTCTTCTGGTATCCCCACATTCCGGTGACCGTACTGAACCAAGACTGAGGAAAGTCCTCCTTAATAGGATATGCAGGCACATCTGTGGACACGCCCATAGTCACAAGCCCGAGTCTGGGAAAGTACAGGAGTAGACCGGCATTCCCTGCCTCTTTCCCTTCCCCAAGGCCTCCAGGCAGCCACCCTGGGGCTACAGTCTGAGGACGGGTCCAGGCCGTCCTCCGTCTCACAGTCTGAGGACGGGTGAGCCCTGGGGAGGGGCGAGCTTGGTGCTTGGGGACCCTGGAATCCCGTAGCTGGCCTGAGGCCCTCCTGCCCCTGTGCGCGCTGTGGCTGCTCCAGAAAGCCTGGGAAACAGCGGGGCCAGGAGCACCCTTATCAGGCTGGAACTCAGGGTCCTCCTGGGGAAGGAGGGGTATCCAAATGGCCTCCAGTCCCCCGGTGCTGCTACCAGGCAGGCCCCCTCCCTCTTCGTGCCCCCTCCCCACACGTACAACAGGCCGGAGCTGATGCTGAACAAAGCGCCGCTGCAGGGGTACCGGTTGTTTTACATATGATTTGAATATTGTTTCTTTCAAGTCAAAATAGCACAGCAAGCCCCTCCCCACCCAGGCCTCTTCCTTAGCTCTCATTTGTTGCCCTGAAGGGCGTGCAACCCTTGCCGCATCCAGCCGGCCCAGGTGGCCCAGCGGGGGACACAGGGAGCTGCTGGGTGCCCAGGGCGGGCCTGCTCAGCGGTGTTAACGGTGCGGCCCCCTTTCTCCTGCCCACAGGTCCTCCATGTGAATCAATCCCATGATGCAACATGCCTCCCCAGCCCCCGCTCTGACGATGATGGCCACGCAGAATGTCCCGCCCCCACCCTACCAGGACAGCCCACAGGTGAGTGCGCAGGGGCCGCTGCCTCCCACCACGGGGGAGGGAGTGTGGTGGCCTTAGAGCCCCAGCTGCAGGCTGGGACATTCCAGGGGCCGACGGGCAGAGCCAGGCCTCCCGCAATCACGTCCTGGTGGCACTCCGGGCTCTTTCCCGTCAGCCTGGGGAGCGAGAGCCCTGCAAACACAGACCCCGAGGGCAGTCACCAGGTTCAGACCCCAGGAGCTAGGACTGGAAGCTAGATTAGTGGCCACAGTCCTGGCCTCCACCCCATCCATCAGACAGCAGACAAGCGCAGCCAAGCCCCTTTGCTGTGACTGGGGCAAAATCCACAGTGGGGGAGACCCAGGTACCGGATGTGAGCGGAACCGCCCTCTGAGTGTTTGAGAAACTTCACACTCAGAGGTTTCTGAGTGCCAGGCCCCCCATTCTCGGGTCACTTGGGCCCTTTTGTCCTCCTCTGCCTGCCTGTCGGGAGAATCTCTGTTCTCTTCAGAACTCTTCTGGGCTTCTACTTTTAAAAAGCCAAGATTCTTTCTGCACACCCCGCAACCCTTTCCTTCTGGTCCCCAGCTTCCATCCCTCAGATCAGACACAGCCGCCCCCCAAGATCTTCTGCGCTCCCCACCCCGATTGCCTCTCCTGCAACATGCCCCTCCTCAGCAGTGCCTTCTGGCTGTCTTCATGCTGCCTGCCCTTCTCCTCCTGGAAGCCTGCCCAGCTTGTGGGGGCTGCCCTCCTACATCCTTTAGACCAGCCGCTTTTCCTTTTTGCTTCCCCCAGGTGCTCCTCTTGTCCACCCTTGGTTCTTTGGAAACTTCGAGTTTTGTGTCTGTGCTTTCACAGAAGCCTTCATTCTCTGACCCTTCCCTTCACACTCTCCTGTCAATATGAATTCAATAATTATTTATTGGGCACCTGTGATGTGAAATGCACCCAGCTAGAATGTCCATCCACAAATTCGCCCATGTGCAGCAGGTGCCCGCTGGGTGCTGTGGGCAGGCTACCATCTGCACTCCTCCAGCAGCCACTCTCTGCCCTCCTCTGCCATCCCTCACTCATTGGCATTTTCAAACACAGTGGTTCTCATGGGCCACACGGAAGATTTGTGCAGCATGAAAGGGGTCTTAAGATGCAGATGCCAGGCTTGTGCTCACTATGGCCCTGATGCCTCCAGCCTAGTGGGAGCATGTAGTAGCTGCTTTATACATCATTGTCATCCTCTGGGAGATTACCAGATGCTGTGGGGCTTCTTTCTAGCGTACCCAGCATATGGAACACCTTTGCTCTGCCCTTGAAGGTCCAAAAGCCCTGGTCCTTCACCAATCTCTGAGCACATGTCTACGGCCCCGCTCCCACATATCAAATCATATTACTTCCCCAGCTCTCCCAGCCTAACCCCATCCTCAGCGAGCCCTCTGCTCATGCCAGTAGCTTCCATTAATAAGCCACAGGGTTGAACTTGGCCTTTACATGGCTCTTGTATTTGAAAGCTTCCAGGCATCCAACACTATGTCAAGTCCCTTCCCTCTGTAGTTTCAGCTCCCGAGACAAAGTTCAGAAGGAGCCCTCAACTGATGGGAACCTTTTGCCTCCCAAGAAAGAAGTGAGAGAAGAAGCTAGGGGCCAGAATAGGGGCAAGATCATCCTTCTTTGATAGCAGCAGACCCATTCCCATTCCACTCAGCCAGCACACATCGATGCCCACATATCGATTAAGTGGTGGGAACGTGGGCTCCACTTGTTTTGTGACTGGATTCTCTCTCCAGAAGAATGGGGAACAGAGATGGAGACCCTTCCTGTATTTAGCAGGTGGTAGCTGCCAAGGCCCACACCTCCATACCCAAGACTCAAGGACAGACCAGGGCAGGGCTGAGAGGTCAGAGAACACTGTGTTGGCATGACTGATGGTGGCCCCTTCCCTCTCACCCACCCCTCCCTGTTTTGACTGCCTGGGGAGCTGGGAGAAGTTTTGGTTTGGCGGGGATTAGCCGGAGAGCTGCAGCAAGGGCCTGTGTTGAATGCTGATCCAGAAGCCTAATTTAGTGATCAGCATACAGCTGGATTAATAAATCCCAGCTATCAAGGGATGGATGGAGGTGGGCTGCAGCCCTAAGGTGCTCAGCCCCCCAGAAGTCACCACTGAGCTGCTCTAGCCTTTGTGAGGAAGAAGGGAGTCTCCACTTCCATATCTAAGGTCTCAGACAGAAGCCAGACACAGGCACTGCCCGAAGGCTCTCCTCTCTGAGGATCCGCCAGAATGTCACCATTTAAAATCTTCATATTTAGAGCAAAGGAATAATTTGCCCTGGGGAAGCTGCCATCTATTTGTAACCCTGGCAATCCATGAGTGAAATGTCTGATGAGAAGCATCAGTGTCCATGGTGAACTGACCAGGTCAAGATGTCAGGGTCTTTACGGCCTTGATGAAGGCACTAGGCTATGCCCAAATTGCCATTGGCCTTCCCCAAGCTGAGCTGGTTCCCAAGGAAACCGAGCAGGATGTGGGGCTAAGGGAAAGGAGCTAGGGCAGGGGTGGAGTGGGAGGGATGGGGGAGCTGGGGGATGCCCCCAGAACAAAGGCTTCTGACTCTAGGGGGAAAGGCTGTTCTCTCCAAAGAATGCTAGTATTTGAGGGCCTTCTGCCCACTCTTTCGGGCTTCTAGGAGGGGCTCCCTTGTAGGAACAGCTCTTCCGTGCATGCCTGGCTGCTGGCACTTTCTGCAAACTTGCATTGGACCCCTGACTTCTTCCCTTTATCTTTTCGAGATATGGACCCCAGCTTCCTAGGGGGAGACTGCTGCATTTCCCTTCAGAATGCTCATATCCCCAAGAACCAGCCGCTCTCTGAGACTC